>NW_011332701.1:358759-717518 GCF_000001405.40 Homo sapiens | reverse complement strand
GTGGTTGTCTCAGGGTTAGTGCCATTATTTATTTTCTTCTTTTTGGTGTCGCTTGCTGCTGTACCAACACTAGGGTTGGTCTGGGGATGATGGTCTGTCAACTGTGGAAAGGAAGAGCAGTGATACTCATGAGAACTACAAGCTCCTACAGTCACATCCTGCTTTACAGTTTATACTAAATACTCTTATAGACCATCTGATTTAATGCCACCAACTGTAGGAAATGTTGTCACAATCACTTAGTGACTGAGAGAGATTGATACCATGGCTGAAAAAAAAGGCAGTAATGGAACTTAAACTCAGTCTTCTGACTCTGAGCTCTGGGATTTTGCCCTAAATCAGCAGCTGCCAGGGACCAAAACCAGAGGCAGAGGTAGAAAAGCAAATATTAAGTAGGCAGGAACTGTGCACTATGTGGTTTAGGGTTATTCACCCTCACACGTCTGTTAGTGTTAAAAAGTACACCAGTACCTCTCAAACCTTTACATCAATGTCTCCTCATGGCAGAAGGCAGCCTTTCTGCTAAATCTGGGAATTTAACAGAAAGAGGACAACCCAAGCCTCATTTCAGAGAGAAGTCTTGTATACGCTTATAAATCTATGTGACTTTCATCCCTAAGTACATTAATGTTTTGTCTCTCAATAGAATCAAGGGAAACTGATGCTTCAGAAAGATGCCCCATATTTATCCTGTGGCACTCAAAGTACCCCAGGTTGAGATGAGATGAGGAAGACTCAAGCTAAGTTCAGTTTCCCAAGATCTGTTCCACAGAAGATAAGCAGATCTCACTCCAGAACCAGTGACTGAGGGGCACTCTGGTCCCAGAACAATGGAGAATTCAAATCTGAGGTGCAGAACTGAGAAAAAATGTTAAAATCTCTCTGGAGAGTAGAAGCCTGGGAGAAAACCAAACCAAACCCGTTCTCCCATTGCCACCCAGAGACACTGTCAACGTGTTGAGCTCATGGGGGAGGTGTAGGCTTTTCACACTGTCAAGGTCTGTGGTAAGGAAGTCAGGCAGCCTGAAACCTCTCTCTTCTAGGTCCCACAGTCCCCATTCCCCTTCCAGCTGGAAACCTGTGCTGCAACCAGAGGAAACAGAAGTGGGCAAGAACACTTAGGGGACTGGGTCCTAAGACCAAAGGCCGGTCTTGTGGTAGTAATGACAGTTTGTAGCGGGACTGTGACATCACTACATTCTACTCCTCGGTGGAGTGGTTGGGGGGGACACATGAGTGCAATGCCCAAGTTGCCGCTTTGAGACTGGGGAGGGGGTCACAAAATTGGGAGCCAGGTCCTTGGAGACGTGACCCCAAAGAGCCCCGGGAGGTCAGGCTTGGGGCGGCAGGAGGTGAGGGCCAATTAAGGAGCAAGGAGCTCCAGGAGTCACATCCCCAAAGTCACCCTGTGGCAACTGGTGAGGGCAGGTTCTGGGGCACCCAGGTCCTTGGAGCTGTGAGCTCAAGGAGCCCAGGGAGGTCGGGTTTGGGGTAGCAGGAGGTAAGGGCGGAGTATGGAGTTGGAAGCCCCAGGAGTCACCTGCTCAAAGTCACCCTGGTGTGCCGGGCAGAGCAGGGGCAGGACTTATGAGGGGGTTGGGCTGGCTGACAAGATTTTGGTGTGGGGAGCCCAGAGGCACTGGGGTGGGGGGCCCAGCCTGGTGTCCCTCAGGAGTGGCACAGACTCTGGCAGCAGTTCGGCTGTCAGAGGGGGCCTCGGGTTGGGTTGGGGTGTTGGTGCGTTTACCTGTTCCTTGGCCTCGGCCAATTTGCTCTGTCTGGTTTCTTTGGACATCATAGGATGGGTAGGGAGGTGGGGATGGGTAGGGAGGTGGGGATGGGTAGGGAGGTGGGGATGGGTAGGGAGGTGGGGTTGGGGCCACATCAGCATGATCCAGGTGAGGACAAGTATATACCTCCAGTCACCTCTACGTCGCTGTGTGACTGAGCCAGAGGAGGCGTAACCAGGGCTGCACTAGAATGCAGAATAGGGGTGTGGCCTTCATGCTTGAAGCCCATTGGTCAATGAGAAAGATGAAAGGAAAAGGAGGTGTGGCCAGACAGCAGCGTGTCATCAAGGACCTGTGTTGTCACAAGGAAAGCTGCCTATGCAACCGCTGTCCCCGCCCACTCCAGGAGAGGGGCGGGGCTGGCTTTCACTTTAAAAACTTTAAAACTTTATTACCTCAATTGAGGTACAAGTCCTATTAAAATGGAAATTTTATAGTGTGCTTGATGATTGATAAAGCAGACTTTATTATCCAACATTCCAATAAGATAATCACAATGTTTTCTCTTTTTTGGAAAAACTTTCTCTTATTCTCCTACATTAGCGTTTAGTTTTTTTAAAAAAAACAAACAAACAAGAAACATGTCTAATATCTTTAAAAATACAAAGCTTTGAGCCAGGCATGATGGCTCATGCCTGTAATCCCAGCACTTTGGGAGGCTGGGGCGGGTGGATCACCCGAATTCAGGAGTTCAAGACCAGCCTGGCCAACATGATGAAATCCTGTCTCTACTAAAAATACAAAAGTAGCTGGGCATGGTGGCAGGTGCCTGTAATCCTAGCTACTTGGGAGGCTGAGGCAGGAGAATCCCTTGAACCTGTGAGGCAGAGGTTGCAGTGAGCCAAAATCATGCCACTGCACTTCAGCCTGGGCTGCTACAGAATGTGACTCTGTCTCTAAATACACACACACACACACACACACACGCACAGACACACACACACACACACACACACACACACAAGGCTTTCCATTTAATAAGCACTCAAAGTTCTTTACAAGGTTAAAGCAAATACAGGACCCTTCTAAAGTAAGGCTAAATGCTAAGTGATGGGGGAGAGAAAAAGGACATAAATAACTCCTACTCTCATGAGTTAATCACTAAATCCGATTTTTCTAGAATCACCTGGCCTCTAAGCCCTGAAAATGAAACTGAATTTCTCACTCGATACTTGGCTATGACTTGCAATCATGAAAACCAAGAATTGTGTTATGTCACTGTGTATTGCTTGTTACCTGGGATCAAGGGTTGACTTTTTCATGATTTGCTCCATTACCTGTGTGCTTCTTCTCCCAGTCCAAACTACGCTTTTTTCTAGAGTTCTACAATTTACAGTTAGTATGTAAGGGTGGCTCTCAAACATGTAGTCTCCGGACCAGGAGCACCTGGGAACTTCTTATAAATGTAAATTCTCAGGCCCCACCCTAGACATGAATGAATCAGAAACTCTGCAGTAGGGCCCAGCAATCCGTGCTGCAATAATCCCTCCAGGTGCTCAGGAACCTCTGCCATACAGCAGGTAGAAAAATGTGTTTCCTTCTGTAGGTCCAAAGCCAGGGATACTATATGTTCTGTCTCAATATGAAACAATGACATGCAATTAAAAGACATAAATCTCCTTCCTACTTCCACCCTCCAGCCAGTGTGTTTTATTTTTATGAGTTCAATAAGAAAACGTGTGGCAATCAGAGATTTCATCTAAAAAATATATCTACAGGTATCAGTTCTCATCCAGCCTGATCTCATCCAATATCATTTCTATCCTCTTACATCTAAAGTTTTAGAAAAGGATTTTCACAACGTAAGACTCAGGCGCACTAGGAGTTCTATGATAAAAGACCAAGTAGATCTGAATGTCCAAACTTACTAGAGAAGAAAAGTGGACTCATTGGCTATATTTTCAAATTGCATTCAACAGGAAATTAAAGGTTTGAATTTTTTCCACCTTCATCCTTCCAAGTTAATAGAATTAAACCAGAATACTCCATTCTTCCAAAGCCTGTAGCCAGGCAAACTTTTACTGTATTACTTCTTGCTTTTCAATGGATATAAAGCAGAGTCCTGGTAGGCACATTTTGTATACCTGCAAAGATGCAAAACTAAACAGTTCCCTCGGTTCAATATTAAAACAAAAGTCCTGTAAACCTCAGATGGTGAGTGTAATACTTCAGCACTAGCACGAAAGCCTCAAATATAAAAAGATACCAAGAACCTTGCTAGCAAACCAAAGTAAGCTCTTGGCCGGGAGCAGTAGTTCACGCCCGTACTCCCAGCATATTGGCAAGCTAAGGTGGGGTAAGTCAGGAGTTAAAGACCAGCCTGGGCAGCATAGCGAATTCATATCTCTACAAAGAAAATTTAAAAATTAGCTGGGCTTGGCGGCACACACCTGTAGTCCTAGAGCTACTTGGGAGGCTGAGGTGGGAAAATCACTTGAGCCCAGAAGTTTGAGGCTGCAGTAGCTATGATCATGCCACTGCACTCCAGTTGGGGTGACAGAGCGAGAGCTAATTATTACATTCTGTCCTGCTCCTGTTTCCACTAAAATCACTAACTTAAAATGTGTTCATTCAGCAGGATAAAAATTAAGTGAAATTTGACTTTGGTGCTTTGCTAGCAAAAAATAAATAAATAAAGTGAAATGACAAATTACTTACTGGGAGAAGATCTTTGTAACCTCAATGACAGATTAAAGGTTTGTATCCTTAGCCTATAAAGAAATCTTTTAAATTACTCAGAAAAAAAAAATGAATGATTTGCAGCAGAAAATGGGCAATGGAGAAACCAGCACTTCCCACAAGAATAAAAATGGCCAATGAGCAAATGAAAAAGATTCAAAAGCACTAGAAATCAAAGAAAGGTAATGAAAACAATGAGATTTTCTGCTTAAAGACCAGCGAAGACGACAAATGGAAGGCGGAACCTGGAGCTCTGTCCCTGTTGGTGGGAGCGTAAACTCAACCAATTTTCCTATAGGATGATTTGAACATTTGTTTTAAAAATCCTAAAACTGTTTTATATTATTTTCTTCTAGAAATTCTACTTCTATGAATTCAGTGCAAAAATCCTCACTCGAGTCCATTAAAATATATATAGAAGGAAATCCACCTCTGGGGTGGCAATGATTCACTTAACATACATCCAGCTGTTGAAAGTGATGATGCCAGGATATATTTCTCCCATAGAAACATGCTTAAAATATAGTAAGTGACAAAAGACCATGTATTGTGATTCTACTTTTTAAAATGTTTACAGCATAAAAAGTGTGAAAAGCAACAAACCGGAATGTTTTGAGTGGCAAAATTAAAGATTTTTCTTTACATTTTGTCATCCAAATTATTACAAAAACAATGTGATTTCCTTTATAATCATGGAAAAGTGTTATTTTCATTTATTTATATTTACATTTCTTTTCTTTTTCTTCTTTTTTCTCCTGTATGTATCCCACATAGGCTACAGAGCTTAAATCCCTGCCTCTTGAGAGAAATCAGCCCGTTTTCAGGACATGCAATACACAAAGCTGCCCCATCTTCCCTTTATTTTTATTTTTATCTTATTTATTTATTTATTTATTTATTTATTTATTTATTTATTTATGTTGAGATGGAGTCTCACTCTGTTGCCCAGGCTGGAGTGCGGTGGCGCATCTCAGCTCACTGCAACCTCCATATCCCGAGATCAAGCGATTCCCCTGCCTCAGCCTCCCGAGTACCTGGGACTATAGGCATGCACCACCATGCCCAGCTAATTTTTGTATTTTTAGTAGAGAGGAAGTTTTACCATCTTGGACAGGCTGGTCTCGAACTCCTGACCTCAAGTGATCCGTCTGCCTTGGCCTCCCAAAGTGCTGGGATTACAGGCATGAGCCACTGTGCCTGGCCTGTCATATTATTTCTAAACATTTGAGTGACATTTCAATTAAGTGAAATTTAATTCTTACTGACCTGATCTCTTATCCTCTGTTTAATGATACCTTCCAGTTGAAAGGTGTTTCCTCTGTAATCACGGGTGCCAAAGGAAATACAACATGTATTCATTAGGTGGATATCCACTAAACCACGGATTCATGCATTGTAGTCCTTAGACCCTCAGCATCAGAAACACGTGGGAACTTGTTAGACATGCAAATTCCTGGGCCAGCCCCACACCTCCTGAATCAGAAAGTGGGGAAGGACAGCTATCTGTGCTTTAATAAGCCTTGAGATGCTCCCTGAAGTTTGAAAACTACAGAACTAGAATACATATGGTAGTAAGTGCTCATACTTTATCCAAGGTACTAGGGACTCTTCCCCTCTTTTCCATTCTCTTTTCTGTTGAAATAAAATGAGAGCTCCTTTTGACTTAATGGGTATAAGAAAGAAGGCAATGAGATGACCAGGGTTTCAAGTTAGAGTTCAAAATTTAATCAGTGGACAGTGACAGGATGCAAGCCTTCTAAACAGATTGCTGCAAGGAAGCTGATTATAATCTATACAGTAGGTATCATTAGTGTATTGATGTTAAATTTTGGGGGTGGATTAATGGTATTGTGATTACATAGGAGAAGTCCTGGTTCCTAGAAGATATCTGCGAAAGTACTTAACAGTGAAATGCTCTGATACTGCCAACTTACTTTGAAATGATTCAGAGGGAAAAAGGGCACATATACAATCTTCCATACGCAGAAGACAGAAAACAAGTGTGACAAAACATTAACTAGTGAATCCAGTTGAATAGCATACAGATGTTCACTGTATGATTTTATCAACTTTTCTGTGTTTGCAAGTTTTCAAAATAAAAGTTGAGGGAAAGAAACATCACCCCAAATCTTTCTATGAAATGGGACCACAGAAAAAGCAGAGAAGTGAACACTTTGCAGAAAAGAGCACTGCACCCATCCGGACAGCATGGTCAAAGTGCAGGCTCTCCTCCAGGAGGCTCTTCTCTGGTCTCTTCTGTGCTGTCACTTCCCCCACATGCAGCCAAGGCTTTTTTCTAACAACTCTTTTTCTAAAGATGTAATTTTTGTCATTCATCTAAGAAAGAGAAGAAAAGAATTAGTATACATTTAGAAAATAAAATTACACTTACATTTGTGAAAAAGCAAAAAATACTTTGAAAAGTGGGGAAGCAAGAAATGTACTGTTCTACAATTCTGTTCTGTTCTTACCATCTTTTTATTCTGCCAATGACTTCCTATTCCTGCTGTGTATGGTGGGGTGAGCTGCAAATGATTTCTTTTCCTCATTGATTTAAAATCTCATGTTTATAATGTACCAAACTCCCCCAGAAGCATTTGGGTTTATTTCTGGGCTCTATTCTATTCAAGTAATCTATCTGTTCACAAGCCACTATCAATTTTGATTATTGGAGCATCCTAAAGTTAAGTAATTGTTGTTTTTGTTTTTGAGATGCAGTCTCTCACTCTGCCGCCCAGCTGGACTGCAGTGGCGTGATCTAGGCTCACTGCAAGCTCCACCTCCCGGGTTCATGGCATTCTCCTGCCTCAGCCTCCCGAGTAGCTGGGACTACAGGCACCTGCCACCACGCCTGGCTAATTTTTTGTATGTTTAGTAGAGATGGGGTTTCACCTTGTTAGCCAGGATGGTCTCGATCTCCTGACCTCGTGATCCACCTGCCTCGGCCTCCCAAAGTGCTGGGATTACAGGCGTGAGCCACCGCGCCTGGCCCTGAATTTGCTTGAGTTTTTAGCTCTCTCACCCATTTCAGGATTGTCACCACCCATATCTGACACGTCCTCCTCCTCCTCTAAATCTTCTAGGTCCTCCTGGCCATCAGCCTCTGTTTCTGAACCAGCCTCTTCATGCTCCTGTTCTTCACTCTCTGGGAGAAGACTGATATCTTCATCTTTCTTTCACTAACCGCATTCTGGAAGCACGGTAAAATTGCTTCATTTTGCAATTCCAGTTGTTGCAAAGTCTGCTCATCATCAAAACTTTCTATCACAAGTTTTTGTAAAGAGCTGCCATGGATTCTACCATTCTCTACTGTTTTATTAAAGTCATAAAGCACTTTTGTTAAAGAAGTGAACTTTGGTTCCAATCCATCTTGAAACCTATTGGGAGGAATTAAATGAGATTTAGAATTATAGATAATAATTTCACAGCCCTCTTAATTAAAAGAAAAATAAAAACCTCAACTCTTCTGTAAAATCAAATTTGAATAAAGTGTAAGTATAGATTCTGGCCCCAACAATATATAAGCTGATGAGCCACAATGATATATAAAACCTGTCAACCAAGTATTTGTGAATCAGCTGTATAGATTGTTGGCAGGAAAAGCATTACAAATCTATTTGCTTGGAGATATATAGTGAATTAGCCTTAAATTATCTACTCTGCTACATTATATACCACTCCATTCATTCATTCCCTTATTCACTCAATGATCAACATTTGCTTTGGCTACAGTGGTCAAGGAAAACCTCTCCTAGATGTGACATCTGAGATGAAACTTACAGACAAGTATAGTCTTATAAAGATTGGGAAACATGTATTCCAGGCGGAAGAAACAGCAAGAACAAATTCTCTAAGATGCAATTGAGCTTGGTAAGCCTGAGGAATAAAAAAAGTGAGCATGGCTATAGCGTGAAGGAGGCAGAAGGTGAAGTTGGAGAGACTGATGGGAGCCAAATTCTGCAGGGCTCAAGGGTAAGAGTTTGCCGTTTTAAGTGTAATAAGAAAATATGAGAAGATTTTAAGCAGAAGGATGAAATGATGATTTATACGAAGGAAGAAGAAAGGGAGGAAGGAGGAGGAGGAAAGTAGAGTGATTAGAAGGTTGATGCAGCATTCCAGGCAAAGGATGATGGTGATTTAAGCTGGAGTTAGAGCAGTGAATATGCTGAGTACAGTTTGGAGGTAGAACTGACAGGATTGCTAAGGAATTAGATACAGAATAGAGAAAAGTGAAGACATCAAAATAGCAGCCTAGTTTTATGTGCGAGCAACTGGAGAGACAGAACTGCCATTTAGTGCGATAGGCAAGGCTTGAGTGGTGGAGCAAGGGGAAAGGACTTCAGCGGATGGCAGAGTGTAGGTGGGTAGAAACAGCATTCTACTGTATTTTGGACACAGTGAATTTGTGATGCTGAGAGGACCAAAATTTAAAAAATTGTTAAAAACCGTACGGTGCGGATATCCCAGTTGTGCGCTACTGAATTCCAACTAAGCTCAGTCTGGAGTTGCTTGTGAGCAAGGAACTCAAGGGAGAGGTTGGAGTTTGAAACATAAATGAGTCATAATTTTATAGGTCATATTTGAAGTTCTTCAACAAAATACACATAAAACGTTTGTGTTGGGAAGAGACATGAAAGTTCTAATTCTCAAGAAGCTTAGTGGGGTAGACAGACAAGTGACAAGTTTGTGTTTTCAATAAAGTATGATGGCAGGTAAACACTGAGTGCTTTAGGAGCACAGGCGGAAGGAGAAACCAACACAGTTGTGTGTAGGGGGATGGGGGCCGTAATAAGCCTCAAGGGGAGCTTATAGGCGTGAATAACTGAGGTTAGGTTGATTTCAATAACATTCAACTGAGAGATCCATACTGTAAAAGTTTTAACAATTTTTAAAATTTTGATAGCCTAGGTCCTCTGAAATGTGGGGAAAAGTGATTTACATTTCCCCTTACCTTCCCCCAGCTCCACAATTTGCCAGGGGTCTGCAACCCGTGTCCACGTGCGACCGCAGTCGCACCCAAGCCCGGGATCTGTGCACTTACGTGAGGATGCTCTCGGGCCAGCCAGTGGCTTTGCCCACCTCCCTCAGACACCGCTCCAGGGTCCGTCAGCGCCAGGCCCATGGGCCATGGCTGTCTGCAACTCCCGACACAAGCTGCAAGGCAAGAGAGCCGCTGGGAAACCGCACCGCAAGGATGCTGGCATTGGAACAGGAATTAAAAGAAATGAAAAAATGTGTAAGCAAAAACTCAGCTGTATGTAAAAAAAAACCAATTCCCCCTGAGAATGAGAAAGAGCCTTAGTCCTTTAAAAAAACTACCTGTTTTCCTATGGCTAGTGAGCCTTATCGCTCCCTTCCCAGGCATTATCAAAACCCTAATTCCCTAACTGTGCAACTGCAAGGTCACTAAACAAACGAATGCAAGTCACAAAACATATTTTTCCTAAAAACATAAAAAAAAAAAAAAACATAATGCGTGCTTCAATTAAATAACCCTCTGTTTCTCGCTTCTGTAATATGCTTCCCCCTGCACAGATCTACCCGGGCTCCACAAAATGCTAAAAGATAACTCTTTATTCAGCTCAACGCTTTGATCTGCCTGGCGTGGTGGCTCACTCTTGTGATCCCAGGACTTTGGACGGCCAAGTAGGGTGGATCGCTTGTGCCTTGGAGTTCCAGACAGGCCTGGGCAACATGGTGAAACCTGGTCTTTTTGTTTTGTGTTGTTTTGAGACGGAGTTTCGCTCTTGTTGCCCAGGCTGGAATGCAGTGGCTGGGTCTCTGCTTGCCGCGACTTCCGCCTCCCGGGTTTCGGTCGTTGTCCTGCATCAGCCTCCAGAGTGGCTGGGATTGCAGGCATAAGCCACCAAGCCCGGCTAATTTTGTATTTTTTTTTTATTTTTATTTTGGTACAGATGGGGTTTCTCCCTGTTGGTCAGGCTGGTCTCAAACTCCCGACCTCAGGTGATCCACCTGCCTAGGCCTCCCGAGGTGCTAGGATTGCAGGCTTGAGCCACCGCTCCCGGCCCAATTTGTTAATCAGAAAGGAATAGATCGTCCTGGTGTGGTGGCTCACGCTTGTGATCCCAGTACTTTGGATGGCCCAGCGCGGGGTATCCCTTGAGCCTAGGAGTTCCAGACCTGCCTGGGCAACATGGTGAAACCCGGTCTCTCTCTCTTTTTTTTTTTTTATGAGGCGGAGTTTCGCTCTTGTTGCCCAGGGTGGAGTGCAGTGGCTGGGTCTCCGCTCGCAGCGACTTCTGCCTCCAGGGTTTTAGTAGTTCTCCTGCCTCAGTCTCCGGAGTGGCTGGGATTGCAGGCCTGACCAACATTGCTCTGCTAATTTTTTTTTATTTGTTTTTGGTAGAGACGGGGTTTCTCCATGCTGGGCAAGCTGATCTCAAACTCCAGACCTCAGGTTATCCGCCCACCTCGGCCTCTGGGGATGCTGGAATTGCAGGCGTGAGCCAGCGCACACACCCAATTTATTTTTATTTCATTTTTTATTTTTATATATATATACTTTTGAGACGGAGTCTCACTTTGTCACCCAGGCTGGAGTGCAGTGGTGCGCTGTCTCGGCTCACTGCAACCTCTGCCTCCCAGGTTCAAGTGATTCTCCTGCCTCAGCCGCCTGAGTAGCTGAGATTACAGGCGCCCGCTAGCACACCCATCTAATTTTTATTTATTTATTTATTTATTTATTTATTTTGTATTTTTAGTAGAGATGGGTTTTCATCATGTTGGCCAGGCTGGTCTCGAACTCCGGACCTCAGGTAAACCCACCTCGGCCTCCCAAAGTGCTGGGATGACAGGAAGGATCGGCCTGGCGTGGTGGCTCACGCTTTTGATCCCAGGAGTTTGGACGGGCCGAGCGTGGCGGATCCCTTGATCCTAGGAGTTCTAGACCAGCCTGGGCAACATGGTGAAAACCGGTCTCTCTCTCTCTCTCTCTTTTTTTTTTTTTTGAGGCATAGTTTCCCTCTTGTTGCAGGGCTGGAGTGCAGTGGTGCGGTGTCGGCTCCCCGCGGCCTCTGCCTCTGGGTTTGGGTGGTTCTCCTGCCTCAGCCTCCGAGTGACTGGGATTGCAGGCGGGAGCCACCATGCCCGGCTCTTTTTTTTTTTTTTTTTCTGGTAGAGACAGGTCTCTCCATGTTGGTCAGGCTGGTCTCAAACTCCCGACCTCAGGTGATCCGCCCGCCACGGCCTCCCGGGGTGCTGGGACTGCAGGCGTGAGCCACCCTCCTGGCCCAATTTATTAATCAGAAAGAAATAGATCGGCCTGGCGTGGTGGCTCACGCTTTTGATCCCAGGACTTTGGACAACCGAGCGTGGGGAATTGCTTGAGCCTAAGAGTTCCAGACCTGCCTGGGCAACATGGTGAAAATCTGTCTCTTATTATTATTATTTTTTTTTTTTTTTGAGGCGGAGTTTCCCTCTTGTTGCCCAGGCTGGAGTGCAGTGGCTGGGTCTCCGCTCGCGGCGAATTCTGCATCCCGGGTTTTGGTGGTTCTCCTGCCTCAGCCTCCTGAGTAGCTGGGATTACAGGCACCTGCCGCCACACCCGGCTAATTTTTTTTTTTTGTATTTTTAGTAGAGACGGGTTTTCATCATGTTGGCCAGGCTGGTCTCAAATTCCTGACCTCCGGTGATCCACCCACCTCCGCCTCCCCAAGTGCTGGGATGACAGGCGTGATCGGCCTGGCGTGGTGGCTCACGCTTTTGATTCCAGGACTTTGGACTGGCCAAGCGTGGGGGATTGCTTGAGCCTAGGAGTTCCAGACCGGCCTGGGCAACATGGTTAAACCCAGTCTTTTTTTAAATTCCTTTATTATTATTATTATTTTTTTTTTTTTTGAGACGGAGTCTCTCTGTCGCCCAGGCTGGAGTGCAGTGGCGCTATCTCGGCTCACTGCAGCCTCTGCCTCCCAGGGTCAAGGGATTCTCCTGCCTCAGCCTCCTGAGTAGCTGGGATTACAGGCGCCCACCACCACACCCGGCTAATTTTTTTTTATTTTTTAGTAGATCGTGGTAACTGCCTTAAAATGATGATTGTTCAGAAAGTCAGTTTAATTTAGATACTAAGGATATTGAGGTTATGTAACATTTGAGCAAGTTCTAAAAAAAAAGAGAAATAGTATATTTAATTGCTAATAAAGTATTGTCAACTCACAAATATATTCACATAGCATACATTTCAAGAGCAGAATAACCATGAATATAAAAGGAATTAGCAAAAACGAGACAAAAAAGACATGAAGAAATAAAAACAGATGGAACAAATAGCACAAAATACGATGAAAGTTATAAAAGAAACTATGCCAACAATCACAATAAATGTAAATAGACTGAATAATTAAGAGAAAATGACTATAAAACAGAATTAGGGCACGCGTGGTGGCTCATGCCTGTAATCCCAGCACTTTGGGAGGATGAGGCAGGCGGAGGGATCACAAGGTCAGGAGTTCGAGAGCAGCCTGACCAACATGGTGAAACCCCATCTCTGCTAATACAAAAATTAGCCGGCGTGGTGGTGAACATCTGTAATCCCAGTTACTCAGGAGGCTGAGGCAGGAGAATCGCTTGAATCCAGGAGGCAGAGGTTGCAGTGCCGAGATCACACCATTACACTCCAGCCTGGGCAACAGAGCAAGACTCCGTATCAAAAAAAAAAACACACAAAAAAAACACAAAAAACAGAAAATAAACAGTATGAAAAGACATCTAAAACATAAAGTCACAGAAAGACTGAGAGAGATTGAAAAAAGATACACATGTCATATGTACCCAACCCAAAGAAGGGTTGGAAGCTATATTATTATCAGATAAAATAGGCTTTGGGCAAAAAGCAATATGGGAGATTTTTTAAGGTCACAATATGATGATAAAAATTCTAATAAACCAAGGGAGAAGGTAATCTAAAATGTTAATGTATCTAATAACTAGCACTCAAAATACATGAAAGCAAAATATGACAAAATTGCAACCCTCAGAGGGCAATTTAAATACATATCTCAGTATCTGATAAAAGAGACAAAAAACAATCAGCATAGACATAGAAGATTTACATCTCTCTAGAAAATTAACAAGCTTGACCTAATGTAGAGAAAAAACATATCTCTCCAAAGTGACAGCATTCACCCCCCCCAAGTACATATGTACTGAGCCATAAGGAAAATCTCAACAAATTCCAAAGAAGCGGAATCATGCATCCATCTTTCTCTCTAACCATAATCTCATTAAACTAAAAACAATAATAAAAAGATAAAGTAAAAAGCCAGAAAGGCAGATGCTAAATGAGAAAGTGACAGAAAAGTTACAGATTTTGTTAAGCATACAAAGCTTCTATAGGGTAAAGCAGTCAAAGGGATATGCAAATTTACACAGAAATCCAACCGATATAAATCCTTGAAAGATACTACATACAGATATTTCATCAGTTCTCACATGCCAAACCCAGCAAAGCCAAACTTTGGAGCCTCCCCTGCGAGCAGACCTGCCACAGGAGGAGAGGCAGCACAAACCTCCCTTTGCAGTGAAAATGCCACATTGTGTGTGCTTCTTACCCCATCACCTCTTTGGAAGTGGCCCCACTCAGTGCTAGCTGAGAATCGCTTCCCTCATACCACTCTCAGTAGTTCACCCCAAGACACACTGGACAACTCTGTACCTGGTAAGTCATTGTGAATCCAATTAATAATGGCATTCAGAAAGTTAGGAATCTTTGAATTATTAGATTCATAGTGATATTCAAAAGAAAGAAAACGACATCATTTCTGTTCCACGCATGTTGCCCACATTCACTGCGTAAAAGGCAAAGGGAACTGTGAGTACCCACAAAGAACCTGATATTGACGGCACATACATTTCTTCATTAGGAAGAATAAATTTAGACTGTAACAATTTAAAAAACCAGAAAATACAACTGTACATTTTAGCTCTTATTAAAATCCAAGAGGTTTAACTTATTTGCTCCTTGTTTAGGTAATTAGTGTCTAAAACATTTCAAAGATAACATATATAGTGGCTACGATTTCTAGTACTTTTTAAAAATTCAAGCCCAGTCTCTTCTAATTAAATGTATAAATGATTTATCTCTGTCTTTCTTAAAAAGAACCAAGAGCCCCAATTAAAAAGTAAAACTTAAATTTCCTCTTAAAAAATTGTTACGTCAAAATTATCGAATAAACCATAGTTCAGAAAATAATTTCTGAATTAAGAAAATATGAATAATAAAACCAACAGTTTATGTGCTGAATTTCAAATTTTTATTTTTTATTATTTTTAAAATTTTGTTTTAAGTTCTAGGGTACATGTGCAGGAGTGTTACGTAGGGAAACGTGTGCCATGGTGGTTTGGTCCACCTATCAACTCATCACCTCAGTGTTAAGCCCAGCACGCATTAGCTATTTTTCCTGATGCTCCTCCCCCACCCGCCCTGACAGGCCCCAGTATGTGTTGTTTCCCTTCCTGTGTCCATGTGTTCTCATTGAACCTCACATTTTTAAATACAGCATATGCCAGGTGTCATTTCAGTACCCATGATTATACATAGTATAATTATACATAGTATATGTATATGTGTAAATATATGTATATGTGTACATATATGTATGTAATATGTGTATGTAAATATTATGTAAATATGTATGTATGTAAGTATATATGTAAATATGTATGTGAATGTATGTAAATATATACACATGTAAATATGTATGTAAAAATATGTACGTAAATATATGTATATATATAAATGTAAAATATGTAAATATTTGTAAATGTAAAATATGTAAATGTAAAATAAATGTAGAATGTCAAATGTAAATGTAAAATGTAAAATAAATGTAAAATGTAAAATAAATGTAAAATGTAAATGCAAAATATGTAAATATATGTATATGTGTAAATATATGTGTGTAAATATATATGTATATGTGTAATATATATGTATATGTGTAAATATATATGTATATATAACACAGCATACAGCATATGCCAGGTGTCATTTCAGTACCCATAATTATACATAGTATAATTATACATAGTATAATTAGACTACTATGTTAGCTAAAAAATGTTGATTAGATACAAATGTATAAATTTATCTTCTCTAAAAGTGGAAATTCTCTAGAGGCTATTTCCAGCTTCTGTGTGGATTGTAGAGCAGGCTGCTACCTGTACCCCAAAAATGAACACCTTAAAAAAAAGACAAGTTTCTCAGCCTCCCTATTGCACACACATATGAAAAATATGTTAAATTCAACGCCAACTATTCCTGAGATCAACACAGCAGTGATCCCAAAGAGAAAATTTCTCTTTGCTAATGGGCACAAACTTGAAGGGCAAAGCAGTGGAAGGGTAAGTCTGCAGACTCGGGTGGGGCTCAAGTCAGAATCACGTGGAAGATCATTGCCACATGTTTTTGTTTTTTTAAATAGCAAACACCACCAAGTGGAGCCCGCCGGGTTTAGTAGATATTAAACCTCTAAGGAGTGGCACATCCGAGACTGAAATTCCCATCTTTTGATTCCCAGCTCAAGGTCTCTGAAATGCCAGCACCAGCTGTGAAATTGTTCTTCTGCATTTTCATGGAGACCTTTTCTTCTATACTGCCATACTCTTTTTTTTGGAACAGTTATACCTGATCTTCCTATTTTTGTGTGTGTTCCACCGAAAGTTTTTCACTCTAAATACTTCCCTCTTTCCAACTGAGCATTTACATCTGTAACAAGGACAAAAACATCTAACATCTCTCTCACCCTTGGTTTGTGTTTTGTTTTGTTTGTTTTTGAGACAGGGTCTTGCTCTGTCACCCAGGCTGGAGTGCAGTGGCGTGATCACCGTTCACTGCAGCCTCGAGCTCCTGAGCTGAAGCAATTTTCCCACCTCAACCTCTGAGTAGCTGAGACTATAGGTGTGTGCCACCACGCCTGGCTAATATTTGTATTTTTTGTAGAGATGAGTTTTTGCCATGTTGCCCAGGCTGGTATTGAACTCCTGGCTTAAGTGATCCTCCTGCCTAGGCTTCCCAAAGTGCTGGAAGGAATTACAGGTATGAGCCACCGTGCCTGGCCTCACCATTGTTAAAATTATGGAAATCGTGTTTGCAAAGCAGCTTGGCCTGTTTGGAAAAGGGTGTCATAATTTCTCAGGTAACTCCAAAAAGAGAAAGCTACGAAAATTACTTTAATACATTCATTACAGTCTCAGTATAAGATTATAGCTTCCTCTCCCAAAGCGTAACCACAACCTGACGCAGGATGAGTTGGTTTGAAAATACCGCATACAATATCCTCTTGAGTAGAATCATAATTTAGAACTCTAAAACTGACCAGAAACAAAACTGTCCAAGTTTGTTTAACGTAATGTGTTTCAACTTATTTGACTAGAAAACCCTTCATTCGTGCAACACTTATAAACATCCCATGGCAAATCTAGTTTTCTATGAATAATGAACAAAACATTTATAATTTAAAACTAAAATTGTCTTCTAAGCAGAGATCTACGTATCAATAAAATGAAGAAATAAAATTTCCATACTGTTTTCTTCCCAATACAAGGATTAGAAGGAAAGGGAAAAGAGTAACAGCGAGAATCAATAGCCCATGTCTGGCCAGGCTCCATGGCTCAATCACACCTGTAATCCCAGCAATTTCAGAAGCTGAGGCGGGAGGATCACTGGCCTTTAGTGATCCTTGAATGAAACTCCATCTCTAAAAAATTAAAAATATTAGCTTAGAGAATCATTTGGGCCCAGGAGTTTGAGGCTGTATTGAACTATGACTATGCTACTGCATTCCAGCCTGGGCAACAGGCTGCTTAAACCTGGAGGGGCGGAGCTTGCAGTGAGCCGAGATCGTGCCACTGCACTCCAGCCTGGGCAAAGGAGCCAGACTCCGTGGCAAAAAAAAAAAAAAAAAAAAAGAGATTCTATTCACAATAGCAACAAAACCCTGAGAATATATCTAGCAAAGTATACACAAGGCCTTTCATGAAGAGTATTGCCATAGCCTGAATGTGTCTCCCAAAATTCATGTATTAAAACTTAATTCCCAAGATGATAGTACTAAGAAGTGGGGCCTTTAAGAAGTGATTAAGACATAAGGGTGAGCCCTCATGCATGAGATTAGTGCCTTCCTTATAAAAGGGCTTGTGGGTGGTGGTAAATCTGTCCCTTCTGCCTCATGAGAACATAGCATTTGCCTGCTCCAGAGGAAGCAGCATTCAACGTACCATCTTGGAAGCAGAGACCAGGCCCTCACTAGACACTGTGTCTGCTGGAGTCTTGATCTTGTTCTTCCCAACCTCCAGAACTGAGAAAATAAACTTCTGCTCTGTGTAAATTACCCAGTCTCAGGTGTTTTGTTATAGCACTATGAAGGGACTAAGACAAATATAAAAATTACCCAGGGACTTAAAGGAAGAACTGACTAAACTGAAATACATGCCATATATATTATGAATCGTAGGACTCAATGCTATAAACATACTACTTCTCAACAAATTAATCTATAAATTCAAGAAATTCCTACACAAATCCCAATAGAATTTTTTTGTGGAACTCGAGAGGCTCATCCTAAAATTCATACAGTCACTTGAGGGGCCAAGAATAGTGTAACAGGGCTGGCGGGGCTGGTGGCTCACACCTGTAGTCCCAGTACTTTGGGAAGTCAAGACTGGAGGATGGTTTGAACCCAGGAGTTCAAGACCAGCCTAGGCAACATAGCAAGATGTTGTCTCAAAATATTAAAAATAAATAAATAAATAAATAAATAAATAAATAAAAAGAAGGTTAAGTATGCACATTTTGTTGTGAATTTCAATTTTATAGTGTTTTTTTTTTTTTTTTTGAGACAGGGTCTTGCTCTGTCACCCAGGCTGGAGTGCAGTGGTGCCATCTTGATTCACTGCAACCTCTGCGTGGGCTCAAGCAATCCTCCCGCCTCACTCTCTGGAGTAGCTGGGACCACAGTTATGTGCCACCACACCTGACTAATTTTTATATTTTTTTTTTGTAGAGATGGGGTTTTTCCATGTTGCCCAGGTTGTTCTCAAACTCATCCACCTGCCTTGGCCTCCGTAAGTGAGATCACAGACATGGGCCACTGTGCCCGGTCTAGTGCGCTTTTTTTTTTTTTTTTTTTTTTTAACCAAACAAACGATGAAGTCTCAGGAGTAAAAGTTGATACACAAGTAAATTTTATTGGTAATGTTTTTGTGTGGTCTTTAAGCAGAGGGAAAATTAGTCTGCATTATGGTGTATCCAGACTAAATAACTGATATTAAAATGAAATTATCCTTAGGATTTGCAATCTTAGAGAAAACTTTTTCATTTTTTTTGAGTTACAAATTATCTTCACTTACATTTGAGAACAGTGAGTCACAGAGGGATTAAGTATCTTACTCAAGATCTTGCAAGTGTTTGGTTTGAACCCAATCTTTTCACTCTGCAGAACTCAGAGTCACTCTTATTTGGAAACTTTTTAACTGATGTGGATCCTCTAATATGGGCTTCCTATTATTCATTCCGTATTAGTCAGAAGTTTTGCAAGCAGGCAGAATTCATTTTGCCAATTACGGGATTTTCCCTCAGTTGCAGTCAAGGTTCATAAAACTATAACTATTTATCTTTAATTATAAATTTTGTTTTTGAGACAAAGTCTTGCTCTGTTGCTCAGACTGGGATCCAGTGGCACAGTAACAGCCCATTGCAGCTTTGAACTCCTGGGCTCAAGGGATCCTCCGCCTCAGCCTCCCAAGTATCTGGGACTACAAGTGCATGCCATCATCCCTGGCTAATTTTGTTAAAAAAAAAATTGTAGAGATAGGGTCTTGCTTCGTTGCCCAGGCTGGTCTCAAACTCCTGGCCTCAAGCAAGTCTTCAGCCTTGGTCTCCCAAAGGGCTGAGATTACAGGTGTCAGCCATTGCACCTGGCCAAAACTGTAACTATATATACACACACACATAACTACATATATATGTGTGTGTGTATGTATGTGTGTGTGTATATATATTTTTATATATAAATAGATATATCTGAAAGGCATCAAAAGAAAAAAGCTGTAACTTTTAGTCTTGATCTTGATAGTGACTTGATTAGGCTATCTGTTTAACATCAAAGATGCAAATTAATGCTTTCTTTGGGTGAGCATATTAAAAATGCAGAAAATATTGGAGTAGTTTTTTATGTTAAATAAATTGTATTCTGTGTATTTAAGGTATACAACATGATTTTATGGGATGCATATAGATGGTTAAAAAAAATTACTACAGTGAAGCAAATTAACGTATCCTTCAACTCAGATAGTTACCCGTTTTCTTTTTGTTTGGTGGCAAGAGGAGCTTAAAATCTCATTTAGCGTGAATCCCAAATACAGCACAATTTTATTACCTATATTTCTCGCGTTGTACATTATATTTCTAGGCTTGTTCATCCTACATATCTGCTACTGTGTAACCTCTGAGCTATGTCCACCCATTTTCTCTCTTGCCCCCCAAGTAATTTCCTAAAGTGTCTCATATAAAAAGGCAGTAGCTTTCAGCTTAAACTTTTTCTCTGTATATATTTAAGTCAATTTCTTTGAGGTATGTTTTTCTCTCCAGAATAGTTAGATGTAGGCATACCACTTTAATGTTGACACTAGTTCACCTAGAACTTATCTTCTGCAAATCTGTCTCTATGTCCATCTCTGTCTCCATCTTTGTCTCTATCTTTATCTCTGTCTATCTATCTATCCATCCATCCATCCATCCATCTATCTATCTATCCATCTGTCTATCTAACTAAAGCAAATTCATGCCCTTCTCCTATTTATGGAATCGAGACCATAAACAGAGGTGAGGGAAAGAATTTGGCAGGAATTGCGATGTGTATTACCTGTGGCATAAGGAAACTTTACAGAACTAGGGTCAAAAGTATACTTTCTAGTTCTTTCCCATGGCTTTTCACTTTGATGTAGTCCTTATCAGGCAACTGAGGTTTTATATAAGTCCCCTGATTCTTAGAACATGAAGGTGTAGTATTCAAGTTTGGTCCCTTGAAACCACAATTTTTGTTAAAAAAAATTAAGAAAATTGTATAATTTCCTCAGCAAATACATATTGATCATCTGTTATACAGCCATGAGAAGTGGTTCTGTTGAACACGTTTATTTTATCAGATCCCAATTCTAAACCAGGCATAGAATGGAAACCATGAAGGTAGGATGAAATAACTTCTGAATGTTTGAAAATAGTGTACTTAAAAATAAATATCAGGTGTTTTTGTTTTGTTTTTTGTTTTTTGTTTTTGAGACAGGGTCTCACTCTGTCACCCAGGCTGGAGTGTGGTGGTGCCATCTCACCTCATTGCAGCCTTGACCTCCCAGGCTCGGGTGATCTCCCACCTCGGCCTCCCAAGTAGCTGGGACTACAGGCACATGCCACCATGCCCAGCTAATTTTTTGTATTTTTTGTAGAGACAGGGTTTCACCATGTTGCCCAAGCTGGTCTAGAACTCCTGGGCTTAAGCGATCTTCCCACCTCAGCCTCCCAAAGTGCCAGGATTACAGGCATGAGCCACCATGCCTGGCTGAAAATACCAGGTTTTTAAGTATCAGCACTGCCTCTTCAATCTTTTCTATTACTATGTTGTGCTCAGTGGTATTTTTTATTGAATTAGAGCAGTGCTGTTCAATGGAACCTTCTTTGAGGATGGAAATCTTTTATGTCTCTGCTGTGTGGGTATGGTATTAGCTGGGTATGGGGCACCTGCCTATAGTCCCAGCTACTCAAGAGGCTGAGGTGGGAGGATCACTTGAGCCCAGGAGGCCGAGTCTGCAGGTTCGTACCACTGCAATTCAGCCTGTGTGACAGAATGAGACTCAGTCTCAGAATAAAATGAAATAAGGAAATAAAAATGTAATTGTTGAAATAAGAAACTAGTGGATGGATTAGACACGAGAAGAAAGAATTAATTGTTTAGGCGATTCTCTCCAAAAAGTAAGTCAGCATGTCACACAGAGAGACATGAGGATGGATGATAGGGCAGAAGTTGGTGGGCTTGGAGGGGAGAGGAAGATCAGAATGAGGTCCAAAATGTGTCTTAGTGAAATCCCAGGAGGAGATATTAAAATTATATTAGAAAGTGAAAGAAATAGAAGTTTTATTTATTTATTTATTTATTTTGAGAAGGAGTCTCGCTCTGTAGCCCAGGCTCGAGTGCAGTGGCACGATCTGAGCTCACTGCAAGCTCCACCTCCTGGGTTCACGCCATTCTCCTGCCTCAGCTTCCCAAGTAGCTGGGACTACAGGCACCCACCACCACGCCTGGCTAATTTTTTGTATTTTTAGTAGAGATGTGGTTTCACCTTTTTAGTCAGGATGGTCTCAATCTCCTGACCTCATGATCCGCCAGCCTCAGGCTCCTAAAGTGCTGGAATTATACGCATAAGCCACTGCACCCGGCCCAAAAGCTTTGTGTTTTTACAAATATTACACATGTTTCTTGTTTAAGAAAAAAAGTCTTCACAATAACGTAGGAGAATAAGAGAAACATTTTTCCAAAAAAGAGAAGTCATTGTGATTATTTTATCTTATTGGAATGTTGGATAATATAGTCTGCTTCAGTAATCATCAAGCATGCTATGGATTTTCCATGTTCATAGGATCTGTATCTCGGTTAAGGTAATACTGGTAATTTTTGTACTCTATGAAAAATATAGGCCAAAATCATAGACCTTGCATAGAAGCTGGATCATGAAGACAGCTCTGGAGGAACACACAGGTACACACACACAGACACACATATATATAAAGTATACACATATATATATTTTTAAAAGCTTTTAAAGCAAAAGCCGGCCCTGCCCCTCTCCCAGAGTTGGCGGCCTCTCCCCTCTCTTAGGGTGGGTGGGGACAGTGGTTGCCTGGGCAGCTTTCCTTGTGAGCCAAAGGTCCCTCTGGACACATGATGCCTGGCCACGCCCCCTTTCCCTTTCATCTTTCTCATTAACCAATGGGCTTGGAGCATTAAGGCCACGCCCCTATTCTGCCTTCTACTGCATCCCTGGTTACGCCTCCTCTGGCTCAGTCGCACAGCTACCTGGTAGGTGACTGGAGGTGTTGATCAGTGCTTGGTGGGATTTTGCTGATGTGGCCCCAAGCCCGCCTCCCTCCCCACCCTGCGATGGCAGAAGAAACTCGACAAAGTAAATTGGCAGCAGCCAAGAGAAAGGTAAAAACACACCAGGTCACGGACCCCCAACCCAGCCATAGATCCTCTCCAACGACAAGACTGCTGCCAGAGTCCATACCACTCCCGAGGTTCACCGGACTGGGACCCCCACACCGGTGCCTCTGGGCTACCCCCACCAAAGTTTTGTCAGTCAGCCCCACCCCTTCAGCAAGCAGCCCAGTCTCTGCCCTCACCAATCACCCCAGGGTGACTTTGGGCAGGTGAATCCTGGGGCTCCCCGCTCCTTTACTGGGCCCTCATCTCCTGCCACCCCAAGCTTGACCTCCCAGGGCTTTTTGGGCTCACATCTCCAAGGACCTGGGTCCCACAGCCCCAGACCCCACCCTCACCAGTCATCCCTGGGTGACTTTAGGCTGGTGAATCCTGGGGCTCCCTGCTGCTGACTCTTCCCTTCCCTCCTGCTGCCTCAAGGTGGACCTCCCTAGGCTGTGTGCACTGGTGTCTCCAAGGACCTGGGTCCCAGCTCTGTTTTTCCCTCCCCTATCATGGAGCGGTGACTCGGACATCATGCTGATGTGGTCCCTCCCCCTCACCAGGAAGAGTGGAATGTAGTGATGTCACGGTCCATCCAGTAACTGTCATTACTGCAAGACTGGCCTTTGATCTTATGACCCAGTCCCCTAAGCATTGCCACCCCATTTCTGGTTCCTCTTGTCACAGCACAAATTTCCAGCTGGAAGGGGAATGGAGATTGGGACCTAGGAGCAAGAGGTTTCAGGCTGCCTCACTCCCTTAGCATAAACATTGACAGCGGGAAAAGCCTACACTTCCCCTGTGAGCTCAAAACATTGACAGTACCTCTGGATGGCAACTGGAGAATGGGTTTGACTTGGTTTGGTTTTCTCCCAGGCTTCTACTTTCCAGAGAGATTTTAACAAATTTTTTGTGAGTTCTCCACCTCACATTCTAATTCTCCATGGTTCTGGGACCAGACTGCCCTTCAGCCAGTGGTCTGTGAAGTGAGATTTGCTCATCTTCTGTGGAATAGATCTTGGGAAACTGAACTTGACAGCTTGAATCTTCCTCATATTATGTAAACCTGGGGTACTTTGAGTGCCACAGGATACATATGGGACATCTTTCTGAAGCATCAGTTTCCATTGATTCTCTTGAGATCAAGAGAAAAAACATTAATGTACTTAGGGATGACAGTCACATAGGTTTCTAACAGTATACCAGACTTCTCTCTGAAATGAGGCTTGGGTTGTCCTCTTTCTGATAAATTCCCAGATTTAACAGAAAGGCTGCCTTCTGCCATGAGGACACATTGATATAAGAGTTTGAGAGGTACTGGTGCACTTCTTCACACTAACAGACGTGTGAGGATGTATGACTAAACCACATGGCATACAGTTCCTGCCTACTTAATGTTTACTTTTCTACCTCTGCCTCTGGTTTTGGTCCCTGGCAGCTGATGATTCTTGGTAAAACCCCAGAGTTTGGAGTCAGAAGACTGAGTTTCAAAGTTCGTCTGTCGCCTTTTTCTTTTCTTCTTTTTTTTTCTAGCCATGATATCAATCTCTTTGAGTCACTAAATGATTGTGACAACACCTTGTACAGTTGTTGGTATCATTAAATCAGATGGTGTATAAGAGTATTTTATAAAAACTGTAAAGGAGGATGTGGCTGCAGGGGCTGATAGTTCTCATGAGTATTACTGCTCTTATTTCTGACAGTTAAAAGAATATTGGCAGAGAAACAGCCCTGGTGTTCCAGCAGGAGCCAAGAGGAACAGGAAAACAAATGGCAGCATCCATGAGACAGCCACTTCTGGTGGTTGCCACTCACCTGGAGATGTGAGTCTTGGCTGACTAGGTTCCTGGGGACAGGGGACCCAAGGGGCACTAGAGGGTAATTGTTAAGATTGTGGATGGACTGTTGGGTACCTGTGAAGAATTCTGGGTTTGAATCCTGCCTCTTTGTCTGCTAGGGATATGAATTAGGGCAAGTTGCTAGACCTCATCGGGCCTCTCTTTTCACATCTGTATAATAGAGGTGGTATTGTTTCACTTCCATTTGTGAAGTTTAAATGAGATTTGTTATTGTTGTTTTTATGTTAATCCCTAGTACATGGCCTGCTGTAAACACCCAGAACACCCAGGATATGGTCATTGCTGTTCGATTTTCCTCATCCCCAGTCTCAAGGGGAAGCCAGGACAATGAGAACAGTCACTTGGCACAGGAGTCACTGAAAGGGCCACAGGGTGCTGTGGTGGGGAGATAAGAACCATGAGAGAAGTTGGCACAAAGGAGTTATGGGACAAAGGGTCCAAGATAGGCAGAAAAGAAAATTGTGCCAGTTGATGGGGAAGAAAAGAAGTCAGAGGGCTTAGATACTGAGTGGGACAGAACATCTTCATGTGCACTCTCATCTCTTGTAGTCAGCAACAGGTATCCACGGGGAGAGCCCTACATCATCTGCTACCCTGAAGGATCTGGAGGTAAGAGGCTCTGGGCAGAGGTGCAGTGACCCTGCAGGCCAGCCCTCCAACCTCCTCCTCCAGGTGGGATGGGGTGCCCCTCTGCCAGCTGAGACAGCCCACACACCCCAGCCCTAATGATTGCTCTCTCTACCTCTCCCCCCACTCCTCCTCCACCTCCTCCTCTCTGCATGCGCCTCAGAGCCCGTGCCAAGAACTAGCAGTAGTCCCAGACTCGAGGTCCGTAAAAGTCAGTCAACTGAAGAACACCATCAAATCTTTGGTAAGAGTCCACTGGGGTCCCCTGATTCCACGCTGCCAATCCTGGGCTCTAGTTTCCCCTTGGGGCCCTGAAGAAAGGGGACGGCGGCCCCTGGTGCCAAGGGCGAATAGGGAGCTGGGGCGCCCAGGCCTCACCTGGAGGGACCCCGGAGCATGCAGCATGGCTCTTTTTTTGCTGCCCTGTTTGCTGACTCTCCCCTCTCCAGACGCCCCTGCTCGAGTCCTTGCTACACACGCCCTGGGATTGTTGCCTCTTGGGGAAGTGCTAGCCTGACTGGTTGTCAGGGGCCCCGTATTTCTGCCATGACTCAGTCCCTAATTTGCTCTTTGATTCTGGACAAGCCACCTCTCCTTTTTGGGCTCATGTTTCCAGAGGAAGTAGTGAGTATCAAAGGTCTCTGTTAGCTCTCGAGTCTGAGATTTAAAGGCCTCCTAGAATGGAAACCTCAGGGCCAAAGGCTCCTGTCTGTCCTTTTCCGCCCTAAATCTTCTGTGAAGAACCGTACTTGGCCCGTACGTGCTCAGTAAATGTTTATTGAATGAATGCACTTTTCTAAATCACAAGCTGGCAGAAGGGGGGGCCTTTCTCAAACTCCATCTCTAGAGGTTTATGTTACTGTCCTGTCAAGAGATTCCAGATTCAGACCTTGAGTTCTGTGGCTGTGGACAAAAGCCAACAAAGACCCAAATCCTCTGTCCTTGGGAGCTTGAGGAGAGTTTACCAGTTCGAGTTCCCACTGGGTCTGAGAACTTTGCCTTTAAAATCCATTCCTGGCCCCTGCCTACCACTTCCTGCTCTGGGGAATAGAGTTGAGGGGGCCACCCTCCATCACCTTAATGTGACTCTCCCCACAGAAACAACAGAATAAACAAGTGGAACATCAGCTGGAAGAAGTAACATGATTTCTTTGTTTGCTCGCGACATGACTGCTCGGTTTGGGGGACACTCAGATGTAGAGGCCCCGAGTCTCGTCTCACCCACTCCCAGCCTGGGGAAGAAGGCTCACCCCCCAGAGTCCACCCCATCCCCCACAGGGTCCCTGATAACCCGGTCCCATGGGTGGGCCTGTCCCGGGGCAGGGGCAGTGGTGGCATTCTGGGGACATGTCTCTTGCAGTACCATCTCTGCCTCTGCCTGGTTAGATCTCTGTCTTCCTCTTCCTACAGGAAAAGAAAGCAAACAACGAGAAACAGAAAGCCGAAAGGGAGCTAGAGGTGAGTGGACGGTGTGCAGTTTTCTCCTGTCCTCCGGAGAATGTTTCTTTCCTTCTCTTTCAGCACTTGCTTGGCTTTTCTCCCAAAGGTTCAAATCCAGAGATTGAACATACAGAAAGGGAAACTAAATACGGACCTGTACCACACGAAACGTTCTCTCAGATACTTTGAAGGTGGGAATCTGGGTACCCTGTCATCCTTCAACCTGGCACTTTGACAGGTCTTCAGGGGGAGTCCTTTGGGCCCCATCTCAACTCTCTCATTACAGAAGAGTCCAAGGATCTGGCCGTCCGTCTGCAACATTCATTGCAGCGTAAAGGAGAGTTAGAGCGGGCTCTCTCTGCTGTCACCGCCACACAGAAGAAGAAGGCGGAGAGGGTGAGTCCAACCACCTGCCCCGTCCCCTGGGAGCCTGGCTTCGCAGACAGAGGAGTGAGCCTAAAGGTCCCTTCTGCAGGATGGAGTGTCCTGCCCAGAAGGCAGCATGGCCATTTCTCACTGCTTTTTTGTATGGTTGTTAGCGGCAGCTTGGGACTGAGTCAGCTGCTGTGGGTGAGTTGGGGGGCACTCTGGGGAGAGAGCACAGGACGTAGAGCTTGGAGGCCAAGTGCCTGCCATGCCTTTACCTGGCTGTGGTCTTGGCCAAGTCCTCAGTGGGTATTGGGTACTTGTACTGTGAAGGTACAGAAGAGTACCTTTAGTATGTTACCATTTCTGTAGAGAGAGGAAACGTGTGTGTGTGTGTGTACATATTATGATAATATACATAAAATATGTTTGCAAGTGTTCATAAAAACTCAGGAGAGAGCAACAGGGTGGCTGGGAGATACTTCCCTTCTGTACCTTCTGAGTTTGGGACTATGTGAATGTATTATCCTTTCAAAAAGTGAACAAAAGATTAATTTTCCCCTTCCTAGCTGTGCCCCCACCCCCAGCAAGAAAAATGGGCTTAGAGAATTGGATAGATCTGGGTGTTTAAATCCCAGCTCTGCCTAAGTGATCTTAGGCAAGCACTTAACCTCAAATACTCCATGTTTTTTCATCTACACAATAGAGGTCATCATAGTAACTGTCTCCCATGGTAGTTGCGAGGATTAAATGGGATTGCTAGCATGGTATCTGGTGAAGCACTCCATAAAAGTTCAAACAGTGGTAATAATAACAGTAATAACAATAGCAATATTATCTGATCTCTCTGGGCCTCTGTTAGCCAGCTATAAATTCGATCTCTTTCCCTGTCCCTTCCAACTTTACTGAGTTCTTTAAAAACCAAACCACGGGCTTGGAAATGCCTTGATCTTTACTGACCGAGTTGTATATTGGGCCTAGCCCTGGCCCTTTTAAGGGGCACTGTGTGGAATGGCCCGGCCTCACCAGATTGAAACTTCTCACTCTTCAGCAGTTCTCCAGCCGCAGTAAAGCACGTATGGAGTGGAAGTTAGAGCAGTCCATGCGGGAGCAGGCACTGCTGAAAGCGCAGCTGACACAGGTGAGGTGTTCAGAGGGAGGGATGTGGAAGGAAGATGACCCCAGGTAACCAGGAGCAGGTGAGGACCAGTGACAGCCCTTCCTAATTTCTGTGCCCATTCTTGCAGTTGAAGGAGTCACTTAAAGAAGTCCAGCTAGAGAGGGATGAATATGCTGAACATCTAAAAGGAGAGAGGGCCCGGTGGCAGCAGAGGATGAGAAAAATGTCGCAGGAGGTGAGATCTGACCCTTCAGCCCCCCCACATTAGATAGGTCACTGGATCTTTCTGGGCACCTGTAAAATGGGAATAGTAGAGCCAGAGGTGGTCCTGGGACTGGGCTTTGTGGAGGTGGGGGCAGAGAGGGAGATGGTAGCATGTCCAGCCTCCAGCCCCTCTCTCCAGGGCCCTTTCCCCCTGTGCTTTGGGCAGGTTTGCTCGTTGAAGAAGGAGAAGAAGCATGATAAATATCGGGTAGAGAAGCTGGAGAGGAGCTTGTCCAAACTCAAACACCAGATGGGTAAGATGGGGCTGGCGTGACCTGGCAGCAGGACTGGCATCAGAGGGCTGTGAGGGTGGCTTGGAGTGCCCCAGCGAGGTGGGTGGATGGAAGGGCTTTGAGGCAGAGGGAAAGAGGTCTGTGCCAGGAGACGGCAAGTCTTGTCATCTCAATGAGCCTCAGTGTCCCCATCAGCAAAGAGGGCCCGTTGTCAGCCACCCGCAGTGCTCTTTCTCTGAAAGTGCTTTGGAAGACTGGCTACCATCTGGGTGCGAGGAATCATTAGCAGTGAGGCTAAGTTTGAGGAGCCGGAGAGGAGCTGTGCGCCAAGAGGAGGGTTTTTTCTTTTCTTTTCTTTTCTTTTTTTTTTTTTGGAATCCAGAGGCTCTTATTGTCTGCTTCCTTTCTCAGCTGAACCTCTGCCCCCGGAGCCCCCAGCAGTGCCCTCTGAGGTGGAGCTGCAGCACCTGAGGAAGGAACTAGAGAGAGTGGCAGGAGAGCTCCAGGCCCAGGTGGAGTACAATCAGCGCATAAGTCTCCTGAATGAGGGGCAAAAGGAGAGGCTTCGGGAGCAGGAGGAGAGGCTTCAGGAGCAGCAGGAGAGGCTTCCAGAGCAGGAGGAGAGGCTTCAGCAGCTGGCCGAGCCACAGAACAGCTTCAAGGAGCTGGTGCGTTGCCCCAGCTGGGGAGCTTGCCCTCCTCCCTAGCCCTCCAGGCCTTTGTTTCCCCACCTATAAAATGGGGCAGTGTAGCCCTCAAGTGAAATGTTACTCCTAAAGGCACCTGTGAGCCAGAGCCCTGCTCTGGTGGCTGTGGGAGACAGGGGATGATTTTTCTAACCTGCCTCCACCCTTCCCGGTGCCATGGGAGGCAGTCACCAAGTTCTGGGGTCTCCAGCTGCAGTGGGTGGCTGCTGATTGCTTCTCTCTGTCCAGAACAATGAGAACAAGAGCGTACTACAGTTGGAGCAGCAAGTAAAGGAGCTGCAGGAGAAGCTAGGCAAGGTGAAGGAGACGGTAACCTCCACCCCATCCAAGAAGGTCTGGGAGGTGGGTGGGCACCAGCCTCTGGGGAGGGGAGGTGCCAGGCCAGCGGTAGCTCCAGCCCGGGGGCAGGTGACCCCAGCACCCTCCAGGGCAGTCCTGTGGCTGTTTCTTGCTTCCTGCCCTCTGATTTTAGAGGTGGGTAGCCCTGGGCTCCTCCCAGGTCTGGACATCATCATTCCAGCTAGAGACATGGAGCCCCCCCAATCACAGGGGAAGAGACAGAGTGGTATAACAGTCTTCTTATGCCAGATGCGGTGGCTTACGCCTATAGTGCCAACACTTTGGGAGGCTGAGGCAGGAGAATCACTTGAGGTTTGGAGTTTGAGATCAGCCTGGCCAACATGGTAAAACCTCATCTCTACTAAAATTACAAAAACAAAAAACAAAAAAAGAAAGAAAAATTAGTGGGGCATGGTGGTGGCGCATGCCTGTAATCCCACCTACTCAGGAGGCTGAGGCACGAGAATTGCTTGAGCCCAGGAGGTGGAGGTTGCAGTGAGCTGAGATTGCACCACTGCACTCCTGCCTGGGCCACAGAGTGACACTCTGTCTCAAAACAAAACAAAAAGACTCCTTAGATTAAAACTGGATTCCAGCCTCAGTTCCACTGGTCACCATTCAAGTACTTCGCATCTCTAAGTCTCTGTTTCTTTAACTTCAAAAGGAAGTTAGCATTTTCCTTACAGAGGTGCTGAGGATTAAATGAGATAATACATGGGAAGCATTAGGCCTGTAGCACATTTAGCAGATGGTGGTTGGCTCCCATACTTTTCTACCATTCTGTGGCCTACAGTTGAAATGGTGGGAAGAGGACATGAGATTTGAGGCTGGGGAAGGAGGCATGGGGTTCTAGGAAAGCAAGGCAGTCACTTAGGCCTGAAGTAAGGGGCCAGGGGCCTGGGCAGGCGACAGAGCCCCACAGTGCCCTCGCTACCCTATTAATGGGCCCAGAATCTGCAAACCAGCCACCACGTGCCCTCACACCCAGGGTCTTCCTGCAGGTGGAGCTGAAGAGCCAAGAGGCTCAGAGTCTGCAGCAGCAGCCAGACCATTACCTGGGTCACCTGCAGCAGTACGTGGCCACCTATCAGCAGCAGGTGGCCGCCTATCAGCAGCTGACCTGTGAGAAGGAGGCGCTGTACAGGCAGTGACTGCAGCAGACCCAGCTAATGAACCAGTTGCAGCAGCAGGAAGCTTGGGGCAAAGCGGTGGCCGAGATGGCCTGCCAAAAGTTGCAGGAGACCCAGGGGAGGGAGCTGCCGAGGATGGGGCTGTGAGGGGGACGACCTGGCAAACTCTGTGCCTTCTCACTCTTTCCTGGCCCCTTAGGAGCGTCTGGAAGCTGCGAGCCAGCAGAAACAGCAGCTAACGGCCCAGTTGAGCCTCATGGCTCTCCCTGGGGAAGGTACGGGAGACCGCTCAGAGGAAGAGGAGAGAGCCCCAGGAGGAAGGGGGGACTGCTAGCAGCATAGGATTGAGGAGTTGGAAGAGACCTTTAGAACAGCTGGTCATTATACTAACCGGGTGCCTGCACTAAGTTCAGCATCAATATGGTGACCTCCTGTGAGCGGGGGGCCACCAAGTTGCCTAAGGATGGCTGAACTGGCCGAGGTCAGAAAGGGAGCAGGTCAGAACTCCCGCACCGACCAGTAGTGGGAATGTGCCTGGGCAGTATAGCAAGATCTTGGTTCTTCAAAGTAAAAATAAATAACAGCAGCTCATTCCTCTCTGGGGAGGGCCTGGCTCAGGGTTACACAATGAGGGTGGAGGCAGAGGTGGGCCCACAATACTTCCCTTGTTGAGTTGTCTGAGGACCCCTCTGGCCACCACCCCCACCCCCAGGAGATGGAGGAGGACATCTGGACAGTGAGGGGGAGGAGGCACCTCGGCCCATTCCTAGCATCCCACAGGACCTGGAGAGCAGGGAGGCCATGGTAAGCCTGACTCCACCTGAACCCATTTTGCCTCCTTCCTCTGTGGTCCCTCCAAGACCCCTTTATGCTCTTCGTTTCCCTGCCTTCTGATTTCTCTGGACCCTCACCCCTTCTGGGAGCCAGTGGTCAGACACCATTTCACCTGTGACCAACATGTGCAGTCTCTGGGGCCCCAAGGGAAGGGGCTGCGCTCCACCTCTCTGCCCCATTTGTTCTGTGTATGCCCCTGCAAGAATGCTCACATCTTGCCCTCAGGTGGCATTTTTCAAGTCCGCTGGAGCTAGTGCCCAGGAGAAGCAGGCACAGTTACAAGAGCAGGTGAAAGAGCAGAGGGTGTGCTGCCAGCGCCTGGCTCACCCGGTGGCCTCGGCCCAGAAGGAGCCAGAGGCAGCCAGAGGCCCTGGAGCCCCAGGGCCTGGGGGCGAGTCTGTGAGTGGGGAGACCCACCGGGCCCTGCAGGAAGTCACGGAGAAGCTGGCCCATGCCGGAACTCACCTCCGCCTTCTCCATGACTTGAAAATGCCACCTGAGGGCAGGTCGCTGGCGAGATGTGACCCCATTATTTTGGCTCCAGAGCGGCTTTATGGACCACCTGGAGGAGAAGGCAGACCTGAGTGAGCTGGTGGAGAAAGAAGAACTTGGATTCTTCCAGTACTACAGAGAGAGATGCCATCAGTGAGTGGGAGGCCAGGGCATGGCAGGGGGAGCTGCAGGGCTGTTGGAGGGGCCCCAGCGTCTGAGCCCTGTCCTCCCGCAGGAAAGTTTATCACCCTATAACAAAGCCAGGGGGCAGTGCCAAAGATGCAGCACCGGGAGGAGGACACCATCAGGCTGGCCCTGGACAGGGAGGAGATGAAGGTAGAGTGTGCAACATCTCTGCGGGGGTGGGGGTGGCTGTGACGGTGAGCGCTGGCAGCAGCGTGACAGCTGAGCACCCCTCCCTCCAGGTGAAGCTGCTGGAGCTGCAGGAGATGGTGTTGCAGCTGGTGGCGACTACAAGGGACACAGCAAATTCTTGGTGACTGCCCAGAACCCTGCTCATGAGCCCAGTCCAGGAGCCCCAGCCCCCCAGGAGCTTGGGGCTGCCCACAAGCATGGTGGTGAGTAGAGCCCTCAGGCGGGGTGGGCAGGCAGGAGCAGGGGGGCTCTCACTGAGCTCAGATCCCCGCCTCCCTCTCTCCAAAGATCTTTGTGAGGTGAGCCTCACTGACAGCGTGGAGCCTGTGCAAGGAGAGGCCAGGGAGGGTTCTCCCCACGACAACCCTACTGCACAGCCGATCGTGCAGGACCACCAGGAGCACCCAGGCTTGGGCAGCAACTGCTGTGTGCCATTCTTTTGCTGGGCTTGGCTGCCAAGAAGAAGGAGATAAACATCACCATCGTCAAAGAGCTGCTGAAGAAATTTTTAAAAAAGAAACAAAGTTATGGGGTTAATCTCCTACACAATTCATTTACTTCATTTGAATGTTATAGCCACTTATGATTATTTGTGTTTCTAATTTATAGTTTAAGTTCATTTGTAAATAGTTAAAAGAGAGTGGGTCTCTGTGGCTTTCACTGATGTTCACTCTGGCATACTTTCGCAATTTTCTTTTTCAATTTCATAATTGTAGGTCATTAGCATGCATATTGAGTTTGCCCTTACGTGGTGGGAGTTCAAACACACAAAGACCCACTATTTGCACAAAACTATTCTTGCTGGTTTGGAATAGGCTGCCATGTGTTTTTAATGTTATTGCAGCATGTATATTCATTACAGAATTCAGATAAAATGTGCCTATGTTCTGCTGTTGTTTGATCTAATCTTAATCACAGTGAGCTCTTCATTAGCACAATATGTGGTTTGCCCCAAGTGTGCACTATTTAATACTTTGTAATATGCCACCAAGAGTACTGACATTTAGAGTTGTTTAAAGGCCGAGAACTGGAAACAGCCTTTTCCTCATTTTCTGTGTATTGGTGATGGGAGTAATAACATTTTGGGGGAGCTTTTTAAATTTCACAGAAGAGGAAAGTTGCCTGCTCTGGCAGGTATGTGCAAGATAGAGTGTGTTTCATTTGTTCTGTTGCCAAGAATTAGTGCTGTACTATTGTAGTTCCTTTAGGATTTGTATGTGCTCTGGGCTCATGAAGATATTGCATCATGAGCTTCAGCAGTTGTACTCTTTTTTGATGACCTAAAAAGGGCTTATTTCTGAGGAATGAAAGGTTCCCATCATTGACTACGGTTGTGGAAAACCTTTCCTAGCTTAGAGCATTTGTATCTATATTTTAAAGTCAGAGTTCATGTTACCTGTTTTAATCACATGACTGCATGTCCCAGTACACAAAAGGGCACTGGTTGGCATTCTTCTTAATGTATTTAGTAAAGATCATAAGAAATCCTTTAAGAGTTCAAATGTCCCTGGAACAGGCATACAGGCTCTAGTCAAGAATGAATTAGAGTGAAGGAAAGCTGTGTGACACCTGGCATTCCTCTGTTCATGGAGCTTCTTTGAGGCTTGAAGATTGATTTTACCATCTAGACCACTCTGCCTATTCTTCAACCACCTTGGTTACTTTGACATAGGAATTGACTTCTTTTCCTTGAATGGAAAACACTTTGAAATAATAATAAACATTGTTATAAACTAATATATGTGAGAGTGCTTAGTTGAAACAAAAAGGAGTTTTAGTAGACAGTATTATACTATCTTTGAAAATCAAGGAGAAGTTTATGCAACTTAAAATGTGTACAAACTGCAGTGCAATCTACTGTTGGTGAATGTCAGTGTATTATCAGGAAACATGTCTATACAATCACAGAGTTATATTTCCTCACAAACTTCTTTGTGAAGAGTGAAATGTGTTTCTGTACCTCTGGGTTTCACTTACGGGCATATTTTGTGCAGTATTTATGTGATTGTGCCTATGCATGATGAATGAATGAATTTCAGTTGTACATTGCCTAAATCATAACTTGATGATGCTTGGGAAAGACTCAACAGTTAAAACTTCATGAAGTTCTAATGTCTGTGTTCCAAAACACATCACATTATTAGGATGTAGGGAGATATGTATGTGTGCTCCCTGGGGTGGGGATTTCTAGTTACTAGACCATCTCCATTTTTAGCATTTGGCATCCTCATGATACTTTTATAAATACGACATTAACAGGAGAGCAGCAGTACGATTTTGCCGATGGAATAACAGATTTGCCGGCAATCACTGAAAGAGTGCAAACATCGGGTCCTTGTGACTTCAACGGACTCTTCCAAATTGTATGAATGTATCAATGTATTAGATAAACCCAGTTTCAGAATGATAAAGAAAAAATGTTAGACCAAATAATGCGGCTAGTTAACAGTGGTACGATTTCTCGCCCGTGGCTTTAAAATGCACTTAAAGTCCTGTCCTTGCCTTTTATTTTCTGAACTTGATGTTTTTGCATTCTTTGAGTTCAGTTTAAAGACAACTACGAGCATCTGTAACCAATCTGACAATAATGTGTTCATCAGGTGCCTGTGGATTAAATCACATACTGGCATATTTAAGCTGAATGTCAATCTGGAAAATAAATTGACTGTATTAACGGAAATACCACTCTTTGTGTAGATATTTGTCGTATATTGAAGAAAAAGCTAAAAAGAATGGAAATCGCATGACTATAACTTAAGTCTTTCTTCAAAGTGCATGCAGTCTTTTGCGATACCTCATTCAGCCAAGTATTGGTATTCTTCCTCATTCGGTATAAGGCAGCTTTCAATTTGCTTAGAGGGCAACATTGGAAGGTTAGAGTTCATCAGAAACAGAATTCTAAAATGTGAGTTCAATTCAATAAATTTGAATTTCTGTAGGAAGAATCAAATCACCGATTTAAAGATTGCAATATATAATAATCATTTTTAAAGTATTGGATTAAATCTGATAGGTTTTCCAGAAATGAACAAAAATCAGCTCTAAAACCAAAGCTGATTTTTAGAAAATTTGAAAATGTAAATCAGCCCTATCCATACTATAGTTTCTCTAAAACTTTATCTGAAAGAGTCATTTTAAAATAACTATTAAACAATGTAACTGCTATCTTAATGTTCTGAAATAAGTTAAAACATTTTAAAATATGAATACTGTAAAGGAAATAAACGGTGGGAAGGAAAAGTAGAGAAAGAAATGCCAATTCCAGTCCAAAGCTTTATTTGCCAAGTTTTCTTAGAATGAATTTTACCAATTTATGAATTCTTGTAAGCGGAATGTAAAACGGAAATACTGAAAGACTTTTGCCTAAAGTGGCATTATTGACTGCTGGTGTGATGCTACTGTAATGTAATAAATTATTAAGTTGTTGCAAAGTGCTGTTTTTGCCTTAAAATTTTATTCTGTGTGTCTTGAAAAATATAGTATTAAAGGTATTGATACTGTGCAAATGCTGAGCATGCTTGGCATGAGATAATGTTTCATTTTTACAAAATTGTAATATAACTATGCAAGGGTTTATTAAAAGAACACAAAATAAAAAAGTTATGGGATTAACAAAAGTTATGGGGTGAAAAAGTTATGGGATAAAAAATGTAAAAAAGTTGTGGCAAAAAAATCTTGTGACCAAAAAGTAGAAGAAAGTTTTATGAAAAGTTACCAAAAAAAGTTATGAAAAAGAAGTTATGGGATTTAAAAAAAAAGGCATGGGATAAAAATAAAAATTAAAATTAAAAGCAGGCCCCTGTCAGCAAAGCCTGGAGAAGTGGGGCTGGGGTCTCCACCACCACACTGTCCCTATCTCCCCTTCCCAGTCACCCCTTTACAATTAGGGTAGCAGGACAAGACCTCTGTCTAACGAGGAAAGACAAACAGACCCTTTGCCACCTTGACCAGAGCTGAGTCCTTAAATTTCTGGATGATATTGTTATTTAAGAGCCAGAGGCTGGTGGAGTTGGTTTGTTTGGAGGAGGCCTCATGGCCTCCTTACTCTCACCATAGCAACTTTTCCCTCAGTGGGGGCTCCAATCTTCTTATTCAGAGAGGTAGCTGAGGCAGGACAGTGGGGCTAACTGTGGACCAGGCGAAGGCATGGGCTGCTGGGGTGGCCCCCCTTCCCCGGTGTATATATTGTGTCTGTGTAAGGTTTTGTATATTCCAGAGGGTAGGGCCACCCCTGTATCATACCTAGCGGTGGTTGGAGGTGGCACATGGGGAGGAGGTTCTAATAATTATTTGTGGCTGGGAAACTTACTTATTGCTAGCATAGGACAGAGGAAGAAGGCAGGGATGGGGTCATGGCTTCCCAGTGGTGTGATCACAGTTCACTGCAACCTCCAACTCTCATGCTCAAGTGATCCTCCCACCTCAGCCTCCCAGGTAGCTGGGAGTATAAGCATGCACTACTATGCCTGGCTAATTTTTAAATTTTTTGTAGAGAAAAGGTCTTGCTATGTTGCCCATGCTGGTCTTGAACTCCTGGGCTCAAGCGATTCTCCCATCTTGGCCTCCCAAAGCACTGGGGTTACAGGCATGAGACATTGCTCCTGTCCATAAGATTTTCTCTTTATTACTGTTTTGTTGTTGGTGGTGGTGTTTTGTTTTGTTTTTATTTTTTGACAGAGTCTCGGTCTGTTGCCTAAGCTGGAGTGCAGTGGTGCAATCTCTGCTCACTGCAACCTCCGCCTCCTGGTTCAAGCAATTCTTATGCCTCAGCCTCCCGAGTACCTGGGGTTATAGGCATAAGCCACTGCGCCTGGCTAATTTTTGGATTTTTAGTAGAGACAGAGTTTTGCCATGTTGGCCAGATTGGTCTTCAACTCCTGGCCTTAAGCAATCCGCCCTCCTCAGCCTCCCAAAGTGCTGGGATTACAGGTGTGAGCCACTGCTCCTGGCTAAGATCCCATCTCTATTTAAATAAAAAAAGAAAATTCAGAATCTATGGAACACAGAACACCAAAGGCCAGTTATTTACCTCTCTGAGGTAATCTGTGTAAACAATTTGATATATATCCTTTCAAGTTCATACTTGCTATGCATACATATATATACACACATACATTGACATATTCCCCCTTCCCTGCCGTCATGCTATTAGTCTTCTTTTTTTTGTAGAAATTGGACCAACTCTATGTTCTTTGCTGGCCCGTATTTCTCCTATTCAGTGATGTGTTATGAATATCTGTTTAAGTCAATGTATGCAACTCTTTAATATCATTTTAAAAGGTTACGACATACGATCATATGAAGGCATTAGAATTTATTCCAACAGTTCCCTTTTGCACATTTAATAATTTCCATTGATTTGCCAGGAAGAACATTCTCGTGTCATGGCTAAATCCTTTTGTATGGACATCCTTAATTATTCCCTTAAGATAAACTTTTAAATAAAGTTGCTAGATTAGTCTCGTTTCTTAAGTTCTTTTTTGGTAGTTTATATGTAACACTGTAGTTTTATATGTACTTACAAATACCTATAGTGCCAGTAGAAAATGGGATAAAATTAAACTCTTTCACATATGCCAAATATATTTTGATTTAGCGCTTTATTAAGTGCATGATTACAGTCTCTGTATCTTTTGATTTACCTTTCTATCTTTACAATTTTCAGCCGAGATACTTAGAGGTCACATGATAAATTAAGGTTTTCTTTTTTTAATAATCTCCATCTTTCTAAATATGGTGAGTCACAGTCAGCTATTTTTGGATTGTTGAAAGCTGTGACTGTTCTAAATCGGAGCCCAGAAATCACGCCACTTACCAAATATGCTTTGTCTTCCAACATCAGAGTGTCTGGTAGAAGGTGACTGTTCTTGGAATTTAAAAAATCTGAACAGGACAAGACAAGAATCTGGACACTTTTTCTGTTTCTGATAATATGATTGAGTAGGTAGACATGCTGGATAATCCTTGCAAAGACATACTTGAACTTCCCAAAAAAAAAAAAAATAAAATCCAGAATCTCTAAGAATGAAGATGGAGTGAAAATCAGAAGGGCTGCTGAGAGAATAATGGGGAAGCAGCCCCAGTTATCAAGGGACATGTCCATGTGTTCAATAGAAAGTTTCAGATGTAAAAAAAAGTTGAGAAAAATAATATATATATTATATATAATAAATGATATAATTGCCCTACATATACACATCATCAACAATTTTTCATTCATGGTATGGACAGTTTTTTTTTTTGGTTGTTTTTTGTTTGTTTGTTTGTTTTTAAAGGTGGGATTTTGCTGTGGTTGCCCAGGCTGGAGTGCAGTGGCATGATCTTGGCTCACTGCAACTTCCACCTCCCAGGTTCAAGCGATTCTCCTGCCTCAGCTTCCCGAGTAGCTGGGATTACAGGCACCCGGCACCACATCCGGCTAATTGTTGTATTTTTAGTAGAGATGGTGTTTCACCACGTTGGCCAGGCTGGTCTTGAACTCCTGACCTCAGGTGATCCACCTGCCTCGGTCTCCCAAAGTGCTGAGACTACAGGCGTGAGCCACCACACCTGGCCACAGCCAGTTTTGTTTCATTTATATTCCCACTTCATTTATATACATTCCTTCTTCCTCTGAATTATTTTGAAGTAAAACCTATACATCCTATCATTTTTAATTACCTTATATGTATCTGTAGAAGACAAGGAATTCTTAAAAATAAATATATTCACAATGCCATTAAATATCAAAAAATTAATATTCTGAAAATAGCCACAAATCCAGAGTTGACATTTTGTTGACTTTCTCATAGGTGATTTTTTTTCTAGTTTATCTATTTCAATCAGATAACTGTTTGCTCATATTTACATTCCTTACTGAACAATGTCTAAACTTAAACTGACATAAAATGGAGATGATCTTCTAACCAGATGCTTAGTGTAAGAAAAAACTTCAAACTGCAAGAGGAGTCCCTCCAAATACAGAAAGGACCAGTATTTTAAGAGGTATGTTAACTAAAATGTGGCAATGTAAGGAGCAAAGCAGGAAGAACCTTTAAGTCCTAAACTTACAAGTCAATTTCATAGTCAGTTTCCCTGGTCCTTCCACAACAACCTCCCCCATCTGTTTTCTCTACAATGGAGGTAACAATAGTAGCTATTCCAGAGCAGGAAAAGGCTTAGAGCAGTGCTAGAAGAGGGTCGTGGCTATATAAAGTTTAGCTATTTGTATATTGTAACAAACTAACTTTTTTTGGTCAATAATAGATTTCTGTTGGAAAAGTAGCAGCCTCCTGTCTGGGGACACCTGCAGTTCCACTAAGTGAACATTGGTGTCTGCTAACCTTTGCCTCTATTTCTCTCAATATACTGTGAAGCTGTTCCTGGATTTAGCAATTTTATATACTTCTTTTTATTATTCTTTTTTTCCTTTCCCTTTTCCTGAGACACAGTCCTGCTCTGTCACCCAGTCTGGACTGCAGCAGCGCCATCATGGCTCACTGCCACCTCCACCCCGGGCTCAAGCAATCCTCCTGCATCAGCCTTCAGAGTAGCTGGGACTACCCAGGGGGGCCCACCAGGTCTGGCTAATCTTTGTGGTTTTTGTTTTGTTTTTCCGTTAAGGGACTGGGTTTCCGGCCAGGCACAGTGACTCACGCCTGCAATCGCACCACCCCTGGAGGCCGAGGCCGGCGGATCTCCCCAGGTGAGGAGCAGGAGACCAGCCCGACCAACATGGAGAAACCCCATCTCAACCTAAATAAATAAATAAATAAATAAATAAATAAAAGTAGCCAGGCTTGGTGGCTCACGCCCTTGATCCCAGCCACTCAGGAGGCTGAAGCAGGAGAATCACCCAAACCCGGGAGGCGGAGGCCCGGCGAGCCGAGACCGCGCCACTGCACTCTAGCCTGGGCAACAAGAGGGAAACTCCGTCTCAAAAAAAAAAAAACAGGTTTCACCATGTTGCCCAAGCGGGTCTGGATCTCCTAGGCTCAAGCGATTTGCCACACTCAGCCGTCCAAAATCCTAGGATCACAAGCGTGAGCCATGACGCCAGGCCGATCTATTCCTGTCTGATTAAAAATTGGGCCGGTTGCGGTGGTTCACGCCTGCGATCCCAGCACCCCGGGAGGCTGAGGCGGGCGGATAACCTGAGGTCAGATTGAGGCCAGCCTGAGTAACATGGAGAAACCCCATCTCTACCAAAAAAAAAAAAAAAATTAGCAGGGCATGGTGGCTCACGCTTGCAATCCCAGCCACTCGGGAGGCTGAGCCAGGAGAACCACCCAAACCCGGGAGGCTGAGGCTGCGGGGAGCTGAGACCCTGCCACTGCACTCCAGCCTGGGCAACAAGAGTGAAACTCCCTCTCAAAAAAAAAAAAAGAGAGAGAGAGAGAGACTGAGTTTCACCATGTTGCCCAGGCCGGCGTGTAACTCCTAGGCTCAAGGGATCCGCCGCGCTCGGCCATCGGAAGTCCTGGGATCACAAGCATGAGCCGCCACGCCAGGCCCATCTGTTCCTTTCTGATTAATAAATTGCGCCCGGCGCGGTGGCTCCCTCCTGCAACCCCACCACCCTGGGAGGCCGAGGCGGGCGGATCACCTGAGGTCGGGAGTTTGAGACCAGCCTGACCAACATGGAGAAACCCGTCTCTACCAAAAAAGAAAAAAAAATAAGCTGGGCATGGTGGCTCACGCCTGCAATCCCACCACCCCGGGAGGCCGAAGCAGACGGGTAATCTGAGGTCAGGAGTTTGAGACTACCCTGACGAAGGGAGAAACCCCGTCTATACCAAAAAAAAAAAAAAAAATACAAAAAGAGCCGGGCATGTTGGCTCATGCCTGCAATCTCAGCCACTTGGTAAGCTGAGGCAGGAGAACCACCCAAATCCCGGAAGCGGAGGCCGCGGGGAGCTGAGACCGCGCCACTGCACTCCAACCGGGCAACAAGAGTGAAACTGCCGCAAAAAAAAAAAAAGAAAAAAAAAAAAAAGAGAGCGGGTTTCACCGTGTTGCCCCGGCCTGTCTGGAATTCCTAGGCTCAAGGGATCCCCGGCCCTATTCCTTTCTGATTTATAGATTAGGCCTTGCGCGCTGGCTCACGCTTGCAATCCCAGCACCTCCGGACGCCGAGGCGGGCGGATAACCTGAGGTGGGAAGTTTGAGACCAGCCTTATGAACATGGAGAAACCCCATCTCCAACAATAAAAACAAAAACAAACAAAAAACAAAATGAGCTGGGCATGGTGGCTCACGCGTGCAATCCCAGCCACTCGGGAGGCTGTGGCAGGAGAACCACCCAAACCCTGGAGGCGGAGGCCCGTTGAGCCAAGACCTCACCACTGCACTCCAGCCTGGGCAACAAGAGCGAATCTCCGCCTCAAAACAAACAAAAAGTGACCAGGTTTCACCATGTTACCCAGGCAGGTCTGGAACTCCTAGGCTCAAGCGATCCGCCGCGCTTGCCGTCCAAATTCCTGGGATCACAAGTGTGAGCCACCATGCCAGGCCGATCTAGTCCTTTATGATTAATAAACTGGACCGGGCGCGCTGGCTCACGCCTGCAATCCCAGCATCCCCAGAGGCCGAGGAGGCGGGCAGATAACCTGAGGTCGGGAGTTTGAGACCAGCCTGATGAATATGGAGAAACCCTGCCTGTACCCCCCCCCGCCAAAAAAAAGAGAGACCGGGTTTCACCATGTTGCCCAAGCCGGTGTGGAACTCCTAGGCTCAAGTGATCCCCAGCGCTCGGCCGTCCGACGTCCTGGGATCACAAGCGTGAACCACCACGCCAGGCTGATCTATTCTTTTCTGATTAATCAATTGGGCCTTGCGCGCTGGCTCACGCCTGCAATCCCAGCATCCCCGGAAGCCAAGGCAGGCGGATAACCTGAGGTCCTGAGTTTGAGACCAGCCTGACCAACAGGGAGAAACCCTGTGTGTACCAAAAAAAAAAAAAATTAGCCGGGCATGGTGGCTCACACCTGCAATCTCAGCCACTAGGGAGGCTGAGGCAGGAGAACCACCCAAACCCAAGAGGTGGAGGTGGCAGGGAGCCGAGACTGCACCACTGCACTCCAGCCTGGGCAACAAGAGCAAAACTCTGCCTCCAAAAAAACAAAAAAAAGAGAGAGACCGAGTTCCACCATGTTGCCCAGGCCAGTCTGGATCTCCTAGGCTCAAGTGATCCCCAGTGCTCCATCATCCAAAGTCCCTGGATCACAAGCGTGAGCCACCACGCCAGGCCGATCTATTCCTCTCTGATTAATAAATTAGGCGGGGTGCAGTGGCTCACACCTGCAGTCCTGTAGAGGGATTTTTAAGGAATTAGATAGACTCATGGGGTTTAGGAGGACATTTATTAATTATTTAGGTGCACCGGCCCAGTCGGATTAACATTTAAAGGATTGAGCACTGAACCAAGAGTTACCTTTCAAGCATTATGTGGGGCGAAGGGGGAGATCTGTGCAGGGAGAAGCATATTATAGAAGCGAGAAACAAAGATTGTTATTTAATTGAAACATGCATTATATTATTTTTTACTATTTAAGGAAAAATATGTTTTGTGACTTGAGTTTATTTGTTTAGTGACCTTGTAGTTGCACAGTTAAGGAATTAGTCGGGCATGGTGGCTCACACCGCAATCCCAGCCACTCAGGAGGCTTTGGCAGGAGAACCACCCAAACCCCGGAGACGGAGGTCTGGCAAGCTGAGACCTCGCCACTGCACTCCAGCCTGGACAGCAAGAGCAAATTTCCCCCTAAAAAAAAATATATATGACTGGGTTTCACCATGTTGTCCAGGCCGGTCTGGAACTCCTAGGCTCAAGCAATCTGGCTCTGGATGTCTTTAACTTGTGATTGAAAGCGTATTAAGATGTTGGGTGTATCAACAGTCCGGAGGACAAGAAGGAAAATCCTGGCATGTGAAATATTCTGCAACAAGAAAAGCAATCGGAGAGGTGACTACATTCACTCAGCTGTTTTGCCCTCTTCTTCCCCACCCCCCACCCCCCCGTCTCTTTCCTGGAAGTTCCCTAGTAAGAAGTAAAAGAGATAATGGCTTTCGAGTGCATGTTTTTCCTGGAATTGGAAGGAATTTTAACAAAGGAGCCCTTCACAATGAAACCCCCCCACACCCCTGCTTTTCACCTGAAGTAGGACAAGATCGTCGCCCCCACCATCATTCTCCACGTGACCCCAGGTGGGGATGGGTAGTGGACACTACTGATAAGCTCTCAGCAATTTCCCTATTTGTGGACTCTGAAGCTCCTTAGCTTGACAACTGATGCATAAGTTTTCTTTTGTGGGATAAGAATAGGAGAATAGGTGACCTTTTCCCCCTGAATTCCCATCCTGGGGCCAGGGAAGAGAGCCCAGGATCCCTTCTCTTGGCCTTCACACTGTGGGAAAGAGTACCTAGAGTTAAAAGCCTGATAAATGCCCTCGAACAGCTTTGAAAATCACAAGGTCAGGAGATCGAGGCCATCCTGCCTAACACGGTCAAACCCGTCTCTACTATAAAAAAAAAAAAAAAAAAAAAATACAAAAAATTACCCGGGCATGGTGGTGGGCGCCTGTAGTCCCAGCTACCTACCGGGGAGGCTGAGGCAGGAGAATGGTGTGAACCCGGGAGGGGGACCTTGCAGTGAGCTGAGATCGAACCACTGCACTCCAGCCTGGGCGACAGAGCGAGACTCAGTCTTAAAAACAAACAAACAAAAAAAAAAAGAAAAGAAAAGAAAAGAAAAAAGAAAAATCACTCGGCGTGAGCGCTTGCCCCCTGAACAAATGTCCAAGTGTATCACTATGGGAATGCCTCTTGGGTCACAGACACAGAGGTAATTCTCTTTGTAAATAGATTCATGTCATTTGTCTCGTTTCTGAACAGTTTCAAAAGAATTATTTGGTGAAGTCAGTTTCCTAGGAGAATCCATCACATTTCCCCAGAGGTATTTCCACCCTTGCAAACCATTAGATAAAGAACAGGCCACGCACAGTGGCTCACACCTGTAATCCCAGCACTTTGGGAGGCCAGGCGGGTGGATCATGAGGTTAGCGGATCGAGACCATCCTAGCTAACAGTGTGAAACCCCGTCTCTACTAAAAATACAAACAATTAGCCAGGTGTGGTGGCAGGTGCCTGTAGTCCTAGTTACTCAGGAGGCTGAGGCAGGAGAATGGCATGAACCTCGGAGACGGAGCTTGCAGTGAGCCAAGATTGCGCTACTGCACTCCAGCCTGGGCGACAGAGTGAGACTTTGTCTAAAAAAATAAAAAAACAAAAACACGTAAAGAACAAATTAGTCCTCGTGGTAGGCCACCCCCACCCCATCTCCAGTTCACCACTTCAATCATACTACTTTCTCAGTGGACTTGAAGCCAAGCTTTCACATCAGAGCCCTCCAACCAAGAGCCTGACTGTATAACTCCTAAGAACAATCAAGTAAGAATGTTTTTCTTTCCATTCCTCACATCTGGTATCTGTTGCCTTGTGAATGGGGTGCCCATCAGCAGGAAGGGTTAGAACTAGGGTAAGTGTGTAGGGAGCAAGGCTTGAAAAGAAACAGATGAGGAAAGAGTAGCAAAATCAAGACTGTCCCAGGAAGTGAGTGTCAGTCAAAGGTTTTGAAATCCCTCAAATAGTTACTTCTGCTGTCTTGGTTTTGTCCACCTCCCTTCTTTTTTCACATACCTGCCACCCTAAAAAGTAATACCTATGCCTAACATAGAGCTAACCAGTTAAAGAACTGCTAGTAACTTTAGAAAAGAGTCCATTTCCCATCAGAATCAGAACAAAATCTTTTTAAAAAAATTATTTTTGGCCAGGCATGGTTGTTCACACCTGTAATCCCGGCACTTTGGGGGGCTGAGGTGGGTGGATCACTTGAGGTCAGGAGTTCAAGACCAGCCTAACCAACATGGTGAAACCATGTCTCTGCTAAAAATACAAAAATCAGCCGGGTGTAGTGGCATATGCCTGTAATCCCAGCTACTCAGGAGGCTGAGGCATGAGAATCACTTGAACCTGGAGGCAGAGGGTGCAGTGAGCCAATATCGTGCCACTGCACTCCAGCCTGGGTGACACAGCGAGACTCTGTCTCAAAAAAACCACAAAAACATATATATATATATATATATATGTATATATATATACATATATATATATATATATACATATATATATATATATACATATATATATATATATAAAATATAAATATATATACATATAAATTTTTTCAGGCGGGGGCAATGGCTTATGCCTGCAATTTTAACACTTTGGGAGGCAGAGGTGGGAGGATCATTTTACCTAGGAGTTTGAGACCAGCCTGGGCAACATAGTGAGATCTTGTCTCTACAAAAACAGTTTTAAATTAGTCAGGCGTGGTGGTGCATACCTGTAGCCCCAGCTACTTAGGAGGCTGGGGCAGGAGAATCCTGCTGCTGCATTTTGTGCTACTTTTAAAAATATTTGGTAAAATTCAGGAGTAAAGCCGTCGGGTCTTGGGCTTTTCTTTCCCGGGAAACTTTTTTTTATTTTTTGAGAGGGCGTCTCGCTCTGTCGCCCAGGCTGGAGTGCAGTGGCCTGATCTCGACTCACTTGCAGGCTCCGCCCCTCAGGTTCACGCCATTCTCCTACCTCAGCCTCCTGAGTAGCTGGGACTAGAGGCACCCGCCACCATGCCCAGCTAATTTTTTTTTTTTGTATTTTTTTTAGTAGAGACGGGGTTTGACCGTGTTAGTCAGGATGGTCTCCATCTCCTGACCTCGTGATCCGCCCGCCTCGGCTTCCCAAAGTGCTGGGATTACACGCGTGAGCCACTGCACCCGGCTTTTCCTGGGAAAATTGTTTCCGTCTCACTACTTATTGGTCTTTTCAGGTTTTGGATTTCTTTGTGGTTCATTCTTGCTAGGTTGTATGTATCTAGGAAAGTATCCATTTATTCTAGATTTTCTAATTTATTGGTCTATAGTTGCTCATACTAGCCTCTAATGATCCTTAGAATTTCTACAGTATCAATGAAAATGTCCCCGTTTTCATCTTGATTTTATTTATTTAGGGTTTTTTGTTTTTTTTTAGTGTGGCTAAAGGTTACTGGTTTGGTTTATCTTTTTTAAAAAACGAACTTTTCGTTTTGTTCATATTTTGTATTTTTTCATTTCAATTTCATTAATTTTTGCTCTTATCTTTATTCTTTCCTTTCTTCTATACTTATTTTGGGTCTGGTTTATTCTTGCTTTTCTAGTTCTTTTAAGATGTATCGGCGCCACGGGCCCCGCAGAGCCAGGGCGGCTCCCGCCGGTAGCCTGTGTGTGGGCCCCGGCCAGCCGCGCCCCCAGTCCATATCGCCCTTCACTGCCCCGAGGCTGGCGCGGCTATGGGGCGCGGGGCCGGAGCTGCTCTGGGGCGTTGGAGCCGCGCGCCGCTGGAGGAGCTGCTGCCGGGGCGGGGGTCTGGGCGGCTCGGGGGGCCACGCGGGCCTCGGACGGCTCCCGGGGCTGTGGGCTTGGGCCCGGCAGCTGCAGGTGCGGGGCTCTTGCCGGCCGGGCGCTCCTCGGCTCCCGCGCGCCGGGTTCCCGGGCGGTCCCACCGCCACTGCCTCGGCAGGGGAGGAGGCCTGGCGGCGCGGGCGGGCGGCGCCTTCCCGGGACGACCAGCGGCTACGACCCATGGCGCCCGGACTCTCGGAGGCCGGGAAGCTCCTGGGGCTGGAGTTCCCTGAGCGCCAGAGGCTGGCAGCTGCGGTTGGATTTCTCCGATGTCCGGTGTTATCTCCATGTCTGCCCCTTTCTTTCTGGGGAAGATCATCGATGCCATCTATACCAACCCCACTGTGGACTACAGCGACAACCTGACCCGCCTCTGCCTTGGCCTCAGTGGCGTGTTTCTATGTGGTGCTGCCGCCAATGCCATTCGTGTCTACCTCATGCAAACTTCACGTCAGCGCGTTGTGAAGAGGCTGAGAACTTCGTTATTCTCCTCCATTCTGGGGCAGGAGGTTGCTTTCTTTGACAAGGCTGGCACAGGGGAATTGATTAACCGCCTCTCATCGGACACTGCACTCCTGGGGCGCTCAGTGACTGAAAACCTCTCAGATGGGCTCAGGGCCGGGGCCCGGGCTTCTGTAGGCATCAGGATGATGTTTTGTGTCTCACCTAATCGGGCCACCTTTGTTGTGAGTGTGGTGCGTCTAGTGTCAATCATTGATGTAATTTATGGACGATATCTACGGAAACTGACCAAAGTCACCCAGGATTCGCTGGCACAAGCCACTCAGGAGGAACGTATTGGAAATGTTAAGAACTGTTCGAGCTTTTGGGAAAGAAATGACTGAAATAGAAAAATAGGCCAGCAAAGTGGACCATGTGATGTAGTCAGCAAGGAAAGAGGCATTCGCTCGGGCTGGCTTCTTTGGAGAACTAGGCTGTCCGGAAACCTGATTGTGCTTTCTGTCCTGTACAAAGGGGGGCTGCTGATGGGCAGTGCCCACATGACCATGGGTGAACTCTCTTCCTTCCTATGTATGCTTTCGGGGTTGGAATAAGCATTGGAGGTCTGAGCTCTTTCTACTCGGAGCTGATGAAAGGACTGGGTGCCGGGGGGCGCCTCTGGGAGCTCCTGGAGAGAGAGCCCAATCTGCCTTTTAAGGAGGGGGAAGGGTTATCTTAAATGAGAAAAGCTTCCAGGGTGCTTTGGAGTTTAAGAACGTGCATTTTGCCGATCCCGCTTGCCCGGAGGCGCCCATATTTCAGGATTTCAGCCTTTCCATTCCGTCAGGATCTGTCACGGCACTGGTTGGCCCAGGTGGTTCTGGCAAATCAACAGTGCTTTCGCTCCTGCTGAGGTTGTTCGACCCTGCTTCTGGAACCATCAGTCTTGATGGCCATGACATCCGTCAGCTAAACCCAGTGTGGCTGAGATCCAAGATTGGGACAGTGAGACAGGAACCCATTTTGTTTTCTTGCTCTATCACTGAGAACATTGCTTATGGTGCTGATGGCCTTCCTCTGTGACCGCTGAGCAAGTCCAGAGAGTGGCTGAAGTGGCCAATGCAGTGGTCTTGATCCGGAATTTCCCCCAAGCGTTCAACACTGTGGTTGGAGAAAAGGGTGTTCTCCTCTCAGGTGGGCAGAAACAGCGGATTGCAATTGCCCGTGCTCTGCTGAAGAATCCCAAAATTCTTCTCCTAGATGAAGCAACCAGTGCGCTGGATGCTGAAAATGAGTACCTTGTTCAAGAAGCTCTAGATCCACTGACGGATGGAAGAACAGCGTTAGTTATTGCCCATCATCTCTCCACCATTAAGAATGCTAATATGGTTGCTGTTCTTGACCAAGGAAAAATTACTGAATATGGAAAACATGAAGAGCTGCTTTCAAAACCAAATGGGATATACAGAAAACTAATGAACAAGCAAAGTTTTATTTCAGCCTAAGGAAACAATTACTGGTAAACAACATGAGAGACTTTAATGCAAAACAGTACTGTAGAAAAAAAAAACCTCAGAGACTGCATGAAATATGTAAACCATATATCAAGTTATTTGAAAAATAGCTATTTTTTCCAAAGCGTGTAAAATATTGCTTTGAAATGTACCTGTTCTCAAGATCTTTTTATTCAGAGTTTTAACCATTGTAACTTTTTAAATGTCTATAGCACTGAAGTTATTTTCAGGTTTTGTATTTTCTTTCATTGTGGAATATTTTAATTAATATAGCATGGCACCTCATTTTCTTTTGCCTGCTGTTAAAGATGGAAGCTGTTGTCAAATGACAACTTTAAAAAGGGAAGTATAAATAAAAAGCCTGATTATTTTAGGCCAGTTTGCCAATCACTGTGTAATTCCTCTGGTAGTATTCTACCTACTTTAAGTCTAATTTTACTAGATAGAGTAATGGAAAATGAAAATCTAACCCTTTATTCCGATAATCTCATGAAGCAAACCTAACTATTTAACATCAGCTGGAAAGAAGGGAACATTTATATTGCCCGTCTCCTGTGTCTTCAAAGGTGTGAGAGTTGAGGAATATGTGTTCCTACGGGAACTATGTTTGAATATGTGCAGTTTTCAACATTTTGGCAAATGAAAGCCTGACAAGTTTTTAAAAGGGCAGAAGCTTTATTTTTTGAACAGAAAAATCTATTTTTTAAATTCACATGTTTGTATGAGTACTTCTGGGAAGCAAGGGATGAACTGCTAGGTATTATTAAGAACGAATGATTTTTGCATTTAAGTTGTTTGAAGGCATGTATTTTGAAAAATATCTGTTACAAATTTATAATTTCAAGACATACTAAATCTTATAATACTTTTGGAATTTCATTAATAAGGCTAAAATCTGAGGAATGTAACTAATTTTCAGCCTTAAGACACTTAAGTTTGGAAGTCCTTGCTATTCAACAGAATAACAAGAAACCTTCAGAATGTATCACTCTCCCAAAAAGAAGATATTAATAAGCCCTTTTCTTTTATTCATGGTTATAGTTTTTTTATAGTCTCAAAATTCCTAAAGCAATGCTGACAGCCATTGAATTTGCCATATTTTGTATTCAGTGCTGTTAATGTGCTGTTGCCTCAAGAAAAAGTGCTTTTTCTCCATTGATGAGGCTAGACCCTAAGAGGTAATTAAGTCAATGTAAATCAAATGGAAGTTTTGCCATGAACTAAGCATTTATTAGTTCCCTGATTAGACTGGAAGAAGAAACCGCTATTTCATGACAAGCATGGAATATTATATTTTCTTCTTCATAATTAATGAATAAAATTGATATGAGCGAATGAATGTAGTATTTTTTGAATTAGTAAACAGTACATCTGTGACAATCATTTTAACAAGCTCTACTTGTGTTCTTTATAAAGTGTGATTTTCAGAAAGCAAACAAAACACAATTAAAAGGTTGAATCTGAGGAAAATAATGCTTGTACCATAGAAGTATTTACAAAATTGCATTTCATTGTTATGTTTTATTTTCTGATACCTGATGTTCAATTATATCTGTAGGTAATATTTTATATCATAGATTAAAATTTATAGTGACCTTAAAAAAAGATGTATCATCAGGTTATTTATTTGAGGTTTTTCACTTTTTTGATCTTGGAAATTATAGGTATAAATTTCCCTCTTACTACTGCTTTTTGCTGTATCCCATAGGTTTTGGTATGTTGTGTTGCCGTTTTTATCTGCTTCAATAAACTTTTCAATTTCTTCTGAATTTCTTTGTTGAAATTGTAAGGATCATTAGAGGCTACTATGAGCAACCATAGGCCAGAAATTAGAAAACCTAGACTATCTGGATACATATAGATACAGAAAAATTCACATTATGAATTTGTTCTTAAATAAGCTTTGGTAATTTGTCTCTTTACAGAACTTTAAGCTGCCAAATTCTTGAGTATGGAATTGTTCATAATAGTTATTATCATTTAAATATAGAGGTTCTGTAATGATATTTCTTCTTTTATCAGTCCTTTTTTCTTAGTCTTACTAGTATGTAACAACTTTACTGATTTTTTCAAAGGAACTTTTCACTTTGTGAATTTATTTACTTTCAATTTCATTTATTTCTTTCATTACCTGTTATTTTATTTTTTCAAATTACGTTTTGTTTATTTTTTCATTGACTTTTAAACCTACGTATTTTTCTAATAGAAGAATTTCAAATAATAAATTACCCTCTCAATTTAACTCTACACCACAAATATGAAGCTTTTATTATCATAATTTTATTTTATTTTTTTAATTGGCACATAATAATTGTGCATATTTATGGGTACATAGTGATGTTTCAATACTCATAGTGTATATATTTAATTACCCTGATGAGGTGATGGTAATTAGCATATCCATCATTGCAAACATTTATCATTTCTTTGTTTTGGGAACATTCAATATCCTTTGCTAACTATTTGAAGCTATATGTTATTGTTAACTATTGTCATACCATAATGGTATAGAGCATTAGAACTTATTCCTCCTATCTAGCTTTAATTTTGAATCTTTTAACAAATCTCTCCCTATCCCTCCCTCCCTCTTATACTTTCCAGCCTCTAGCATCCTCTGTTTTAACTTCTATAAGATCAAAATATTTTAGCTTCCACATATGAGTGAGAAGCTGTAATGTTTAACTTTCTCTTCTTGGCTCATTTCACTCACATAATACACTCCATTTCTATGCATGTTGCTTTTATGGCCGAATAGTACTTCATTGTGTATCTATTCCTTTTCCCCTCCTGTCCCCTCCCTTCCCCTCCTCTCCCCTCTCCTCTCCTTCCTTTCCCTTCTTGAGATGGAGTCTTGCTCTGGAGTGCAATGGTGTGATCTTGGCTCACTGTAACCTCTGCCTCTCGGATTCAAGTGATCTTCCACCTCAGCCTCCCGAGTAGCTGGGGACGTGCCACCATGCCCAGCTAATTTTTATATTTGTAGTAGAGATGGGGTTTCACCATGTTGGCCAGGCTAGTCTCGAACTCCTGACCTCCAGTGATCCACCCATCTTGGCCTTCCAAAGTGCTGGGATTGCAGGCGTGAGCCACCGTGCCCGGCCTATATACCACATTTTCTTTAACCATCATCTGTTGCTGGACCCTTAGGTTGATTCCATATCTTGCCTATTGTGAATAGTGCTGCAATAAACATCTAGGTGCAGATGTTTATTTAATATACTGTTTTCCTTATTTTATATTTTTTCTAAATTATCTTTTGATTTCTTTTATGAACTATGAGTTAAATAGTGTTTCATGTTATTTACAACTATTTGGGGGTTTCCTAGGAATCTCTTATGTCATCGATTTCAAATTAAATTTTATTGTGATCAGAGAATATATTCTATAAAATCTAAAGCTTGAGTAAGTTAAATTCATTTAAACTTACTCTTTGATTCAGCATTTGGCCTATGTTGGTGGTGCTTTCAATACACAAGAAAACAATGTATATTCAGCATTTGAAATGTAGTTTTTATAAATGTCAATAAGATCAAGGTGATTTATAATGAAGTTGAAATGTTCTATAGCCATACGAATGGTTTGTCTTACTGTTCAATCAGTGATGAACAGAGGGATGTTAAAATCTTTAATTATTATTGTCATTTATCCATTTCTCCCTTCAATTCTGCTTTTTCCTTCATGAATTATGAGGCTTTATTATTAAGTTGGTGTCCCTTTCATAATTATGAAATGGGGGCATTTCATAATTATGGACATATATGTCATATTAGGACAATAATATAATAACCAATTCATCAGAGGACAATAATATAAGCAATATTATTGTCCTCTGATGAATTGGTTCTTTCATAATTATGAAATGCCCCCATTTTCTCTTATAATGCACCCTCTTTTCCAGTCTACATTGCATTTTGCTAATGTAGCCACACAAGCTTCCTAATGCTTGCTGTGTATATGGTTTATCTTTTCTTGTAGGTTTACTTTTCATCTATCTGTGTCTTTATGTTTAATGTATGTTTCTGGTAGACAACATTAGTTGGGTCTCATTCTTTTGTCTAATATGACAGTCTCTACCTTGTAATTGAATAATTTAGTTCATAAATATGTTAAATGAAATGTGTTGCCACTTTTAAAAACTGTACAATCTCTTGTTTCTCTTCTCATATTTTTGTTTAATTGTATTTTAAGTATTCATTTTAAATTGCATAGATGAGTTAGTTGCAACGCTTTTTTGTATTGAGTTATTTGTATTACAATAATCATCAATTTATACTTAACTAATCTAAATTTTACTTCGAGGTAATTTTTGACAACTTCATATATAATGTAAAAAACTGATGACATCTGTTCTATTTTTACATTCTCTCCAGTGATTGATAGTGTTGCCTACTTTGTCAAATCAAAACAAGGCAACATTTTCCTAAAAAGTGATCTGTGCTCCACCTATCCTATTCATATGCACAGAAGACTTTCAGGGCAGAAAACTATTCTGCATGATACTATACTGGTATATGAATTTGCCTAAACTCATAGAATGTATGACAGCAAGCGTGGACCCTAATATAACTATGGACCTTGGTGATAAGGATGTGCCAGTGCAGGTTCATCAGCGGTAAGTAATGTGCCACTCCAGAGGAGAATGACAGCAAGGGGTCAGGCTGTGCCTGTGTGGACACAATGATGTATGAGAAATCTTTGTATCTTTCTTTCAATTTTGCTGTGAGCTTACAACTGCCCTAAAAATAAAGTCTATTAAAAAAACCCAAAACAACAACAACAAAAACTGATGACGGTAACATTTCCTTTACTCCCCCTCTGTCTTTTGTGATTTTTTTTAGTATAAGTTTTTCTGTCCACATCATAAACCCCACAATAAAATGATATCTTTTTAAATTTAAATAGTCAGTTTCCCTTCAACAAAATCGGCAGATTAAAAAAAAGTATTTCCTGTTACTCATATACTTACCATTTCTATGCTTTTCATTTCCTCTAATCTGGAGTTTAGATTCGACGTTATTTCCCTTCAGGCCAGAAAACTTCTGCTAGCATGTTTTGTAGTACAGATTTGCTGGTGACAAATTGGCCCATTTAATTTTTCCGAAAATGTCTTAATTTTACCTTCAACTTTGAAAGATACTTTAATAATATATAGAAACGAACCTGATGCTCTGTCATCTCCAAATACTTTAGTAGACTGATTCTCAACCAGGGGGAGTTTTGCCCTCCAGGAAACATCTGATAATATCTCAAGATATTTTTAGTTGTTAGCCTGGGGAAAGGTGTGAGGAGGATGCTACTGTCATTTAGTTATTAAAGGCAAACCAAGTCGCTAAACATCCTGCAATTCACAGGAAATGCCCCCAACAAAGAATTATGTGGCCCAAATGTCAGAAGCGATAGTGCCAAAGTTGAAAAACCTTGCTTTCATATATATTTTCTACAAACACAATTGTGTCTATATATGTATATACATATATATAATTGTATATATTACAAATCTGTTACAGTAATATATGTGCCCCCCCAAATGCAATACATGCACAGTACAACGAACAAAACCAGAAAATTAATATTAATATATTGCTACATCTAATTATCAAGTCCGCATTAAAATTTCACCAATAGTCAGCCGGGCACGGTGGCTCACGCCTGTAATCCCAGCACTTTGGGAGGCCGAGGCGGATGGGTCACGAGGTCAGGCGATCAAGACCATCCTGGCTAACAGGGTGAAACCCCGTCTCTACTAAAAATACAAAAAAAAAAAGGAAAAAATTAGCCGGGCGTGGTGGTGGGTGCCTGTAGTCCCAGCTACTCGGGAGGCTGAGGCAGGAGAATGGCGTGAACCCAGGAGGCGAGGCTTGCAGTGAGCCCAGACTGCGCCACTGCACTCCAGGCTGGGCGACAGACCGAGACCCCGTCTCAAAAAAAAAAAAAAAAAATTCACCAATAGTCCCAATAATGTTTCATAGCAAAAGGATCAAGTTCAGAATCATGCATTGCCTTTCATTGTCATGTCTTTTTAATGTCCTTGTATCAAGAATAGATCTTTAGACCTAACTTAACCAAGATTTCTGGCCCATATTTTCTTCTTTTTTTCCTTTGCTTTGCTTCTCCTTCCTTTTCTCCTTTCCTTTCTCCTTCGCTTTCCCCTTCCTTTTTCTCTTCCCTCTCCCCTTCCCTTCCCCCTCCCCTTCCTTCTCTCCTCTTTCCCTTACTTTTTCCTTTTCCCTTCCTTCTTTTTTGAATGGCTCCCTTTAGGTTTTCTGAGGTTTCCTTGTGACTAGAGTCAGGCAATGCATTTTGGCAAGAATATCACAGAATTGATGCTGCGTTTTTTTCATTGCATCCTATCAGGTGGTACATGATTCCAGTTTGTCTCATTACTGACAATGTTTATTTTGACAGGTTGATAATGGTGGTATATAGTAGGCTTCTATCTTGTTATTCTCTGTTTCTAGATTCTGTTACTTTATTTTATGTTGTTTTTCCTAAAGGGTAATAGGAATTTTCTCTGTTTCTTTATTTTGTTTTTGTTTATTTCCCTATTTTTATTCCTTACTATACTTTTAGCACATAGTACCTAGTGCAAAATACTAATATATGTTGAACACCAACAGTTGTTGAACAAATGTCTGAAACTGACTCTGTCCTGCTACCACAAAAACATATATATATATATTTTTTTCCTATAGGGATACCATCAACTCTACATAGTTGTCTAAGCCAAGACCTCCTGCTAGGACTGATTAAAGCCTGTGCATCCTCATTATCCAGAGCCTGTGTTGCTCCTCTAGAGCTATAGTCAGGCTAACCATTCCTTCTGGTTAATATCTGAAAGGAAGAATCATGCAGCAAGAAGAGAACTGTGAGGGAATAAAAATGGCACAAACCCAGCCTGGATTTCTCTCTCCCCTTTTAATGATGAATGAATGAAAAAAATTCATCATTAGCTGTAGTTAGTTTCTATTACATAAAAAGGAAGCTGATGAAATATATAACTGAGTTATATACCCACATCCAATTGGTTCTGTTTCTCTGGAGAACTCTATTAAAGAAGTTATTGAGTATTGTTTACATGTACACTGACAAATATGTCTAAAGGTTATGTCTGAACACCTATAAATTTATATCAATGATTCTATATAGTTCATTCTTATTACACTTGATTCTAATTCTTATGAAGTTGATGTTTGGTAGAATGAATGATAAAAGGAGATTCTGTCCCCTATTGAAGTGTTTGTGTAGTTACACGCCAGAGTTTTGGAGATTGAGGAAAAGGTTGAGCTTAAATAATTTTATGGGCAAACTCAATGCTTGAATGTAAGATAGTACTTTGAAAGATTTGGAGGATTTCATAATGACTTTTACTTTTGCTAATTATTGATACAGTCACTTGTAAATAAGTTTACTTAGGTAAGCTCAAGGAAATCATGCTTTTTCTCAGGCTTATTTTAAATCTGAATATTTTTACTGTCTTTGCTTTTACAAGAAAATATTCATCATTGTATTTTTTGTCTTAATTTTCAAAGTCAAATGTTAATTGTTTTTGTGGGATTACTTTGGCAAATATGGGAGATCCCCAAACAAATTTTAAAAAGTTTTTTCGGCCGGGCGCTGTGGCTCACGCCTGCAATCCCAGCACTTTGGGAGGCTGAGGCGGGCGGATCACGAGGTCAGGAGGTCAAGACCATCCTGGTTAACACAGTGAAACCACGTCTCTACTAAAAATACAAAAAAATTAGCCGGACGTGGTGGCGGGCGCCTGTAGTCCCAGCTACTCTGGAGGCTGAGGCAGGAGAACGGCGTGAACCCGGGAGGCAGAGCTTGCAGTGAGCTGAGATCGTGCCACTGCACTCCAGCCTGGGCGACAGAGCGAGATTCTGTCTCAAAAAAAAAAAAAAAAAAAAAAAAAAAAAAGTTGTTTCTGTTCTCCTTTGTTTTCTACTTTCTCTTAAATAGAAATATATTTCTTGTACAAATAAATGCCATGAATTAAAAAAATAATAAATTATGATTTTCCTTCGTGAGGATCAGTTCTCCTAGACATTGGTTTAGCTAATGCCAGCTATTTGGTATAAAAATCTGTATCAGTGGAGAGGTAAAAAAGAGCTAAAGGAAGCATAAGAAAGACAACCGCATCTTTAAGAAGTTCCTCTTTTTCTTTTCTTTTTTTTTTTTTTTTTTTGAGACGGAGTCTTGCTTTGTTCCCCATTGTTCCCCAGGCTGGAGTGCAGCGGCGCGATTTCTGCTCAGTGCAAACTCCGCCTCCCGGGTTCACGCCATTCTCCTGCCTCAGCCTCCCGTGCAGCTGGGACTACAAGTGCCCGCTGCGGCGCCCAGCTAATTTTTTGTATCTTTAGTAGAGACGGGGTTTCACTGTGTTAACCAGGATGGTCTCGATCTCCTGACCTCGTGATCCACCCGCCTCGGCCTCCCAAAGTGCTGGGATTACAGGCGTGAGCCACAGCACCCGGCCAAGAAGGTTCTCTTAAAAGGAATCACTTCTTGTTTTCTTACAAGTTATAACCTCACTACCCTAGAGTCACATTTTTTAATAACTTATGAATTTTCTGAAACTTCAAATACCCTATGGCCCCATGGTAAAACATCAGATGACATTTGCCTCTCATTTAAACCATTTTTCTTTTCCTCTTTCTTCTTTATTTTTCTTATACTCTCTCCTCATTTCTTTTTCTCTCTTCCTATTTCTCTTTTTCTCTCTGCTTCTTCCTACCTCCCCTCGTGACTTTGTCTCCTCATCCCATCACCGTGCTACTTAGATGCCACATCAATTTGACTAGCCTCAAATTTACAATGAATACTTTTTAAATTCATGCTTCTGAAACTTTTAAAGGATGAAGAGGTATAAATGTCTCAAATAATAATTTGCTTGATGGCTGAAATGAATGGCATTTCTCAAAAAGGCCAAGGGACTGAATACAGAAATTTAAACAATAACTTTCCGTTAGTGATACGGTTTGGATGTTTTGTCCCCTCCAAATCTCATGTTGAAATGCGACCTCCAGTGTTGGAGGTGGGCCTAGTAATAGGTGTTTGTTTCCCAAGGGTGGATCCCCATGAATGGTTTTGTGCTGTCCTCCTGGTAATGAGTGAGTTCTTGCTCTATGAATTCACGAGAGATCTTGTTGTTTAAAAGAGCCTGGCATCTCCCTTGCTCCCTCTCTCCCCATGTAATATGCCAGCTCCCCCTTTGCCTTAAGCCATGATTGTCAGCTTCCCGGGCCTCAGCAGAAGCTGAGCAGATACTGGTGGCCTGTTTGTACAGCCTGCAGACCATCAGCCCAAATACTCCTCTTTTCTTTATAAATTACCCAGTCTCAGGTATTCCTTTATAGCATTGAGATGGACTAACATAGTCAGTTTTGACAACATGAACCTTTCATATTAAAATTTAATTTCTAAATTCACTCATTTACTGTGATTGGTTGATAGCTTTTCTGTAATAATGAATTTTACGTGTGACTTTCAATGTGCTTTAAAACTTGATTCACTTTTTAGCTCTATTTTTGGAAACTACCAGCTTCCACTGTTGAGGCAAAAGTGTCATCATTGAGGCTCTCCTGCTGAGGTAGCTGTTGTCTGATTTCCCTTCAGTTCTACTGCTGTCCCAGTGGAAAAAGGGAATCTTCACCACTTACATGACATGTTTGCCTGAACTCTAATCTTCCACACTTGCTGTAGAAAAGAGTAAAGTGGCAGTTCAGGGCAGTTTACCAATTTAGAAACGGTGTCCGCTCAGTATTTTCCTCTGTGTCACTTACTAAAACATATAAAGAAACCATGGACATTAAAAGAAAGAGAGAGGTTTAATGTGATATTTTAATTCTAACAAGGATTTATGGGCACGTGAATGCTCAAAATCACATACCCCCTTAGTGTTTTTCATCTCACACATATCACATCAGACACATATCACACACATCAGGCACATATCACACAGAACTTACCGTAATTAAATTATCAGTTTTTGAAAAATATTATCATTTGCTCTCTTTTTTTCTATATAAATAAATTTTTTTAAAATATGATTTTCAGTTCTGGGATACATGCACGGAACATGCAGGTTTGTTATATAGGTATACATGTGCCATATAGGTGGTTTCTTATTTGTGTTTTCATCTTATGGCTTTGGCTAGAACTAGATAATAAAAGTATGCATCAATTTAAGAGTTATTTTTAATCATGGTAAGGACATATCTATAACTACTTTGTTAAATTTCATCAGTCATGCATGTTAAATATCATTAAATAAATATCAAAAATGGGCTGCTGTACCAGAATACCATAGACTTGGTGGCTTATAAACAACAGAAAGGAATTTCTCACAGTTCTGGGGTCTGGGAAATCTAAGACCAAGGTACTAGCCAATCTGGTGTCTGGGAAAAACTTTTGTTCTAGTTCAAAGAAGGCTGCCCTTTCTCTATAACCTCAGTGGGGAAGGAGCAAGGGAGTTCAGGGGGCTGCTTTAGAAGGGTGCTAAACCCATTAATGAGGGCTGCTCTCTCATGACTTAATTAGTTCCCAAAAGCCCCACCTTCAAAAACCCTCACATTGGCGGTTAGCATTTCAACATATGAATTTGAGAGGGATGTAAACATTTAGTCTGTAGCAGTAAATGTACAATATAAAGTAAATAGCTTTATTGTTGTGTTGCATTATATTAATATATATTTTCTAGTATTAAATCTTTGTATGCCAAATCACTGGGGTGGGTGATTTCTTAGTAAGTGTAGAATTCAGTTCCTTTTTCTTTCAGTTAAGAATATTTTAACTATGTTTATAAGGGATACTGTTTAGTAATTTTATTCTTTTTGTATTCACTTCATCAAGAGTTAGTAATAGTTATATTTGCTTTGTAAAATGAACTGAAAGGAAGCCACTTTTTATAACTTTATCCATATTTCCTAGTTTGGGGTCCATTTTACAAGATGTTTTAAACAGATGCTTATTAAAAACACTGGTTATAGGGACTTTAATAAAAATTTTTAAAATAATGTTTTACATTTCTTGCAAAAATTGATGCCTGCAACCTATTTACTATTTTTAAAATTAAATTAAGATTCATTTAAGCAGTACATGTTTATTTTAGTGAAACACGTATTTAATTTTCTAAGATAGTATTTTTTGTCTTTAAAACAATTTCTGCATGTTTTGTTTTTTTTTCACTTTAAATTTTATGTTTTCTCAGTTTTTGTTTTATCACATTTGCTATATTTTTCTGTATCATGGGTTATTTGTTAAAGAATGAACTTGTGTATGTTTATAAATTGTTACTGTTTTTGTTTATAATTTATTGCCTTCTAACTTAATATGTAATTAGCATTCCTTTTAATTTTGCTTGTATGCTTTGCTGTACCATTTTGAAATTCTTGAGTTAAATGCTTAACTAGTTTTTATCAAGTTTAAATATTAAATTAAATATGTCCCATCAGTTTAGTCATTTTAATATTCTCACTCATCAGACATTTTTTGGGAACACCATATGCCTTTTCATGCAGTCAGTTTCAAGAAAATGAAAATTACTTTTTATATGTTTATACTCAAAGCTTGGCTAGAGATAAGTCTCCCCTTCCTTAAGTTGGGGAGAAAGTGATTTCTTCCAGGCTATAGTCAAAAGAGATACAATTATAGTAACTTTTTGTGTTTGTTTGGGTTGTTTCTGTTTGTTTGTTTGTTTGTTTGTTTGAGACGGAGGTTGGATCTTGTTGCCCAGGCTGGAGTGTAGTGGCATAATCTCAGCTCACTGCAACCTCCGCCTCCTGGGTTCAAGCAATTCTAAACATATTTTAGCACAAAACTGTTTAAGATTTCAATTTATATCTTTTTATTATGTTCCATATACTCTTTTGATACATTACCCATTATGTTGATTATTAACGTACACTCAAGTCAAGATCTTTTATTATGTGAGGTCATCAGTCAATGATAACAGATATTGATGAATTAGTCTCCTCATCAGAAATTGAGCAACATTTTCATTCAAGACGACACATGGGCCTTTAAAGCATATTCAATAATACTGAGTCTCAGTGTTCTCCTGCTATTTTCTGAATGTGCATTTAGACCTTTATACATCTATCTATCTACTGACCCATTTATTAAATTTTCAGCATTTACTTTGTACTCCAAGGACCAGAACCATGTTTGTCTTGTTCACTGCTGTACTCCTATTGCAAGGACCTAGAACATAGTAGGAGCTCATTAAACCCTGAGGATTCAAAATAAGTGAATAGAGGTTGTAGCAGGAAGAAGTCTAAGATAGCCCCTATGACCTTCATTTCCTCATGTTACCCTGTTGATACCTCACACGGCAAAGGAGTCTTGCACATGTCACTAAGGCTAATAATCCGTCAGCCTTAAGACGGGGGGAGTATCTGGGTAAACCTAACCTAATCACACCAAAACTTCACAATCAGGGAGTTTTCTACAACTGAGAGTAGAATGGGAAGTCAGAGAGTTTCAGAGTCCAAGAAGCATTTATAGCACCCTTATTGACTTTGAAGATGCTTTGCTTCTTCTTTTGAGTTCAGTTTGAGATTATCTTTCTAATAATTGATTAGATTTTATTCTTGTAAAAAAAGAGATAATTTAAAGGAATCTATTTTTAAATACTCTGAGGAGGGTGATACTAGGGGTGCTGGTTGTCCTGTTTTAACTTTGTCTTAATTTCTAATGTAATTAAATTTTGAGTAGGTAATGTGACCTGTGTGGTTTTTATTTTAAAAAATATATTGAGGTTTTATATAATCTATTTTTAAAATTTTCAATGGAAACTTGAAAAAATACTGTTTCACATATTCTCGTATATATATATTAAAAATCTTTTTTTATTTATTTTTTATTTTTATTTTTTTTTGAGACGGAGTCTCGCTCTGTCGCCCAGGCTGGAGTGCAGTGGCGCCATCTGGGCTCACTGCAAGCTCCGCCTCCTGGGTTCACGCCATTCTCCTGCCTCAGCTTCCCGAGTAGCTGGGACTGCAGGCACCCACCACCACGCCCAGCTAATTTTTTGTATTTTTAGTGGAGACAGAGTTTCACCGTGTTAGCCAGGATGGTCTCGATTTCCTGACCTCGTGATCCGCCCGCCTCAGCCTCCCAAAGTGCTGGGATTACAGGCGTGAGCCACTTAGCCCGGCCTAATTATTTGTTTTTTAAAAGACGGTACATAGGAAGAAGTAAATCAGGAAAAGTGGATAGTGATTGGTGGCAGTAGAAGTGAGTCAGTGTTACAGTTACTATTGCTGCTTAAGAAACTAACCCAAATGGCCTGGGCGCCGTGGCTCACGCCTGTAATCCCAGCAGTTTGGGAGGCTGAGACGGGCGGATCATGAGTTCAGGAGATCGAGACCATCCTGCCTAATACGGTGAAACTCTGTCTCTACTAAAAATACAAAAGTTAGCCTGGCCTGGTGGTGGTGGGCGCCTTAAGTCCCAGCTACTCGGGAGGCTGAGGCAGGAGAATGGCGTGAACCCGGGAGGCGGAGCTTGCTGTGAGCCGAGATCGCGCCACTGCAGTCCAGCCTGGGCGACAGAGGGAGACTCCGTCTCAAAAAAAAAAAAATTTAAAAAAAGAAAAAGAAAAAAGAAACTACCCTAAATTTAATAAGGTAAAACAACGACCACTTCATTATATCTCATGGATCCTATAGGTGAGAAATTCCAGCAGGATTCATCTGAGTGATTCTTCCTCTCTCACATCATTAACTAGGGTGACTCAGTGCTAGTCGGCTGGCAAACAAGTCAGTCTGGAAGGTGCAAGGTGCTTTTTTTCTGTCTTATAAATTGATGGAGTTGTCTGGAAGGCAAGGCTCAGATGGGAAGGACTCTTAGTTATAGTGCCTGCACAGGGTAAACTTTTTTTTTTTTCTTTTTTTTTTGAGACGGAGTCTCACTGTCCCCCAGGCTGGAGTGGTGTGACCCGATCTCGGCTAACTGCAAACTCCGCCTCCCGGGTTCACGCCATTCTCCTGCCTCAGCCTCCCGAGTAGCTGGGACTACAGGCGCCCACCACCAGGCCCGGCTAATTTTTTGTATTTTTAGTAGAGACTGGGTTTCACCGTGTTAGCCAGGATGGTCTCGATCTCCTGACCTCGTGATCCACCCGCCTTGGCCTCCCAAAGTGCTGGGATTACAGGCCTGAGCCACCGCGCCCGGCCTGCACAGGGTAAACTTCTTATATGGCTGCTGGCTTTCCGCAGATCAAACACTCCAAGGGAACCAGGTGGAAAATGCCTGGTCTCTTTTTATCTCACTTTAAAGGTCAGGTAGAATTATTTGTCATACTCTATTGATTGTAGCAGTCACAAGCACGTCCAGATTTAGGGAAGGGAGACATAGACCTATTTTTTGATGAGAAGAATATCAACCTGTTTTTGGACTATGTTTAAAACTGCCACACATGACAATTACACACCAGGTAGAAGGCATTTGGGGACAGACTTGAAGGAAATGAGGAGGAATCGTGCTCTGCTGAAACAAGAGCATTCCAAAGAGAGACCACAGCTTGGGCAAAAGCCCTGAGTCGGAATCATGTGGACTTATTCTTAGAACAGCATCGAGGAAGCCATTATAGCTGGAGTAGAATGAGAAGGGGGAAGAGTATTAGTAGATGGTGGCAGAGAAATAAACATGAGAAGACGGATGATGGAACGAGCACCTTGTACGTCATTTTAAGGACTTTGGCTGTTCCTCAAACTGACATGGGACCATTGAAAGATTTTTTTATTTTTTATTTTTTAAATTTAACTTTTAAGTTCAGTGGTACACGTGCAGGTTTGTTATGTAGGTAAAGTTGTGTCATGGGGGTTTGTTGTACGGATTATTCTGTTACCCACATGGTAAACCTGCTACCCACTAGTTGTTTTTCCTGATCCTCTCCCTCCTCCCAGCTTTCACCCTCCTTTTCAAAATAAGACATACGTGCAGCCAACAAACGTAGAAAAAAAGCTCAGCATCACTGATCATTAAAGAAATGCACATCAGAAGTACAATGAGATACTATCTCACACCATTCAGAATGGTTATTATTAAAAAGCTAAAAAATAACATGCTGGCAATATTGTGGAGAAAAGGCAACATTTCTACACTGTTGGTGGGAGTGTAAATTAGTTCAGCCATTGTGGAAGACAGTGTGGTGATTCCTCAAACACCTAAAAGAACTACCATTCGACCCGGCAATCCTATTACTGGGTATACACCCAAAGGAATATAAATTGTTCTGTCATAAAGACACATGCATGCATATGTTTATTGCAGCGCTATTCACAGTAGCAAAGGCATGGAATCAACATAAATGCCCATCAATGGTAGACTGGATAAAGAAAATGTGGTATATATACACCATGGCATATTATGCCACCATAAAAGATGAGATCACGCCCTTTGTAGGAACATGGATGGAGCTGGAAGCCATTATCCTTAGCCAACTAATGCAGGAACAGAAAACCAAATGTTCCCACTTAGAAGCGAGAGTCAAAGGGGAGAATACATGAACACGTAGAGGGGAACAACATTGAAAGATATAAGCAAAGAAGTGATATCATCTGAATTGCATTTCTGAGATTTCTCTGGCACTTGTGTAAAAAATAGCTGAAAGGAATCAACGGCAGAAGCTGGGAGACCAGTTAGGGAGCTTTTGCAATAACCATAAGAGGAAATATGTGTGGCTTAGACTAGGAATCGTCAGGTTGGGAGTGCTCATATTCAAATGTGGTCAGAATCCGGACATTTTGAGTGAGCCTACAGAAAGCTTTAATACTATCTCAAACTAAAGGATATAGAAGGTTTTCCCTTTCTCTTGCCCTGAAACCTTCTGTATCCTTTATTTTGAGATAGTATTAGAATTCTTACTATCTTACTGACAATTCTCACTATCTTGTTTTATAACTTGGAACATGATTATAATTATAGTATTGTTAAATATTTTATTTTTATTTTATAATTATACTTTAAAAATATTATTTTGGTAAATAATCATAAAATATGAAAAATAAATCTTTCCATTAACTGAATCAATTGTCCCCTTGCAGGATTTTGGCTTCACAACTTCCTAATCCTTGAAATATTAATTTTGATTATTTTTCTAATATGTACCCATATGTCTTTGAGTAAATTTTTATTGGAAGGACAAATCAGTGCTGGATATACAGATGCCATTGCTTCGTACTCAGGTAAAGACAACCTGATATTTATGATCCTCTTGATCATATTTTTATTCTCTTAAAATCTTTATGTCTTCTAATAATGTTAACAGAGAAGAAAAAAAGTCTTATCTAAGCCTGACTTTTTATTTTTAAGGAAGTTTTTTTCTTTATTTGTAAAATTCAGGAGTTTGGCTAGTTGTTATTTAAATATGGAGAACTCTTCCTTGTTTCTTCCCCCTCCCTGCCTAGAAGCTGGTTGGTGCTTTTATTATTCGTACTTCAGTGATAGCTTTGATTATTGTTTCAGATCTCCTTGCCCTTGTGTCTTTCCCCAGTACACAAACTATTCTCGAGGTGGAACCTGTGGTCTCTGGCATACCCATCCGCCTTCTTCTCTGTCATTAGTTCATCTCTTCTTTTGCCCTCCAGAGCTCTGATTCAATTGCTGCTTGAACTTTTCAGTGTGTCAGTTTCTTTCTCCACGGATTTCCCTGTGGATGGAAAATCTGCCCTTGCACTTTAGTTTTCATAGAAGCCTCATCTCAGCTATCTCCCATTTTGTGATATGAGCCTCTTTTGTTATTGTAGCCTTCATCTCCTATTTCCTAAATTCCATGTGTTTCTACATACTGTTCATAGACAAATAGTTTAAAGCAATGTTCTATAGTTTCTTGTGGTTTGAAAGTCATATATTTTTAAATACGTTTTCTCCCCCTGAGAATTCAGCATACAGTTTCATTTTTCTTGTACGCAGGATGATTTTTAAGATTTTTTTTCTGTTATTTTTTTCCATTCTGGTTACCTAGAAGGTAGTGATTATTACCCCAAACCAGGGTTTGATACTGTGTTAGTCCACTTTCATACTGCTATGAAGAAATACCTGAGACTGGGTAATTTATAAAGAAAAAAAGGTTTAATGGACTCAGTTCCACGTGGCTGGGGAAGCCTCACAATCATGGCAGAAGGCAAAGGAGGAGCAAAGACATGTCTTACATGGTGGCAGGCAAGAGAGAGAGCATGTGCAGGGGAACTCCCCTTTATAAAACCATCAGAACTTGTGAGACTTATTCGGTTTCACAAGAACAACACAGGGAGAAACCCATCCCCATGATTCAGTTACCTCCCACTGGGTCCCTTTCATGACATATGGGGATTATGGGAGCTACAATTCAAGATGAGATTTGGGTAGGGACATAGCCAAACCATATCATTCTTCCCCTGGCGCCTCCTGAATCTCATGTTCTCACATTTCAAAATCAATCATGCCTTCCCAACAGTCCCCCAAAGTTTTAACTCGTTTCAACATTAACTGAAAAGTCCACAGTCCAAGGTCTCATCTGAGACAAGTCCCTTCCACCTATGAGCCTGTAAAACTAAAAGCAAGTTAGTTACTTCCTACATACAATGGGGGTACAGGCATTGGGTACCCCCAGTGTATTTACACCTGTTCCAAATGGGAGACATTGGTCAAAACAAAGGGGCTACAGGTTCCATGCAAGTCTGAAATCCAATAGGGCAGTCATTAAACGTTAAAGTTCCAAAATGATCTCCTTTGACTCCGTGTCTCACATGCAGGTCACACTGACGCAAGTGGTGGTCTCCCATGGCCTTGGGCAGCTCTGCCTCTGTGGCTTTGCAGGGTACAGCCTCCCTCCTGGCTGCTTTCACTGGCTGGCATTGTCTGTGGCTTTTCCAGGTACACAGTGTAAACTGTTTGTGGATCTACCAATTGGGGGTTTGGAGGGCAGCGGCCCTCTTCTCATAGCTCCACTAGGCATTGCCCCAGTAGGGACTCTGTATGGGAGACAGAGCCCACATTTCAATTCTCTACTACCCTGGAAGAGGTTCTTCATGAGCCCCTGCTCCTGCCCCCGCACCCCACCAGAGCAAACTTCTGCCTGAACATCCAAGTGTTTCCATACATTCTCTGAAATCTAGGTGGAGGGTCCCAAACCTCAATTCTTGACTTCTGTGCGCCTGCAGGCTCAACATCTTGTGGAAGCTGCCAAGGCTTGGGGCTGCAACCTCTGAAGACATGGCCTGAGCTGTAGCCTGGTGTCTCCCACCCCAGCCATGGCTGGAGTGGCTGGAATGCCGGGCACCAAGTCTCTAGGCTGCACACAGCAGGGGGACCTGGACCTGCTCCAGGAAATCATTTTTCCATACTAGGCTTTTGAGCCTGTGATGGAAAGAGCTGCCGTGAAGGTGTTAAGGTCTTTAATGTTCTGGAGACATTTTCCCCATTGTCTTGGTGATTACATTTGGCTCCTTGTTACTTATGCAAATTTCTGCAGGAGGCTTTAATGAAAGTCGGTTTTTCTTTTCTTTTCTTTTCTTTTTTTTTTTTTTGGATTGGGAGTCTCACTCTCTTGCCCAGGCTGGAGTGCAGTGCCGCAATCTGGGCTCACTGCAAGCTCCGCCTCCCAGGTTCACGCCATTCCTCAGCCTCCCAAGTAGCTGGGACTACAGGTGCCCGCCACCACGCCTGGCTAATTTTTTTGTATTTTTTTAGTAGAGACACGGTTTCACCGTGTTAGCCAGGATGGTCTGGATTTGCTGACCTCGTGATCCGCCCGCCTCAGCCTCTCAACGTGCTGGGACTACAGGCGTGAGCCCCTGCGCCCGGCCAAAAATCTTATACATTATAATGCTCAAATTTTATCCTTTAATAAGTCATAACGGAGAAACATGCTAATGATTTCACAATTAAATGTGACGTTCATTTAGTGTTTTGCTTTGTAATATTAAATATTTTATTGTTTTCCATGTGATACCTTTTCCTTTAAAATTCTACTTTATGTGAAATCGATGATGTTATAAATAGTCTTTGATTTTTACTTTATTAATCTTTGTACATTTTAATATCGTTAAACTTACAGGAACAGTTTGTACACTTCATGGAAATAGAGTAGAGTAATAGAGTTTGATTATTTGTTTTGTTTTCAGCTGAGGGTTTTTTTTTTTTTGGTAATTTCAGTCTTAGAGTCTTTCTTTTCAGCAGTTAGTGGTATAATTCATATTTGTTTCTCATAGCTGATTTTTTGTTTTAACTTTTGTGAACTTGCTTATAGTTTCTTTACAACTATTAGGCCGGTGCAAAAGTTATTGAAGTTTTCACTAATTATTATTATTATTATTATTTTGAGGCAGACTCTCCCTCTGTCGCCCAGGCTGGAGTGCAGTGGCGCGATCTCAGCTCACTGCAAGCTCCGCCTCCCGGGTTCACGCCATTTTCTTGCCTCAGCCTCCCGAGTAGCTGGGACTGCAGGCCCCGGTCACCACGCCTGGCTAATTTTTTGTATTTTTAGCGGAGACGGGGTTTCACCATATTAGCTAGGATGGTCTCGATCTCCTGACCTCGTGATCCGCCCACCTCAGCCTCCCAAAGTGCTGGGATTACAGGCGTGAGCCACTGCACCCGGCCTAATTATTTGTTTTTTAAAAGATGGTACATACGAGGAAGTAAATCAGGAAAGGAGGATAGTGATTGGTGGCAGTAGAAGTGAGTCAGTGTTACAGTTACTATTGCTGCTTAAGAAACTACCCCAAATGGCCCGGGCGCCGTGGCTCACGCCTGTAATCCCAGCAGTTTGGGAGGCTGAGACGGGCGGATCACGAGTTCAGGAGATCGAGACCATCCTGCCTAACACGGTGAAACCCCGTCTCTACTAAAAATACAAAAGTTAGCCTGGCGTGGTGGTGGGTGACTGTAGTCCCAGCTACTCGGGAGGCTGAGGCAGGAGAATGGTGTGAACCCGGGAGGCGGAGCTTGCAGTGAGCCGAGATTGCGCCACTGCACTCCAGCTTGGGCCACAGAGTGAGACTCCGTCTCAAAAAAAAAAAAGAAAAAAGAAAAAAAAAAAAGAAAAAAGAAACTACCCCAAATTTAATAAGGTAAAACAACGACCACTTCATTGTATCTCATGGATCCTATAGGTGAGAAATTCCAGCAGGATTCGTCTGAGTGATTCTTCCTCTCTCATATCATTAACTAGGGTGACTCAGTGCTATGCGGCTGGCAAACAAGTCAGTCTGGAAGGTGCAAGGTGCTTTTTTTCTGTCTTATGTATTGGTGGGGTTGTCTGGAAGGCAAGGCTCAGATGGGAGGGACTCGTAGTTATAGTGCCTGCATAGGGTGAACTTCTTTTTTTTTTTTTTTTAGACGGAGTCTCACTGTCCCCCAGGCTGGAGTGGTGTGGCCCGATCTCGGCTCACTGCAAGCTCCGCCTCCCGGGTTCACGCCATTCTCCTGCCTCAGCCTCCCAAGTAGCTGGGACTATAGGCGCCCACCACCAGGCCCGGCTAATTTTTTGTATTTTTAGTAGAGACGGGGTTTCACCGTGTTAGCCAGGATGGTCTCGATCTCCTGACCTCGTGATCCGCCCTCCTCGGCCTCCCAAAGTACTGGGATTACAGGCCTGAGCCACCGCGCCCGGCCTGTGCTCACCCATATTTCTGTTTGCTGTGTGGTGCAGTGCGACCACACGGTTCTTCAGACACAACCTCTGCTTTCTCATTTACCTCAACACTTTAACCCTTAGATTCTTTTTTACTATACTTCAGTGTATTTCCCAGGCATATATTGTCTATGAGGGATAAAATAAAATATCAATTAAAAACAAAAAAATTCAGAGAAATATTAACCATTCACTCTTCTAAGTTCTCAAAGGTTACATTCTTCACCAAATCATATAACCAGGTCCCAATAAAATACCATCATGCAGGGAATTTAACATCATGTAGTTTAAAATACCATCATGCGGGCAGCTTTCAACTAAGCATCCTGTAAGAAAAGATCATTTGTTCTTACATCTTTAAAAGTTTGGAAATTGCTATGGAAGATTATTTTTATTATATTGTCCATTGTCTGTTGCTTGAAGACATATATTTTGCTTGAGTTTAGAGTTACCAAAAAATAGTTGCTGATATATCCAGATACTATTTTATTAACTAACAATACCTATTTGAATTCTGGTTTTCCTTTTGGCCTTTAAGAACAAGGGGCTTAGGACTAAATTTTAGGCTGAAGGGTAGTGTTTCCTTCCCTAGGTTGTCCCATGTAATTGTCACCTCTTTCTCTTCATTATTCTGTCATTTTGCCCTTGTTTTATAGTGTCTGTGCCTTTCATTCTAAGCTGTCTCAGGGGCTTTTCTGGAAATACACAGTGTATAAGTACAAAATGATGAAATAAACATGCTTCTTTTTTTTTTTTTTTTTAAGACGGAGTCTCACTCTATTGCCCAGACTGGAGTGCAGTGGCACGATCTCGGCTCACTGCAAGCTCTGCCTCCTGGGTTCACTCCATTCTCCGGCCTCAGCCTCGCGAGTAGCTGGGACTACAGGCACCTGCCACCATGTCCGGCTAATTTTTTGTATTTTTAGTAGAGACGGGGTTTCACCATGTTAGGCAGGATGGTCTCGATCTCCTGACCTTGTGATCTGCCCGCCTTGGCCTCCCAAAGTGCTGGGATTACAGGCGTGAGCCACCGCATCAGGCCAACACACTTCTTTATTTTGTTTTCAAAGATGCTTGGGTGGGACTAGATGACCTCTAAGGTCCTTTCCAGCTCTAAATTTACGTTACTTTCACCAAAGACAGACAAAAAAAAAATCTGTTAGGTTATAGGTCTAGAGATGAGTGCCAAGTACTATATTCCTGCTCTAGGTGCATTTCTTGTTGAAGGCAGTGCTAGATTCAGTGACCTGTTACGGCCGTTTACAGTCTTATGGTGATAAAACAAGAGAACTGATTGCTAAAAAAAAAAAAAAAAAATTCAGTTGAAATATCTTTTTACTCTTAAGCATCAACAAAAAATAAATAGAAAACAGAAGAGTTGAGTTATTTAGTTTGAGCTATTTGTAATAAATTTGGACAACTAAGCTAAGCCCGAGTGTAGTTAATTCAATGAAATTAGTCATATTTGAATATTGTCACAACCTTACTACCACATTAGCATTAAGTGTGATTAAAATTTATTCTTTGTTTCTGTGTGAGTCTCCACAGAATCAGCTATCAACACCTTCATAATAAACTAGCCCTTCATTGCTTTCAGGAAACTTTTAGATTCAGAGCAGGTGGTTGGGCTTCTGCTTTAAAAGAGAACACATCATTTTTAAAGTCCCTTTCCTGTTTGTGTGTGTGAATTTAGAACACAGAAATTATCCATTGCATTGTTTATTTTTGCTAGGAGGTAGAAGTTCTTAAAAATATAGGAAATACTAGATATCATGTACTGATAATTTCCAAAGCTAATTATTTTTCTTAAGTCCAAGCTATAATTTAAGAGGTGTACTTGTGAAATATGAATATTGTTTTAGAGTAATAAAATGTTTCTCATGGAAAAATAGAATATGATTTTGTCGAAGTTCAAGGGAATATCCATTTTCATTCAGGTAGCTTCCAGATTTTTGTCTTTACATGTTCTGTGTAGTGATTTAAATACCGTACCTCCAAAATTTATGTCCATTAGGAACTTTAGAATGTGATTTTATTTGGAAGTAGGGTCTTTGCAGATATAATTAACCCAGTGATTGAGATGAGGTCATCCTGGGTGAAGGTGGGCCCTAAATCCAGTGTAAATGTCCTTATAACATACAGGAAAAGACACACACAAGGTCATGTGAAGATGGAGACAGAAATTGGAGTTATGCAGTCATAAATCAAAGAAGGTCAAGGATTGCCAGGAGCCACTGGAAGCCAGGAAGAAGCGAGGGAGAATTCTTCCCTAGGGTCTTCAGGGGGAGTGTGGCCCCGCCAACATCTTGATTTCAGAGGTCCAGGCTTCAGAACTATGAGAGAATATATTTCTGTCCTCTTAACCCACCAAGTGTGTGATAATTAGGTATGATGGCCCTAGGCAACTACTACACTCTAATTCAGAAGTTCTTCTGGATTTTATTGTATCATGTGTTGGTAGGAAGTACCTGGCTGTTTCAGTTGCATGATATGTGGGTAATCTTAGAATTATCATATCTTGCAAGTAATTTTAAAGTATGTTGTAATGTAGTCTGAAGCTTTTTAAATATGAAATTTAATTCATGCTGGTGTCAATTACATTTGAAAAAATACAAAAAAGCTATATAAGATTCTAGGATCTTTCAGAATTTTATAATGTTTATAATGGACAGTTGGTTAAATAAAAATTGTACCCTAAACAATTTTGTTGTTGGCTTAAAATAGCATTTAATTTATTAGTGCTCAGATAATAGTTATCCCCTAAATAGCATTTTTACTTTCATATGTTGATATCAAACAGTGAAGTGAGACAGCAAATCAGTACAACGTGGTGATTATCAAACATCATAAATCCATGAAGGATAGCCTTGATCTTACTGAGAAGAGTTTAATTTTAAAATGCATACCTGGAAAAGGCAACTTAGATTAACATTTCAAACTCACATAGCATTATTTGTGATTGATTATAGTTATAATTGATCATTTTACTTTTGGACCGTCACTTCGAATCAAATTGGGATAAATATAAATTAAAGATTGATTATTTGCTTTGAATTTTAGATTAAAAAATTCAAAAACCATAAAAACAGAGCTTTGACTATAATAAAGGTATTTATCCTTTCTTGGTAAGAATTGGGGAGGGGTTTAAGAAAAGGCTAAGCAATGTTCTATTTTTTACGTAGGCAAAAGTTCATTTGTGCTACTTTTTAATTAGGTAGTTTGTTGTTTTTTAAATGACAGCTTCCTAAACACTACTGATTTTACATGTGCAGTCATTAGCTTTTCATGTGGAAATAGTATCTTTCAAATTCACGCAGCTGCTTATTTTATGAAATGCAATGAGACTACTTACTTGCCACCTGTCTAAACTGGAATGCATAGATTCATGCCTTGCCAAATGAGGAGTTAGGGTGAAAAGTGATTAACGTCCATTCTTTAATGAGTTTCTAAGTCTTTCTGAACATGTTTTTATTCTATCTATTGCAGTGGTATAGTAACATTTTCGTGTTGGTTGCTGTACAAAGCATGATAATACCTTTATTAAAGCAATGTTAATGACATCCATAAGATATCATAAAATATTATATTCTCAATAGGAAATTTGTTATATATAAATAACAATAAAGATCGTAATAAGCTCTCCTTAATTCTGTTTATTTTGACTTCATTATTAAGTTTGGAAACATAGGTGTCAAATTTAGACATTATTTATATGTAATTATAAAGCCAAATAAATGTTAGAGATTAACTTAAAAAGAGTTTTGTGGCTTAACAATTGAAGTGAGATAGTGAGATCACAAGGGGCTTAATCATTCTGAATTGATTCTACAGATGTCTCCTTTCTCTAAATGCCCTGTAAGCTTCCTATCTTCCATGAAAGTTTATTCCCATAATCCTGGCACATAAAATTAGTCATATAACTCTTTTCCATTCTGAGATTTCAAGGATTAGGACTTTCAACATAGAGAAAACGTGCTGTGTAGAAGCTGAATGTACAAAAGGCAACACTTGGCAACGGAATCCAGTATTTCCCAAGTATTTGAGGAAACTTACAAAACCCAAATCTCTAGTACTTGCTTTCACATTTGCTATCAGAACCAGGAAGGGAGGCCTAGAAATGGTTTGAATGGAAAATTTGTTGTTGTAGAAGGGGTTCCCATTCACTGGTGAATAGACACAACGTATTTCCCAACCTTCTTTTAATCCAAGATAGCAACATTTTTACTGGAGCCAAAGATAAAACCAGTATTTAATCTCCTAGAAATTAGGAGATTTATGACTCTGGAAATGGAAAGAATTTTCATATCCAGCCACATAACCAAGTCCTGCAAGAACATAATAAACAAACCAATCAAACAACAAGAATAACAACCACAACATGGTCCCCATTCTGTCTTTAACCTCTGATAGAAAGAGCAGTAATGGTAAGACGAGAAAGCTCTCGTCAAGTGTTTTCCTCATCTACTGTTAATGATTTATTCTTACATCCTGTCCCAGTCCAATTATGAAAAAATTCTAAGAGAGATCCCTTTAACTGACTTGTAATGAATTCCAGGGTCACATTCCAGATATTGTTTTCCCCTGAAATCGTGTAAGTGCACATCAAAATACTATACTTTTGGTGTGAATCTGAGCCAAATTCTATTGTATTCTAAATAAAGTGAAACTCCTATCAGCCAATAGGGCACGGTATCAGTTTCAAATAAGACAAGTTGGTAAAGTCAGGAGAAATGACTTCCTCCTTCCTCCTGATGTGCTGTATATAGATGTATTAGCACTGCCTTTTAATATTTTATGTGTTCAACAGAGAGGGAACTAACATCTTGTTAATCCTCATTTGAAAACAATTTTGCGAATGTAAATGTAGCAGGGCTTTTGCCTTTTTTCCTTCTTCATGAAAAACAAGTAGTGCTTGGGGAGCAAGTGTTCCTGTTCAACTGCTGTCACTCATTCCCAGCTCTGTTTAGAAGAAATAAGCACAGATGGTTGGTCTACTACTTCCCCAACGAAAAATTTGCCTGTTGGCCGGGCGCAGTGGCTCAAGCCTGTAATCCCAGCACTTTGGGAGACGGAGGCGGGCAGATCACAAGGTCAGGAGATGGAGACCATCCTGGCTAACACGGTGAAACCCCGTCTCCACTAAAAATACAAAAAATTAGCTGGGCACGGTGGCGGACGCCTGTAGTCCCAGCTACTTCGAAGGCTGAGGCAGGAGAATGACGGGAACCCGGGAGGCGGAGCTTGCAGTGAGCAGAGATCGCGCCACTGCACTCCAGCCTGGGCGACAGAGCAAGACTCCGCCTCAAAAAAAAAAAATTGCTTACCTTTTTTGTGTTTTATTCCATCCTTCTCATTGTCATGTGAACAGTATTTCAAGGGAAGAAACTTCTGTAGGGATCTTTGAAATGTTTATCCACTGCTTGTGCATGAAAGAGAAAAAGAAGAAATTAATGATTTATTAAAATTCCATGAGGGGAACTCAAAAACGCTTTGTTACAAAAAAATTTAATTTAGAAACCGTGTATTTTGCATGCAAAATTAAAGTCTTCAGGGAAGTAAGTTTTTATATCAGACTTGCATCCTAAAGTACTCATTTAATGATGACAGAACCACTTCATCCATGTTAAAAATACCTGTGTGGGTCTTTTTTATTTATACTGTGGCTTAATGAAAATTTGTCTATTGTAAATATATTAAGAAAAAGAGCATAAAGACTTTTTAACATAATTTTCTAACGCTGAAAATACATACAAACAGTAAAATACCCAAATCTTAACTGTACAGCTCAATACTTCTTTTGTTTTTAAACAAACTTAGCCCTTCTGTGTATCCAGTACTCAAGTCAGGAAATTTTATATTATTACTTCTTCTAGACACTATTTCATAGGATCGCTCTTATGGTGATTTGGAACATAACTGATGAGTTTTACAATTTTTAGTGAATTAGATCGTAGAATATGTTCTGTATCTTGCTTCTTTCATTCAATATTTAGTTTATAAGATTTGTTAATCTTTTTGCATATAGTTGTAATTTGTTAGGTTCTCATTGCTATATACTATATCATTATACAAATATAAGTTCAATTTGTGGTTATTTTGAATGGTGCCTCTCTGAGCATTCATGTATTTGTCTTTTGGTAAATATTGCTGGGTATATGCTCAGGGTCATAGAATATGGTCAGATTTAGCATACATGGAAAATGGTGGTGTCCATCAGTTTACATTTCCATCCACAATGGGAGAGAGTTCTAGTTGCTCCGCATCTTTGCCAACACTTGGTATCATTTCTCTTTTTCATTTGAACTGTTCTGATGTGTATGTATCACTATTTCAATTGTGGTTATTTTGAACATTACAAAATTGGCAAAGAATAACTGATTTTATTAAATCATATTTCATTTGAAGTAACGTGGGTCTACTTTGCAGTATTTTTCCCTATTTACATGATTCATAAGAAGAGTGATCATGAGATAGTCAACAATATAACAGCTTGGAATGAGATTTTTGATCAGCTATAATTGTAATGTATTTTATCTAAATATTATTTAACTGTATTAGTAACTGTGATCATTAAGAACAGAAACAAAAGGTAAGCAAGTCCTTAGATTAACATGAAACAACATTCCTGCCTTTTGAAAGGAACTTTTCTGACCTGTAAGTAAATGATGTAAATCAATTAATAGCTTAACTGAAATTAAGAGATGAGTCTCAGCTTTCATTGCCTATATTATATCTGTGTTTCTGGAGAAACAAAAAAACAGTATGACAAACCTACAGTCTGCTAGTTTCTTCTCACCCTGCCAACAACTGTTATATTACTGTTTAGCTGGTTATGTGCAACCATTTGTTCAGGATTGTTTTGTTTTGCTTAGTTTTACTTTTTAAGGCAGAGTCTTGCTCTGTTGCCCAGGCTTGAGGTCTATGAGTTACACTCAGGGTCACGTGGTCAACGAGATGTAATCACAGCTCACTGCAGCCTTAACCTCCTGGGCTCACGTGATCCCCCTGCCTCTGCTTCCTCAGTAGCTGGGACTACAGGTGCATGCCACGACACCCGGCTTGTTGAGCAGAGTTTTGATGAAAATCATTCATCCCTTCTTAATCACAAACAGTGAAACCTTAGAAAATGTAATTAGAGAGAAAAATAACATTTTGCACCAAGCTAATTGTATCTTTACCTTTTATTAGTTGGTTTCAGGATTGGTACTTGTTGATGGTTCTGTTTTGGAGTGTGCGTTCCCTGGGTTTAACTCCTTGCAGCACACTTTATATACGTTGTGTGGCCTTACTTGAGTAACTTAAGTTGCTTAACTTCTCCAGATCCCAGATTCTCAACCTGTAGAATGGAAGTAATTATAATACAAACATTATGTGGTGGGTTAGTCCAGGTCCTCCAAGAGGTAGATGTTGAAAACGAGTTAAACACAAGAGGATTTTATTAAGGGAAATCCCTGTGAGAGAAAATGGAGAGGAAGCTGAGTAAGCCTGGAAGAGGTCTCAGCTATGAGGCAAGTCTGACCTAGAATGAAGGAAAGAGGAAAGGAAGGTTGAGTGGAAGCACTGGAGCGTAATGTACAGTCTAAGGAAGGGTGAGAAAAGGCTTCAGGGAATCCTGAGCCAAGACTGGTCCTCAGAGAAGCCCTGTGTCTCCTAAAGAGGGATCTGCATTAGCCACCCTGTGGGCCTCAGTCATTGACTGAGGGGCAGATGCAGAAACAGATTTTAGAGTGAAGCAGCAAGTGGCCGTAGGCAGTTAGGCTTCCCATACTTTGAGGTCTATGAGTTTATTTATTTATTTATTATTTATTTATTTAAATTATACTTTAAGCTCTGGGTTACATGTGCGGAACTTGCAGTTTTGTTTCATAGGTATACACATGCCATGGTGGTTTGCTGCACCCATCAACCCATCACCTACATTAGGTATTTCTCCTAATGTTATCCCTCCCCTACACCCCCACACCCCACAGGCCCCAGTGTGTGATGATCCCCTCCCTGTGTCCATGTGTTCTCATTGTTCAACTCCTGCTTATGAGTGAGAACATGCGGCGTTTGGTTCTCTGATCTTGTGATAGTTTGCTGAGAATGATGGCTTCCAGCTTCATGCATGTCCCTGCAAAGGACATGAACTCATGTCCTTTTTTATGGCTGCATAGTATTCCATGGTGTATATGTGCCACATTTTCTTAATCCAGTCTATCACTGATGGACATTTGGGTTGGTTCCAAGTCTTTGCTATTGTGAATAGTGCCACAATAAACATACGTGTGCATGTGTCTTTATCGTAGAATGATTTATAATCTTTTGAGTATATGCCCAGTAATGGGATTGCTGGGTCAAATGGTATTTCTAGTTCTAGATCCTTGAGGAATTCACACACTGTCTTCCACAATGGTTGAAGTAAATTACACTCCCACCAATAGTGTAAAAGCATTCCTGTTTTTCCACAACCTCTCCAGCATCTGTTGTTTCCTGACTTTTTAAGGACTGCCATTCTAACTGGAGTGAGATGGTATCTCATTGTGGTTTAGATTTGCATTTCTCTAATGCAGGTCTATGAGTTTCTTATTCATGGTCACTAAAAGATGTTTATCATGAATTGAAATCTCCAGATAAGAGTAAAGCAATGCCTAATTCATAGTTACGCACTTATCAATTTATTTATTCATATTATTCATTATCATTATGAATATTCAACACATTAATAAAAGAGTCACATGTGCAATCTACTTGGGGTATTGGGAGAGTAAAGAATAACATAGTGGTGCTACAGGTAATTTAAGAGATGGTTTCTCTCTCTCTCTCTCTCTCTATGTGTGTGTATATATATATATATATATATATATATATATATGACACAGGTATAATTATTTTCCTTCTACTATTTGTTATTGATGTATACTGCCAAATCCCTAACGGATACTGGAATACTTAACTCTAAGCTCCCCCCACGCCTACAAAAGAAGTGGGTACAAGGTTAGTTTTTAAATCAAAAGATTTATTAATAGTATTTTTATCATGTCCAATTGATATTATCATTATCAAAAAGTTTAATCACTTATTATTACTTGAAGGACCTCGTTAGGAAATATTCGATCCACTTTTTTTGTTTTTTTTTTTTTTTGAGACAGAGTCTCATTCTGTCACCTAGGCTGGAGTGCAGTGAGGTGATCTCGGCTCACTGCAAGCTCTGCCTCCCAGGTTCACGCCATTCTCCTGCCTCAGCCTCCCGAGTAGCTGGGACTACAGGCGCCCGCCACCACGCCCGGCTAATTTTTTGTATTTTTAGTAGAGACGGGGTTTCACCGTGTTAGCCAGGATGGTCTCGATCTCCTGACCTCGTGATCTGCCCGCCTCGGACTCCCAAAGTGCTGGGATTACAGGCATGAGCCACCGCGCCTGGCCTGTTCCACTTCTTAAAACTGGTCACTGGAAGTACATCGTCTTGGGAAGAACTGGATATTTCTTGAAACCCCTTTCATATAGCCATATTCTCAAACATAGAACCTTCTTTTATTTTTTTCAAAGATTTTTTTCCATTACTGTAGAAAATTCAGAGGGTGTTTATGGATAGTGCAGTACTCCGCTCAAATACAGGGAACGAAAGTTACATTAAAATGATAATATTTTTTGCTGAAAAGTATTATGATATTTAATGTAAGCAAACAAATTACTCAGGTGATAGTGTTTTGTTTTCATTTTTTAAATGTCTTGGCCGGGCGCGGTGGCTCAAGCGTGTAATCGCAGCACTTTGGGAGGCCAAGGCGGGCGGATCATGAGGTCAGGAGATCGAGACCATCCTGGCTAACACAGTGAAACCCCGTCTCTACTAAAAATACAAAAATTAGCCGGGCGTACTGGCGGGAGCCTGTAGTCCCAGCTACTCGGGAGGTTAAGGCAGGAGAATGGCGTGAACCCGGGAGGCGGAGCTTGCAGTGAGCCGAGATTGCGCCACTGCATTCCAGCCTGGGCGACAGAGCCAGACTCCGTCTCAAAAAAATAAATAAATAAACATAAATAAATAAATAAATAAATAAATAAATAAATAAATGTCTTACTTCAATAGCTTTTGGAGCACAAGTGGTTTAGGTAACATGGATAATTTGTATAGTGGTGAAGTCTGAGATTTTATTGCACCTGTCACCTGAGTAGTGTACATTGTACCAAACATGTAGCTTTTTTATTCCACACCCACCTGCCAACTTCCCCCTTATGAATTTCCAGAGCCCATTATATCACTCAGTGGAGAGTCTTCAACATTCAGGGTGGAATCTTCAGGGTGTGGCCCTCTATCCATTGCTTTCCAACGTTTGTACTCTCTGCTTTGTGAATAGAGGCCTGTTCTCCCTGTCTGCCTTGTTCACGTACCTTTGCCGTTTTCCTTGCTGGGATGACATCCTTTGCCCTGAAGTTCTCATTAACCATACCATAGATGTCCTCTTCTTACCTCAATACATCCAAGGCTACCTCAAGTTATAACTTCTCCTTTAGTTTTTCCCTAGTGTCTGAGTTCAAATGGGCTTCTCTATATCCAGAATATCTACCACCTGTCTTATCTTTCCTCACACGTGGCACGTGCAGTTCCTTCCATCTACTTTCATAATGTTGTATTTTAACGGTTCAGTTGTGTTTATATTACACTCTTCTGTCAGGCAAACAAGGGTATTTATATGGCTGAAATCTACGGTATTTTTTAAATGTAGTAAAATGTAATGAATAAGCATACAAATGAATGAGTTAATTAATCTGTTATATTCTTGGTTAAGTAATGAGCATTATGAGGACAAAAATTGAGTCTTACACCTTCTTATAATCCTAAAGACCTAGTACAGGACTTGGAATATAGCATTCACTTAAGACATCTTTGTGACTAATGAATTTAAATATTTTTATTAATTCTAAGTTGACGTATGATTGTAATTTGGGGAAGGTAGTGAAATTTCAAATGGCTTTCACCACCTGTGAAATGACCCTTTTTACCTACCACATGATTTACCAGATCTTTGTTTAGGTGAACCTAGGCGAAAGCAGATTGTTTCCTCTACTTAGGAAATACTTCGCACATTTTCGTTGCTTATAAATTTGATGATTTTAATTTGTACAGTTATAATTTATGATATTGACTTGTACAGTTATATATATTTTACATATAATATATATTATATATTATATATAGTTATACTATATATAATTTTATTTTCTAAAGTAAAGAATATCATTACACATTAACAAAATAGATATAACTGTTTTCTTTCTACTATTTGTTACTGGTGTATACTGCAAATCCCTAATGGATACTGAAATTCTTATCTCTAAGCCCCTCTATGACTATGAAAAGAAATGGGTTCAAGTTTATTTTAAAAATCAAAGAGTTTATTAATAATATTATTGTTATCATGTCCAATTGATACTATCATTATTAAAAAGTTTAATCACTTATTTCTTGAAGGACCTAATTAGGAAATATATATGTGTGTGTATATCTATATTCTATCTATATATATCCTATATCTATATTCCATATATATTCTATATCTATATTCTATATCTATATTCTACATATATTCTATATATAGTCTATCTATATTCTATCTATATCCTATATATAGTCTATCTATATCCTATATATAGTCTATATATATTCTATCTATATCCTATATATAGTCTATATATATTCTATCGATATCCTGTATATAGTCTATATATATTCTATCTATATCCTATATATAGTCTATATACTCTATATATCTTATATAGTCTATATATATTCTATATATATCCTATATAGTCTATGTATATTCTATATATATCCTATATAGTCTATGTATATTCTATATATATCCTATATAGTCTATGTATATTCTATATATATCCTATATAGTCTATGTATATTCTATATATATCCTATATAGTCTATGTATATTCTATATATATCCTATATAGTCTATGTATATTCTATATATATCCTATATAGTCTATGTATATTCTATATATATCCTATATAGTCTATGTATATTCTATATATATCCTATATAGTCTATATGTATATTCTATATAGTCTATATATATTCTATATGTGTATCCTATATATATTCTCTATACATATTCTATATATATATACACACACACACACACACATATATAGTAGCCTGATATTTAAAAAATAAGATTGGGACTGCGTAAAATAAGCTCACCCAGACAATAGGGGTACAGACATATGTATAATTCAGCAAGAACTGGTAACAAAGTGAGATATGTCAACTCTTTGTAGCATATTGTTAAGTAGTATTAAAAAACAAGTAATTTTTGGTTGGGTCCATTGAGAGAATAACATTATTTTTAGAATGATCTAATGGCACAATAAGCATTTTAGCATTTTACCTGCAAAAGCATTATAGCTGTGCCAGTTTCTGTTCCAAGAAAAAAATACATTGGTGTATTCTCTAAAGGAGGAAATTCTGACCTCAACTATGTTCAGATAGCTGTGGCAGATAATACTCTGATCAGGTACTAAGTCATATATCTTTCACATTTCCCTTTGCTAGTTATACTCAGCATGTGGTTGGAAATGGAATCAAAGCCCAGTCTGGAAATCCTGAAGTCAAAGTCAAAGGAACTGATCCTGTGATAAATCAGATTATTGATAAACTGAAGCATGTTATTCAGGTAAGTCCTGATCCTATATTTTTTGGTATAGCCAATAATAAATAATAAGTGGTCACTTTCTGTTATACTTGATAAATTTGTTAACCCTATCAGGTAATCCTGCCTAAAATATTGTAACACATTATTTGTATCAGGACTTTTGGGAATATTTAGTTTAATGATTTTTGTATGCAGTCAATATGCAGTGGTATTTTAATGTTGGACAATCTGTATATGTGAAAAGCAAGCCTCAGCCTCAGCATTTCAATAATGAGAATCTCAGGACATGCATTGTCTTCAGTGAATAAGTTTGAACGTGGGAATCACTGTGACCATTAAAGAAAACACATAGAAGACCATAGAAGATGCCAGAGTTTTCTTTCAGGTAATTCTCTGAATGTTGCTATGAAGGTTTTTGCAGCATTTCAATACAAATTAGGTCATAGATGAATAATATGTACTTCTAATATTTATTTCCTATATCACCTTTTATATGTTATCTTATAATCTACCTAATGGTTGTTTATGAAATACTTCTGTTTTATCTTCAATAATATTTTTCATCAAGTGAGTGTGTATTGCTGTTTTTAATACATGACAAATGAAGCATGAACATATTTATCAAAATAATATTTCATTGAAATAGTCTATTAATTAGAACCAAACATGATGTTGCATGTTGTAAATATTACTCTGCATTCTGCATCTATTGATGTTTGGGGAAAGAAAGGCTATTTTTTTTTTTAGTTAATAGTCATTTTATAAAAATTTATATTTGAATATACTTTCATTTTTCCTAAGCAGAACTTTGCATGGCTAGTTGATGCTTATTTCTAGTATCGTGCATCAGAAACAATACCTAAATAGTACAGAGTTTTTATTGCATACAACATATTCCAGAGTCAGTAGTAGGCTTCTCATAATTGTTCTGCAAAGACAAAGCTTAAGTTTATGCAGAGCCAATTCCTGGGTTTCCATTTTTCACGAGTCCCTATCTCTCAAGGAGAGGATATGTAAGAAGGACTTGGGGGTTGGTGTCCAATACCATAGACTTCTCCCTTCTGTGAGGCAACAATGCTTATTCTACCATTGATACCTATAGAAAACAGCTCTCACCCTGGCTGGCAAAACCAAAAATAAATTCTACTGGAAAAGTCTAAGAGAAAAGTGGTATCATGACTACTGATGAGTTAAACCTTCCAGCCTCTGCTGAGCTGGTCCAGTTGGTACCTCACAGTATCGTCCACTGTAGTATAATATGTACAGCTAGATTATTTGAAAATTCGACCGCATAATTGATAATAAAACCAAAAGAGCTTTAATATTAATGTTCTCTCATTGAGGAGTGAGTACAATCTCACTGTGAGGACACAGTGAAATCTTAGGGGTTTCTTAAGTGGGGTAAGCATTCCACAGAGGATGGAGGAAGAAAAACTAGAACTTAAATATATATTTATTCCATCTCATTCTTTTATATTTCTTTGGTTGTAGTAAGGTATATAAAATATGTAATGTATTAGTGCAATAGCATATACATATAATTTATAAATACATAAATATACATATTAACTGGACATTTGTTCAGATTGTTTTTCTAAGATATATACATGATGAAAGCAGAACAGAAACCCTGTTACAGATAATAAGGATAGAGCTGTTCCATGAGAAGTGCAGTTATAAGAAAACACATTCACAGAGGAACACATAGATACCCAAGATAGAAAGGATTATAAAAACCCTTAGGAGGAGGGCTCATATATTTATTACCCATTCAGCAACCCCCCTCCCCATTTCTTGTTTCGTAGGTTTCAAAGCCTTTTCAAGGTGGCAGAGGGAAGTCATCCTGCCTTTCTTTTTTAGCTTCTGTGTGAACTTGAGTCCCATTCTTTATTCTTTATAGGAGTGTGCAGATCTCCAATTATTCATGCTTAAGTTTCATTCTGGGGTTGCAAGAGAATATCAAATGCAGTGCTACCTTTGAGGTCTATCATTTTAAGATCTGCTAGATTTATATGATAGAAATGTAGATTTTTATAGAGGACAGCAGAAAGTCATATCTTGCACAGGTGTCACTGAAAATTTACCTTTAATATCTAAGAATATGCTCTTTCATGAACTGCTCTCCTGGAGATGAAGAGAAGTGTTTTACTTTGCCAATTTTTTTTTTTTTTTTTTTTTTTTTTTTTTTTTTTTTGAGACAGAGTTTCCCTCTTGTTGCCCAGGCTGGAGTGCAATGGCGCGATCTCGGCTCGCTGCAACCTCCGCCTCCCGGATTCAAGAGATTCTCCTGCCTCAGCCTCCAGAGCAGCTGGGATTACAGGCACGTGCCACCACAGCCCGGCTAATTTTTTTTGTATTTTTAGTAGAGACAGGGTTTCTCCATGTTGCTCAGGCTGGTCTCGAACTCCCGACCTCAGGTGATCCACCTGCCTCGGCCTCCCAAAGTGCCGATTACAGGCGTGAGCCACGGCGCCCGGCCTACTTTGCCAAACTTTTGACTACTGATGGTGTACGCGTGCCCTGGCAGGGATGGCCATTGTGCTGTCAGTATCAAGGGATGGCTAACAGCACCCACCACAATGTCAGCTATGAAAGGATTCAGAAAATAGCCTTCTGTAAGTCAGAATTTATTAATTAAGGAGTAGGGCCATGGAAGATGTCAACATAGGAATAGGTTTCAGATTCTAAACTGTAGATTTAGATGATCACTTCTTAGTGTTTGTATAAAATTTACTTTATTTTTTATTATAACATGAAGTTCGCTTTCCACCTTTATACTATGAAAAATGCCGTGTCTCACAATAGGGACATACCTGTGTTAAAGTATATGGAAGTAAATCAGCCACAATAGCAAACATTGCCTGCATGGACTCACCCAAAAATGCCTTTCTCGGCCTGCCATTGATCTGAACCTCATTTCTACCTTGCATTGTCTGCAATTAGAGTCACTAAGGAAGTAGATAAAGATTTTTACTTGGAAAATGTCACTTTTTAATGTTTTAATAATTAATTCGTTCAAGATACTCAACAAATGCTCACTGAGTTTCTAGTACGGTCCTGGTTCTGTACAGGCACTGAGGTTAAAGTTGTGAATAAAGCAGACACAACCCTGCTCTCATGGGCTTTCCATTGTAAGAAAAAAGTAAATAAACAAACCAATGAAACCAGTATTGTAGCTGACACATGTTATGCACAAAACCAAACAAGGTGAGGTAAGGAAAGATATTTAAGAAGAGTGTGCTGGTGAAGGCCACTCAGGGGCAGATGTTTGGGTTGATGCTGAATAAGGAGAAGAAAGGAGTCATGGGAAAACCTGTGAGAACTGTGTCTGGGGCAGAAGGCAAAGTAGGTGTAAAGGCCCTGTGGCAGGAATAAGTTTATTTTATTCAGAGAACAGAAGGCCAGGTGGCTAAAACAGAGTGAGTTAAAGGGAGGAGATAAACATACATCATGTTTTGGGGAGTCCAGTAGGCTCTGGTAAAGAGTTTATATTTTCTCCTAAATAGACTAAGAAGTCATTTTAAAACTGTAAGCAGAAACTAGCTGCGCGCAGTGGCTCATGCCTGTAATCTCAGCACTTTGGGAGGCTGAGGTGGGTGGATCACCTTAAGTCAGGAGTTTGAGACCAGCCTGGCCAACATGGTGAAACCCCATCTCTTCTAAAAATACAAAAATTAGCTGAGCACGGTGGAGCGTGCCTGTAATGCCAGCTACTGAGGAGGCTGAGGAAGGAGAATCGCTTGAACCCAGGAGTCGGAGCCTGCAGTGAGCCAAGATCGCGCCACTGCACTCCAGCCTGGATGACAGAGCAAGACTCCTTCTCAAAATAAATAAATAAATAAAAATACATCACAAATTTAATAAATAAATAAATAACTGTAAGCAGAAGCTGATACAATTTAATACATGTTTTATGAGGACTTCACTATGAAAACTGGACCCTGCGTACAAGAATGGAAAAAAGAAAGTAACACAGACAGAAGGCCACATAATTGGAGCTAGAATAATAAGAGTGGATAAGCTGAGAAGTGCATAGATTTAGACAAATATTGGAAGCGGGGTTTTTGGGATTTGTTAATGGATTGGAAATTTGGGAGACGGAAGAAAGATGATAGCGAGGTTTGGTGGGATGATAGTGTCACTAAGTGAGAAAAGGAATTCTGAGAGAGGAGCAGGCCTGGCGGAGGGTCCCTGGGATTGATTAGAAATCAGTGGTTTTGTTAACTGTGAGATGCTTGTTAGATGCCCAAGAGGGATGTGCAGAACTCAGGGAGACCACACAACTGGAGGTGTATGTTTGTAAGCATCAGCACGTGGATAGTATTTAAGCCCTGAGATTGTATAAGGTTGTCACCTTTCCTTTAGAGTATAAATTCACACCAAAACTATTGGTGGAGATGATAGGACAAGGGAATCATACAAAAAAAATTGTACTGCAAAAAGCTATGAATGAATAAAACATTTTATTAAATGTATTTGGCACCTTGTATATACCTAGTTGATCTAGGACAGAGAAGATACTTAGTAACATTCATTTTTTCTTACTGTAAGAATAATGACCCAGGAGGCGGAGGCTGCAGTGAGCTGAGCAGGCCACTGCACTCTAGCTCTAGCAGACAGAGTGAGACTCCGTCTCAAAAAAAAAAAAAAAAAAAAAGAATAATGAATGCTCATCAGAGGGAATTGAATTTTATTATTCTAGGAAATCTGATGGAAAAAGTGAAAAATAAATATTGATACCATTTATAAAACAATGAAAAGACTTATAAGAGAAGCCATCTAGGCTTTTCTCTATACTTAATTATACATATAAATACATCAGTACTTTACTTCAAAAAATAAGATCATAGGGTACATTTGATTTTATGATCTGAACTGCTCACCTGACCACACAAAACAAATACTTTACCATGACATTAAATAGTCTGCTCTCTGGTTGTTAGTGCTGGCATACTATTCTATCATATGGAAAAATTACAGTTTTCCTTCACCCAGTCACCGAAAGTTGGATATTTAGGATGCGACCAGTTTTTCATGATAATAAAGACTAATAGGAATAGCAGTAGACATAAGATGTTTTTGGCATCTTTTTTTTCTTGTAATACGTTCTACATATTGAAACTAATAATTGTATTTTGCTACATATTGCCACGTTTTTCTCAAGGAAAATTATAGCTAACAGAAAGTGTCAGCTTTCTCTGTGTGTTAAGGGTGTGGGTGGAAGCTCGGCAGTGACGCTGAGACATATTGGTATGGAACATCATTGGACTCTCTAGAGATCAAGGTAGCAGTCCTGTAGAAATGTTAGCCCGAGCTGTGTGTCACCTGGGAGTACTCCAAGGACGGCCAAAAGAAATATTTTAGTTAGAAGACAATTTATAAGAAAAGTTTAGAGGCTTCCTAGAGAGGTCATAGCATACACAATTTTATTTCATCCTTTAGGGCAAGCCGTATATATATGTTCTGCGCACATCTCCTCCTGCACCCTCCTCAAAAAAAAAAAAAAAAAAAAAAAAAAAAAAAGCTGAGATCTGATGTAAATAGATAGCTGTGAATTATAGCTTGGTCCTTAAGGAATATCTCAGAAACTTCAATGTTCCTTCACCCCCTCCGCAAACCCTTCTGAATTGAGAATGGGAACCTTGGCAACAGAGGGGAGTCATGCACCTCCCTTTTCCATCTGTGACTCTGGCATCTTCCTCCAGGTCAGCCATGGTGCAAACTCTCACAGTTACTTTCTGGCAGTTTCCTGCATTCCAAACCTGTTTCTGAAATGGGCAATATTTGTCCCCTTGAAAATCACCTGTGATAAATGTGGTATAGCCCACGGCCAGTGAAAATTTTCCTACAGGGAGACATATTCCTAAGTGTTAACATTAACTTTTTCAGATGTTTGAGTCAGACTCAATTGCCCTTTCATATTATAGATTGAAAACAACACTTGGTTGATGTTAGTATATCTGATTGAGGAAATATGAGAGCCTTTTTAATTTAGATTTGCTCGCCTAGAAAACTCACTTTGAAACTTCTTGGTCATGTTATGTTTGCTTATGGCAAAGTTATCAGCAAAAAAGTCACTGTTATGCAGCAATTTATCTTTAAACACTAAATGACATCTATCATTTTTCAAAGAAAATAGTGTCAGCAGTTAAAATCCTAACTGCTTGAGCACTGTTAGTTGACAATTATAATGCCCCATTGCTTAGAAATTAATTGACCTACTTTCAATAAGAAACATAAAAAGTAATATCACAGCAATTTTCTGGATCTATTTTATTCCAAAACCAATAAATGTTACAGTGTTGTTAAAAGTAATAGATTTAAAAACATTTTATTTTCTTAAACTTAACAATTCAAATAACATAAAATAATATTACGTTTCTATTAAGTATTCATTTTTATACAGACCAAAAGTTCTTTAGAAAATGTCTTCATGTATAATATAAATTTGATTTTTAGATGTGAGAAAAGCAACAATCATAATCGTTGCCTAAATCCACAAAATAAGTAGATATTCTATAATATGTATTTCAGTAATCACAATGTATTGGATTCAGGCAGAGATGAGAGACACTCTGATTTTAGCAGAAAAAGACTGTGTTAAATTACCTCTTTGCCTTTTCTCACTCTGTTCCTAGGATAGCAATATAATAAATAGTAACTTTAGAACTGGGATACACTGAGAAAATGTCCTAATTTAAATCTCAATAGATGATTACACAGGTAGTGTTTACACACACACACACACACACAATGACAGGAGTTTTTAAAGATATTAGTATCTCGGAATTTTTGAATTCTGAAAACTGTCCAAGCTTTTATCATTAAATCACTTGTTATGAAACCCATTTTAGAAACACGCTTTCCTATTTTTAATAGCCTATGATAGTCATACAGAATGAGTTAATCAAAATTGATTGGTCAATTGCTAATTGCAAATTCTTTGACCGTAGCATGTCAGCTGATTCTATGAACTTCTACAGACTCTTTCCCTTGGTCCGGGAGTTGCCACAACACTCTGACTCCTTTCCCCACAACTCCATTACATGATATTGTCACCTCCCCAGGCTTACGATACTAATATTCCAGAGAGATGAACAGTCCTTGATTTTGAATAGCAATGCAGTAGTGACCAAAACAGATTTAGTTTTGGTTCAGAAGAAAGTGCTGGATATGCCCTCAGTAACTTTCCATGGTCATCTAATTCAGCAATTAGTTTGAGTAAATTCAATGGAAGGCTGCTTTCTGGAATGGGTAGTGTAATGTACTGACTTCCCTATTAGACATTTCATTTAAAAAAATCAATTGTCCGCATAAAACAACCATTTCAATCAGTGTACATTCAACTGGAAAGGAAAGTTAGAGGACTTTTTTTGAAAGTAATGGGATTGGGGTTGGCCGTTGCTAATTTCTTTTTGATTAAAGCGTATGTAATTGTTTTGTGTTGGATAAAAATTTGACTTTTTATTTGCGCGGATGCTGCTGATCTTATATGTTATCATTTCCCATTCAGACTTGAGCTGTTTACCTGCCGGGTTTTCTGTTCATAAAATGTTGAAAGGACGTTAAAATGTAGAACTTTTACATTTTTTATTTAGGTGACTAGGACAAATTCTGGTAATTTGTAGGCTACAACTTAAATGTATTTCTGCTTAAAATATTTTGAAATATGGTTTATTTCACAAATGAGGTTCCAAACTATAACCAGCTCTCACTAAATTCTTATTTATTTATTTATTTATTTATTTATTTTGAGACGGAGTCTTTCTCTGTCACCCAGGCTGGAGGGCAGTGGCCGGATCTCGGCTCACCGCAAGCTCCGCCTCCCGGGTTCACGCCATCCTCCTGCCCCAGCCTCCTGAGTAGCTGGGACTACAGGCGCCCGCCACCACGCCCAGCTCATTTTTTGTATTTTTAGTAGAGATGGGGTTTCCCCGTGTTAGCCAGGATGGTCTGGATCTCCTGACCTCGTGATCCGCCCGCCTCGGCCTCCCAAAGTGCTGGGATTACAGGCGTGAGCCACCGCGCCCAGCCAAAAGATCATTTTTAAATTATGTATCTGGGAATATATTATCAAACCAGGCCTGAAACTTATTAAAAAGATGGTAAAATCTAATTTAACTTCATTTAATACTCCTTTTCTCTTAGTCTTATAAAAGCAAATGAGCTTGTTGGCTTTTCATTATGAAAATATAATTTTAATTTATAAGACATATGTAACAAAGCAAGATAGCTGCTAAATTCACTCTATCCTAATAACTTCTGGTACCCACCTGTGGTCCCAGCTGTTTGGGAGGCTGAGGTGGGAGGATCCTGTGAGCTGGGGAAGTTGAGGCCGCAGTGAGCTAAGATCGGGCCCCTGCACTCCACCCTGGGCAACAGAGTGAGACCCTGTCTGAAAATAAAAAAAAATAAAAAACGGGGTTGAGAGACAAAAAAGGACATCCTTTTTTTTATTATTGTATTTTGAGATGGAGTTTCGCTCGTTGCCCAGGCTGGAGTGCAATCGTGTGATCTTGGCTCACTGCAACCTCCGCCTCCCGGGTTCAAGTGATTGTCGTGCCTCAGGCTCCCGAGTAGCTGGCATTACATGTGCCTGCCATCACGCCCAGCTAATTTTTGTATTTTGATACAGACGGGGTTTCACCATGTTGGCCAGGGTGGTCCCCAACTACTGACCTCAGGTGATCCACCTGCCTTGGCCTCCCAAAGTGCTGGGATTACAGACATGAGCCACCGCGCCAGCCGAAACCTTCATTTTAGAAAAGGCTGGGTCAGGCATCATGCCTCATGCCTGTAATCCCAGCACTTTGAGAGGGCAACGCAGGCGGATCACCTGACGTCAGGAGTTCGAGACCAGACTGACCAACATGTTGAAACCCCGTCTCTACCAAAAATATAAAAATTAGCCGGGTGTGGTGGCACACACCTGTAATCCCAGCTACTCAGGAGGCTGAGGCAGGAGAATTGCCTGAATCTGGGAGGCGGAGGTTGCAGTGAGCCGAGATTGTGCTACCACACTGCAGCCAGGATGACAGAGTGAGACGCCATCTCAAAAAATAAATAAAGGCTGGGTGCCAGATGTGGTGCATAGGCCTAGTTTGTTGACTCCTGTACTTAACATATAAAACTCTAAAGAACAGTGGGAAGGAGCTTCCCTCTAGAGGCACAGGAGCGGCCAAGTTGGTCCCTGAGCAGTGACTTCATAATAACATGTTACACTGTGTTTTTTGTTTTTGTTTTGTTTTTTGTTTGTTTGAGACGGAGTTTTGCTCTTGTTGCCCAGGCTGGAGTACAATGGCGTGATCTCAGCTCAAAACAACCTCTACCTCCCAGATTCAAGTGATTCCCCTGCCTCAGCCTCCAAAGTGGCTGGGATTTCAGTCATGCAACACCACGCCCAGCTAATTTTGTACTTTTAGTAGGGATGGGGTTTCTCCATGTTGGTCAGGCTGGTCTCGAACTCCTGACCTCAAGTGATCTGCCCGCCTCGGCCTCCCAAAGTTCTGGGATTACAGGCGTGAGCCACCACACCCGGCCTATTTTTTTTTTTTTTTTTTTTTAGACACAGTCTGACTCCGTTGCCCAGGCTGGAGTGCAGTAGCGCGATCTTGGTTCACTGTAACTTCTGCCTCCCTGGTTCAAGCGATTCTCCTGCCTCAGCCTCCCAAGTAGCTGGGATTACAGGCATGCACCACCACATCCGACTAATTTTTGTATTTTTAGTAGAGATGGGGTTTCACCATGTTGGCCAGGCTGGTCTCAAACTCCTCACCTCAAGTAATCCGCCCGCCTCGGCCTCCCAAAGTGCTGGGATTACAAGGCGTGACCCACCGGGCCTGGCCCTGTGTGTTGTTTTATGTATGTTTCTATACGTGTTATATTTCACAATAAACTAAATATTAAAACAAAGAATAACTGATAGCTATGCACAAAGGTATTTAAATTTCACCTTCACAATTTTTTTTTTTTTTGAGACAGGATCTCACTCTGTTACCCAGGCTGGAGTGCAGTGGCACCACCTTGGTTCACTGCAGCCTTGACCTCCCAGGCCCAAGCGATCCTTCTACCTCAGCCTCCTGAGTAGCTGGGACTACAGGCACACTCCACCACACCCACCTAATTTTTGTATTTTTGGTAAAGATGAGGTTTCACCATGTTCACCATGAAGCCCCTGCCTCATTCCCAAGTTCTCTCCTTTTCCACTGCCAGTACTTGGAAGGTTATGTGCCATGTGTGTCATAGGTTAAGGCTAGAGGAGTTTATTCTGACTGACATTGAACTTTATGGGAGCAACCAACAAACTTTGGTTTGGTTGAGCCACTGAGAATTCCAGTTTAGTATCTTCTTGTTGCTACTGCTGTTTACCAACACAGTGGGATTTCTACAGGGCTCCAGCGGGCAGAGAAATTCCATGTGAACAAGAATGTCTCATGTTGGGCTTCTGTATAAATTGTGCTGATGAAAAATGTTAAGCTGATAAAAATTTTAGAAATTCATTGCTCCACACTGTATCGATGCTATTTTTGTCTCAGTTGAAGCCATCCTAAAATTATATATTTAGATCATACTATCTTCAATAGAATTGTTTTTACCGAGTTGCTTTTTGACGTTATAGATGAGCCTTTTGTAATTCACAACTGAGTTTATACACAAATGTTATTGAGTCTATTGCCCACCATGTTAGAGAGGTTTATGAGAGCTCAATGCAGAAATGCCTCTGAAGTGGGAAAATCTGTCATTTCTCTGAAGAAACTATTATAGTTTTAACAGAATGAGTGATGGAAAATAATAATATAGAAAATCATATGAAGGAGTAAGAAAGATGGGGCACTATTAAAGGGATTATTTGATGGCAATAAGGATGAAAATGTGTCATTGAAATTCTTAGGTTTCACATAGAAATTGCACCGGTTTATCCTAGCAGACATTTTGTTTAGAAGTTTTTAAGAAAATAAATTTCTGAATCATGGTTTACACTGTTTTAGGTCATTGGAACTAGTAAAAATGTTTCACTATGCAGACTATTAGTCAACATTTAAATCATGCTTTTCAATAAAGAATGTCAAATTGTGAGAGGAGAATTAATAAACCTAATTGTTACAGTCACTGAGCTGACATGTTGAAGTGCCTGGAAAATTTCTCACATGAATAATGGGTGAAGAGTCAAAGAATGTTTCACTTGGGGAAAAGAAGACCTGCCGGGTTTTGGAAAGGGTATGTGTATGCATTTAGTATTGTTTAGTGTGGTAGCTCTGTGGTCCTGACCTTCACATATTTATTGGGCTGCCATGTGTTAGGTGGAAACACAAAACTGTCATTTTTTTGTAGGACAAAAAAGGCTGAATACTGACAATTTCATATGGTTCCACCTAATAGAATAGGAAACAGAGTTATCTCTGAATTGTTTATCTAAGGTAGAATTTGGGGAAGTACTTACAATTTATAAAAATTAAATTTTAGACTAAAATATATAGATATATCTAGAGTTGTTCAAAAATGAAAATAGAGCTGAAATATCAAGTGCTATAATGGAGTTCATATGAGAATTCCATGCTTTATATTTGAGGTTGGATATGTGCTTTTTCTTTATCCCTTTCATTTATATGGATCTAATCTTCTATAATGCTTCAAACATTTTGACAGAGATCTTCTTTGGTGTTCTTTTTTCTCTTGATTTAAAAATCTGCTTTACAACCAAACAGTAAGATTAAACAAAACCAAACAATGCCCATGGCTTCATGGTCACTCTACCCATCTACAAAGGCCTTGTGCATGGCCTATTATGGTCATCTTGAAATTCTTTGTAAGTTTTTATCAAAGGGTTCTACATTTTCACTTTTTACTGGGCCCTGAAAATTATGCACCCAATCCTCAATCCTTGGTCTTCTTAAATTTGCATGCAGATTAGAATTATAAAGGTACATCAATTCTAGGCCATCAAAGGCTAGCTTATAACTCAAATTACATTTGGGAATTGTTCTTACGTAACAGCATTTATTGCTCCAAAGATCATTGTGTAATAACTACTAAATAATCTATATGAATGTACATTTGGAAAACCATGAAAACTTTCTGAAAGAGCTCTGCTGTTTTATGTAACAATCATAAAATATTTCCAAAGGCATAAATAAAAATAATTACAACAGAAAATCTGAGAGACAAAAAGAAAATCTATGATAATATACCAATGCAATTTATTGAAAATAGATACACATGGAACAAAGAATAAAGGAACAGCAGGAAAATGTGCCACTATTGTGGTTACAGCTTCGAGGCAACACATTAAAATGCCAACCAGACACAGGTGGCAACAGATGTATCTACCACCAAAAAATAAAGTTAAATTAAATCAAGTGAAAAATTTCAAATGAAGTAACTGTTCAATGAAAAGGAAAAAAGAATAAAAATCACATCTGCTTACATGGCAATGAAAGGTGAAAGAGTCTGCTAAAAGTTTATGTTGAAAATTAAGATGGAGGTAATCTATGCACACTCATCCAAAAATAGAAAACAAGGAATTAGTGGACCAATGCCAATGTTAATTTTGAAGACCTCAAAAAGAAGAAAATTAAGATATGGTTGATAGGTTCTCTACAATATAGCAAGAAAACTCTGCCCAAATTCTAAAGGATACAAAGTCTACTCAATTTAATAACAAATGGCACGTTTCTGTTTCTTAAAAGACATATGCAGAATCTGTGAGTGCATTTTCTACTTTAGGGACCATTTGAATTAAAATCCTTAAGTTCTTATGAATGTTTGAGAAATACATACAGTAAATGAATAAAGCCCATAGTTATTTAAGGATAACATTTAAAATTATTTCCTAAATATTTAATATTAAAATAATAGTACATGCCGTCCAGTCATAATCAAAAAAGCCAAAGTGATTATGGAGTATTGAGGCTGAAAAGAGTTAGATCTAAACCAACCTCTTCTGGACTTCACTGTCAAGGAGAAGAATTGAGAGGAAAATTTTCAAAAAACATGTATATTTGTGAGATTGGTGATGAGAAAAAACCTGTGAAATATTGCCATTTCTTTGGAGTAAAAATTTTAAATGATTGGTTAGCACGATGTCCCTTTCTCGTCACACTCACATCTTTCTGATTTGCTCCTCACATCTCGGGCATGCTGAGGCTATAATGCCTTTCCATCTACCTTAGGTTTACTATTTTAAAATTGGTTTTTGATGTTGTGAACATGAAGTGTGTATTAATACAGGAGAATGGGGTGTGTATTTCTGAAAGTCCAGAGTTGTAGTGGCAAAGAAGAGATTTCTGGAGTCCCCTGCGTGCCTGCTTACAGAGGTTTCCTTCCTGACATTGTCAAATTCCAGAATTCTTGCCCTGGCTCCATTTTAAAGCCCAGAGCACAGTTAAGTGTCTTTTCCTGACCCTCATTTATACTACCATGAGGCTCCTTTGTAACATGAAATGTGCAATGTGACCAATTGTTGGCTGCCCAAACAAGCATATGTTAGGACTTTTCACTCTGGCCCCCTATACTGACACATCATTCACATTTAGTAAAGGAAGGTGCACTCTGCTAAACTCACCACATTCTTTACTTTATGGAGTCATAAGAGATATTCCACTAAGTCCTTTTGCTTGATCCCACAGAGACCATCCTATGAAAACTGAATTAATATGAAAGCAGGTAGAGTGAATATTCATTTATGTCATTTACAACAACATCAAATAGTGTCTCCAAGTGGAACAGATAAGTAGAGACCAATTTGGCAGGAGATAGGATGGGGAAAGAGAGTGGCTGATGCATGCTGAGAAGTAGGAGGAACAGTCCAGTTTTTAAAACATTGTTCTTCTTGTTAAGAGTCTGTTTATCAGATTAAACACAGTCAAGCGGTCAGCTGAGTCTAATAATTCAGCAACTGAGAACAGATGGAGAAAACCTGGATATGTGTCTGTGTGTACACTCACATGCAAAATCAGTTGCCCTGACTTTATCTTACTTACATCCATCTATTTATTGATTTTGATAGGAAGAGTATGTATTTTAGATACCTCAAGAATATCTCCTGAAATACTTCCATGTTCTTGCCTTTTGAAGAATCTTTTTAAAGAAGAAAAATAATTATTAGCAAAGAATCCACATTCCCAATGGCTCCATTTTCATCTCCTTAATCCAGTGTTAAAATTCATGGCTTGGGAAAAGTGGGATGTTTACAATGCCTATCTATACCATTTATCTATACCATTCGTTTTAATAGCCTGTTCACTTGAACAATTTCTAAGTATGTGGCAAAAGAAACTAAACTAAAATAATAATGCGTTATATTTGAAAACATCAGTATCCTGTACACAAAACTTCCATAAGTAATTCTTCCTAGATTGAGACTAGAACTAATCCATTTCCAAAATCATCTACATTTTTCTGAAGACAAAAAAAAATGTGGCTACAGATAATTGCCATAGGCTGCAAATATTCTAATTCATCTGATATTTCTCTCCTGTTGCATGTTGTATAGATAAATATAATGCATCAATATTAGGATAGCAGGTATTTTATTAAATGTTAATGCAGAATTCTAAATTTTCTAGATTTCACAGAAAAGCAAGCTACCGATAATAAGTAGTATTTAAAGAGAACTCTTATCTACTACAATCAATTGAGAAATCCAGGATATTAAGACCACAAAAATGATTGTTTAGATGATTTAATTATAGCACAACAGGCTTTTCTGCTGATAATGTTATAATGATGTTTTCATAACCCAATCTCAACAAACATAACTAGAGTACAAATGATGAGCACAAAAATCCATCTCATTTGTAGCTCAGACTAGTATTTCAAGTGTAATTTCTCTATTACTAATTTAGTCTGATTTTTATAATTCATCAGAATAAATCAATAACTGACTTAGAAATCACTTCTATGATTTTAAGTAATTTTCCACAGAAACATTAACAATACCACAAGCATTAAAATGTTGAGAAATATTTGTGTATGATGATGTCAGTGCATGTTCCTTTCCTCAGCTAATAAATTCTAGTATAAAGTTTTCAGATCTGTACACAAAAATGGATCATAAAAATATAATCATGGTAGAAACTATGTAGCAATTTTATGAATGTGGAGAAAGAGTTCAAATAGTACTTTTGTACTGTACTGTGTCCATGCAAAGCTTCATTCAAACAAACAAAAACAATACTGAATTTATTATGTTAAAATCTTTAAGGACACTCTGGTAGATGAGATCATTTTCCTGCATTTGTTCACACTCTCTCCTATCTCCATCTCTAAGGGACAGATATAATTCCCCACTCCTTGACTTTGATCCTTGCTGTGTGACTCTGCTTAAGCCAAAGGGGTATCTTAGAGGATTTAAGGCAACAGAAGCCTGGCATGTTTTTGCACAGGCAGGTTGCACTCCTGACTTTGGCCACAACAATAACATGCTTCAAGTACCCGGGAGGGCTGAGGAGGATCACAAATACATGGAACAGATCTGGACACCAGCTGCAGCTTCAAGCCAATGCTAGCCAAGCCCAGCCTACATCAGCTGAATTGCGTCTGACCAGCGGTGCATGAACAAGGAAGGCAACGCGTGGACCTGGGCCAGATGAGCAGCTTCTACATTGGCCTGTGTTCCCGCCTCCACTGCAACATCTTCTCCTACGACTACTCCGGCTACGGTGCCAGCTCGGGCAGGCCCTCCGAGACGAACCTCTACGCCGACATCGACGCCGCCCGGCAGGCCCTGCGCACCAGGTGAGGGCGACCCCGGGGGCAGCTCAGCCTGGGCACACCGGAGAGGGGACCAGGCCGGGGGCCGGGGGGAGGGGCGGGCTTCCCTGGGAGGAAGGTGGGCGGCCCTGCAGGAGAGGAGCCACAGTGGACGCATGCGGCCAGAGAGCCGGAAAGGTGAGCTCAGGCGTGCGGGTGCCGCCTCCACATGGCTGAGGTGTGGCCAGGTCCCCCCACACCCTGGCCTGTGGAGCCAGGCTCTCTGGGATCCCCTGGCCTGAGGACAGGAAGGGGCTGAGCTTGTCACAGGGGCGTGGACGCCACCCGGCGGGAGGGGGTGGGTGGTGTCTGGGGGGGGGTCTGTGCACGTGTGGCTGGGAGCCCAATGGCCGAGGCAGCACTTGGGGCCAGGTGAGGCGAGGCTGCTGCATCGAGGTCCCGAGGCCTGGCCCATGAGGCCCTGTGGCTGTGGAGCTCGGCCATCCCGGGGCAGGGCCTGCTGGGTCAGGTGCAGACCCCCAGCACACACCTGAGGTCTGGGCCAGCCTCCATTCCAGATCCAGCCCTCCTAAACATCCAGGTCCCCAGCCCTGCACTTTCCTGGGCCCTTCACTGGTGTTTGAGCACCGCCCACCGCCCGGGCCAGTGCTGCTCTGGATCAGAAGACCCGCGTGGGCCTCTGGAGGCCTTTCCTGCTTGCCACCCGCTGGGGCTGTCTCGTCCTGGCCCTGCCCCCCACTGGTCTGCCCCGCTCCTGCAGGGGCCAGGCGCAGCTCTGAGAAGTCAGAGGCCCTGGGGAGGTGGGGTCCTCGATGCCTTGGCGATATCCCAGGCAGTCCCTTCTGTGGGCCTGGGAGCTGGGTCCCCTGGCACCACCCTGGCTCTGGGGGCCTCCTGGCAGTGTGGGCGCAGAAACCAAGCACCACTTCATGCAGCTTCCTCGGACCCCTCCTGTCTCTACTGCCCAGGGCACTGGCAGAGTCACACCCGCCATGGCCAGCTCTGAGCTCTGTCTGCTCGGCCATCTGTCCTGCTGCTGCTTTGTCCTGCAGGAACCTCGGCCCAGAGCCATGAGGGGGAGGCCAGATCGCGCTCAGGGCCTCCACTGAGGATGTGTCTTGTTTGATTGTCTGAGTGGTGACATCCAGGTGGCAGCTGGGGGTCCTGCCTGGAGCAGGTGACAGGGCTGGGCTGGCTCAGCACACTACTGGCCTTGGCTGCCAGGGAGCAGGCCAAGGAGGCTGAGGCAGAGCTGGGGCCACAGGCACCAGCCAGGCAGCATCCTTTGGGGCATGGGTGAACAGTGAGCTGTGGAGTGCTGCCAGGAGGCTGGGATTCCAGGCCAAGGAGGGGTACAGCCCTGCTGGTGGAGTCCGAATGCCAGGCAGATGGGACGCACACCTGCCCATGCTCCTGCCTCGCAGGAGGGCATCTGCCTGGGATCAGAGCCTGGAGCGTGTGGGAGGAGAGTTCTGGGGTTGCGGCATCGACAGGGTGGCAGGTGGGTCCCGCGTGGTTGGGACTGGGCACGAGGAGGCCTTGGTACTGGTGCTGGACCAGCTGGGCCAGGGGCCGCACACCAGTGACCTGGCGGTGGGGGTGGCCCTGGGTGGGAGCTGGTGGTGCTGAGGTGGCCGAGGACTTGTCCACTCCCAAGGGAAGGCGCTGGTGGGAGGAGGTGCTGCCCCCGCAGCCGCCACCCTCGATGTTGACCTGGGTTGGGCTGGCACCTCATTGAGCATGGGACTCCGAGAGTCCAAAATTGGGTGGAGACATGTGGGGACACAGCTGCCTGAATTCCTCATGGCCAAGGGGGTGGGCAAGGGCTGCAGGGAGGAAGAGTGTACCCTGTTCCGGCCAGTGCACCAGGAACGGCTTTCTAACCTGGGCAGGAAGGCATGAAGCATTCAGGATGTGGGGGGGCACACAGTTCCCAGTGTGCGCCCAGGGATGACCAGGAGAAGGAGAGGCGCCAGGGCTTCCCCTACCCTAGCCCGAGGGGGACTCCCTAGCCAGGATCCAGCAGATCCTGGCTAGGAAACGCCAGTGAACCATAGCGCCAGGGAACAGGACCACGCCGCCGGCTCCGCCCACCGCTGCGGTCTTGGGGGACTGGGGGTGGCCCTTGGGACTGCTGTGGAGCCTGGGCCTGACCCACTGACTAGGCTGAGCCGGGAGACTGGAGAGTCGCATCTGGAGCTGGGCCCGGGGACGCCCGCTGGCGGGAGGGGTGCGCGCGAGTCGGAGGCCGCGGCTGACCCTGCTCCGGTGCCGCCAGGTACCGCATCAGCCCGGACAGCATCATCCTGTACCGGCAGAGCATCGGCACGGTGCCCACCGTGGACCTGGCCTCGCGCTACGAGTCCGCCGCGGTGGTGCTGCACTCGCCGCTCACCTTGGACCTGAGCGTCGCCTTCCCGACACCAAGAAGACCTACTGCTTCGACGCCTTCCCCAAGTGAGCAGGCTGGGGCAGGGACAGGGGCGGGGACGGGGACTGGGTCGGGGACTGGGGCGGGGCGGGGCCCGGGCCCGGAGAGGTCTCACCCGCCCCACGCCCCTCCCGCAGAATCCAGAAGGTGTCCAAGATCACGTCGCCCGTGCTCATTATCCACGGCACGAAAGACGAGGTGATCGACTTCTCGCAGGGGCTGGCGCTCTAGGAGCGCTGCCCCAAGGCCGTGGAGCCGCTGTGGGTGGAGGGCGCCGGGCACAAAGACATCCAGCTCTACAGCCAGTACCTGGAGCGCCTGCGCCGCTTCATCTCCCAGGAGCTGCGCAGCCAGAGCGCCTAGCGGCCGCCGGGGCCCCAACCGGCCGGACTTCAGCAATAAGGCGGCCCCCGGACCTCACCCCGCACCGGCCTCCCGGGGGCTGCATGTGGACCCCCAGGTGGCCCGGGGGACCCCGCCCGGATCCAGGGGCCGTGGACGGTGTACAACAGAGCTACCCACTCCTTTCCTTTTGGAAGCAAGAAGAAATATGTGAAAACGGAAATTAAAGATTAAAATTTTTTTTTTAAAAAACACAATGTTTATTAATATACTCCAAAGTTGTGTTCTTTTTTTTTTTTTTTTTTTGAAATGGAGTCTCACTCTGTCGCCCAGGCTGGAGTGCAGTGGCGCGATCTCAGCTTACTGCAACCTCCACCTCCCAGGTTCAAGCGATTCTCCTGCCTCAGCCTCCCGAGTAGCTGGGACTACAGGCGCGTGCCACCATGCCCAGCTAATTTTTTGTATTTTTAGTAGTTACGGGGTTTCACCGTGTTAGCCAGGATGGTCTCCATCTCCCGACCTCGTGATCCGCCCTCCTCGGCCTCCCAAAGTGCTAGGATTACAGGCGTGAGCCACCGTGCCCGGCCGTTTTGCACAGATTTTTTAATGCAGAATCATGTTGGCAATGGGTAATGGCTACCAAGGTGCCATCGTTCCACATTCCTGTTATTCAGTCATCACATCTACTATGTGTGAGCCATAATATCTTCTAAAATGAATTATAACTATGTTCGAATTGTTATTTCACTAAGTAATCTCTGCTACTTTAGTCTCTATTTCATCTCAACGGAATGCCTTCTGAGTTCCTATAATTGTGACTAATTCTCTGAGACAACATCAGCAGTATCACTATAAACTATGAAACCTACAAAGGGAATTTCCTCTTTTTCCTTTTTATTATAGAGATGCTTTTTTGTTTGTTTTCTGCAAGCAAGCACAGTCTTAATCAATTTTGTATGCCCATACCTAGGAGAGCCCCTGATTCATAATAAGACCTCAATAAGATTTGTTGAATAAAGTGAAAATAGGATTTTCAGCTTTCCCTCACCACTTTCTTCAAAACAGACTAGTTCATAACTGAAATAGGCATTGTTTCTAGAAAACGGTCACTCCAGCTGATCCCTTCGTTTAACCATTTTTGTACTCCCTGAATCTATGATGATACCTGGCACATAGTGGGTAAGTAATCAATATTTGTTCACTGAACTAATGGAAGGATGAGTGAATGAAACAATACAGGCATTTTAAAATTATAATTCAAAATTAACATATTACTTGTTATTAGAGTGATTTTAAACAGTTATGTTAAGTATATGATAATTAGGAAGATTTACTTTCCTGCTTCATTTAAATTTTAAATATAGTGATCAAGGTAATCATGATTTTCATTCATTTATTCAATAAATGCATATTTAATATTTTTTATCTCACATGATAGATTGCTCCTGGTCAAAGACATTACGATGGTATTATACATAAAGATTTGTTTTAAATTTACAGTATCTTGAAATTTTTCTCTTGTTAATCCACAAAGTATATTTATCCATTGGGAAATATACTTTTTAAAATGTCAGTTAATGATATTTTTATTTTCTATTTTATCTTATTATTATTGATACAAGATCTCACTATGTCACCCACTGCTGGAATGCAGTGGCATAATCATGGCTCACCACAACCTCAACCTCCCAGGCCCAGGTGATCCTCCTACCTCAGCCTCCTCAGTTGCTAGGACTACAGGTGCCCGCCACCTTGCCCGGCTAACTTTTTACTTTTTTTTTTTTTTTTTTGGTAGAGATGAGTTTTCACCATGTTGCCCAGGCTGGTCTTGAACTCCTGGGCTCAAGCAATCTGCCAGCCTCGGCCTCCCAAAGTGTTAGGATTACAGGCATGAGCCACCACTATGGGGCAGATAATGATATTTTTTCAGGAATCGGTAAAACATTGTCCTTCAATGAATTAGTGCAGAAGCATGAAAAAATCTATTCTGAGCAAATCTGTGAAACAGACATTGAAATTAGTATTCTAATAAGGCTTTTGTGCTGTTTGATGATATAAAATAATTTTGCTATGACAATACAGTTACTTAAATGAGAAGTATGAATAACTTGCTTTGATATGTTTGTGGTATGTTTCACTTCTTTTTTAAGAAGGGAAATTATTAAATTTAAACTCTCTATATATGTAAAGAGTGCACATCAAATATTTTAAAGCCCTGAAGAATTAGGTCTTCATTTCAAGAATTATTAAGTGTCTTAAGAACATATTTATTTTCTAGAAATGTTGAGCCTCTTCTTGGGTAATGTGATTCTTTTAAGCATTTTGAAAGGATTTTCTTATTACATTAAAAATGAATGTATGCAATAGGAAGTTACTAGGATAGAGTGAATTTAGCAGCTATCTTGCTTTGTTACATATGTCTTATAAATTAAAATTATATTTTCATAATGAAAAGCCAACAAGCTCATTTGCTTTTATAAGACTAAGAGAAAAGGAGTATTAAATGAAGTTAAATTAGATTTTACCATCTTTTTAATAAGTTTCAGGCCTGGTTTGATAATATATTCCCAGATACATAATTTAAAAATGATCTTTTGGCTGGGCGCGGTGGCTCACGCCTGTAATCCCAGCACTTTGGGAGGCCGAGGCGGGCGGATCACGAGGTCAGGAGATCCAGACCATCCTGGCTAACACGGGGAAACCCCATCTCTACTAAAAATACAAAAAATGAGCTGGGCGTGGTGGCGGGCGCCTGTAGTCCCAGCTACTCAGGAGGCTGGGGCAGGAGGATGGCGTGAACCCGGGAGGCGGAGCTTGCGGTGAGCCGAGATCCGGCCACTGCCCTCCAGCCTGGGTGACAGAGAAAGACTCCGTCTCAAAATAAATAAATAAATAAATAAATAAATAAGAATTTAGTGAGAGCTGGTTATAGTTTGGAACCTCATTTGTGAAATAAACCATATTTCAAAATATTTTAAGCAGAAATACATTTAAGTTGTAGCCTACAAATTACCAGAATTTGTCCTAGTCACCTAAATAAAAAATGTAAAAGTTCTACATTTTAACGTCCTTTCAACATTTTATGAACAGAAAACCCGGCAGGTAAACAGCTCAAGTCTGAATGGGAAATGATAACATATAAGATCAGCAGCATCCGCGCAAATAAAAAGTCAAATTTTTATCCAACACAAAACAATTACATACGCTTTAATCAAAAAGAAATTAGCAACGGCCAACCCCAATCCCATTACTTTCAAAAAAAGTCCTCTAACTTTCCTTTCCAGTTGAATGTACACTGATTGAAATGGTTGTTTTATGCGGACAATTGATTTTTTTAAATGAAATGTCTAATAGGGAAGTCAGTACATTACACTACCCATTCCAGAAAGCAGCCTTCCATTGAATTTACTCAAACTAATTGCTGAATTAGATGACCATGGAAAGTTACTGAGGGCATATCCAGCACTTTCTTCTGAACCAAAACTAAATCTGTTTTGGTCACTACTGCATTGCTATTCAAAATCAAGGACTGTTCATCTCTCTGGAATATTAGTATCGTAAGCCTGGGGAGGTGACAATATCATGTAATGGAGTTGTGGGGAAAGGAGTCAGAGTGTTGTGGCAACTCCCGGACCAAGGGAAAGAGTCTGTAGAAGTTCATAGAATCAGCTGACATGCTACGGTCAAAGAATTTGCAATTAGCAATTGACCAATCAATTTTGATTAACTCATTCTGTATGACTATCATAGGCTATTAAAAATAGGAAAGCGTGTTTCTAAAATGGGTTTCATAACAAGTGATTTAATGATAAAAGCTTGGACAGTTTTCAGAATTCAAAAATTCCGAGATACTAATATCTTTAAAAACTCCTGTCATTGTGTGTGTGTGTGTGTGTGTAAACACTACCTGTGTAATCATCTATTGAGATTTAAATTAGGACATTTTCTCAGTGTATCCCAGTTCTAAAGTTACTATTTATTATATTGCTATCCTAGGAACAGAGTGAGAAAAGGCAAAGAGGTAATTTAACACAGTCTTTTTCTGCTAAAATCAGAGTGTCTCTCATCTCTGCCTGAATCCAATACATTGTGATTACTGAAATACATATTATAGAATATCTACTTATTTTGTGGATTTAGGCAACGATTATGATTGTTGCTTTTCTCACATCTAAAAATCAAATTTATATTATACATGAAGACATTTTCTAAAGAACTTTTGGTCTGTATAAAAATGAATACTTAATAGAAACGTAATATTATTTTATGTTATTTGAATTGTTAAGTTTAAGAAAATAAAATGTTTTTAAATCTATTACTTTTAACAACACTGTAACATTTATTGGTTTTGGAATAAAATAGATCCAGAAAATTGCTGTGATATTACTTTTTATGTTTCTTATTGAAAGTAGGTCAATTAATTTCTAAGCAATGGGGCATTATAATTGTCAACTAACAGTGCTCAAGCAGTTAGGATTTTAACTGCTGACACTATTTTCTTTGAAAAATGATAGATGTCATTTAGTGTTTAAAGATAAATTGCTGCATAACAGTGACTTTTTTGCTGATAACTTTGCCATAAGCAAACATAACATGACCAAGAAGTTTCAAAGTGAGTTTTCTAGGCGAGCAAATCTAAATTAAAAAGGCTCTCATATTTCCTCAATCAGATATACTAACATCAACCAAGTGTTGTTTTCAATCTATAATATGAAAGGGCAATTGAGTCTGACTCAAACATCTGAAAAAGTTAATGTTAACACTTAGGAATATGTCTCCCTGTAGGAAAATTTTCACTGGCCGTGGGCTATACCACATTTATCACAGGTGATTTTCAAGGGGACAAATATTGCCCATTTCAGAAACAGGTTTGGAATGCAGGAAACTGCCAGAAAGTAACTGTGAGAGTTTGCACCATGGCTGACCTGGAGGAAGATGCCAGAGTCACAGATGGAAAAGGGAGGTGCATGACTCCCCTCTGTTGCCAAGGTTCCCATTCTCAATTCAGAAGGGTTTGCGGAGGGGGTGAAGGAACATTGAAGTTTCTGAGATATTCCTTAAGGACCAAGCTATAATTCACAGCTATCTATTTACATCAGATCTCAGCTTTTTTTTTTTTTTTTTTTTTTTTTTTTTTTGAGGAGGGTGCAGGAGGAGATGTGCGCAGAACATATATATACGGCTTGCCCTAAAGGATGAAATAAAATTGTGTATGCTATGACCTCTCTAGGAAGCCTCTAAACTTTTCTTATAAATTGTCTTCTAACTAAAATATTTCTTTTGGCCGTCCTTGGAGTACTCCCAGGTGACACACAGCTCGGGCTAACATTTCTACAGGACTGCTACCTTGATCTCTAGAGAGTCCAATGATGTTCCATACCAATATGTCTCAGCGTCACTGCCGAGCTTCCACCCACACCCTTAACACACAGAGAAAGCTGACACTTTCTGTTAGCTATAATTTTCCTTGAGAAAAACGTGGCAATATGTAGCAAAATACAATTATTAGTTTCAATATGTAGAACGTATTACAAGAAAAAAAAGATGCCAAAAACATCTTATGTCTACTGCTATTCCTATTAGTCTTTATTATCATGAAAAACTGGTCGCATCCTAAATATCCAACTTTCGGTGACTGGGTGAAGGAAAACTGTAATTTTTCCATATGATAGAATAGTATGCCAGCACTAACAACCAGAGAGCAGACTATTTAATGTCATGGTAAAGTATTTGTTTTGTGTGGTCAGGTGAGCAGTTCAGATCATAAAATCAAATGTACCCTATGATCTTATTTTTTGAAGTAAAGTACTGATGTATTTATATGTATAATTAAGTATAGAGAAAAGCCTAGATGGCTTCTCTTATAAGTCTTTTCATTGTTTTATAAATGGTATCAATATTTATTTTTCACTTTTTCCATCAGATTTCCTAGAATAATAAAATTCAATTCCCTCTGATGAGCATTCATTATTCTTTTTTTTTTTTTTTTTTTTGAGACGGAGTCTCACTCTGTCTGCTAGAGCTAGAGTGCAGTGGCCTGCTCAGCTCACTGCAGCCTCCGCCTCCTGGGTCATTATTCTTACAGTAAGAAAAAATGAATGTTACTAAGTATCTTCTCTGTCCTAGATCAACTAGGTATATACAAGGTGCCAAATACATTTAATAAAATGTTTTATTCATTCATAGCTTTTTGCAGTACAATTTTTTTTGTATGATTCCCTTGTCCTATCATCTCCACCAATAGTTTTGGTGTGAATTTATACTCTAAAGGAAAGGTGACAACCTTATACAATCTCAGGGCTTAAATACTATCCACGTGCTGATGCTTACAAACATACACCTCCAGTTGTGTGGTCTCCCTGAGTTCTGCACATCCCTCTTGGGCATCTAACAAGCATCTCACAGTTAACAAAACCACTGATTTCTAATCAATCCCAGGGACCCTCCGCCAGGCCTGCTCCTCTCTCAGAATTCCTTTTCTCACTTAGTGACACTATCATCCCACCAAACCTCGCTATCATCTTTCTTCCGTCTCCCAAATTTCCAATCCATTAACAAATCCCAAAAACCCCGCTTCCAATATTTGTCTAAATCTATGCACTTCTCAGCTTATCCACTCTTATTATTCTAGCTCCAATTATGTGGCCTTCTGTCTGTGTTACTTTCTTTTTTCCATTCTTGTACGCAGGGTCCAGTTTTCATAGTGAAGTCCTCATAAAACATGTATTAAATTGTATCAGCTTCTGCTTACAGTTATTTATTTATTTATTAAATTTGTGATGTATTTTTATTTATTTATTTATTTTGAGAAGGAGTCTTGCTCTGTCATCCAGGCTGGAGTGCAGTGGCGCGATCTTGGCTCACTGCAGGCTCCGACTCCTGGGTTCAAGCGATTCTCCTTCCTCAGCCTCCTCAGTAGCTGGCATTACAGGCACGCTCCACCGTGCTCAGCTAATTTTTGTATTTTTAGAAGAGATGGGGTTTCACCATGTTGGCCAGGCTGGTCTCAAACTCCTGACTTAAGGTGATCCACCCACCTCAGCCTCCCAAAGTGCTGAGATTACAGGCATGAGCCACTGCGCGCAGCTAGTTTCTGCTTACAGTTTTAAAATGACTTCTTAGTCTATTTAGGAGAAAATATAAACTCTTTACCAGAGCCTACTGGACTCCCCAAAACATGATGTATGTTTATCTCCTCCCTTTAACTCACTCTGTTTTAGCCACCTGGCCTTCTGTTCTCTGAATAAAATAAACTTATTCCTGCCACAGGGCCTTTACACCTACTTTGCCTTCTGCCCCAGACACAGTTCTCACAGGTTTTCCCATGACTCCTTTCTTCTCCTTATTCAGCATCAACCCAAACATCTGCCCCTGAGTGGCCTTCACCAGCACACTCTTCTTAAATATCTTTCCTTACCTCACCTTGTTTGGTTTTGTGCATAACATGTGTCAGCTACAATACTGGTTTCATTGGTTTGTTTATTTACTTTTTTCTTACAATGGAAAGCCCATGAGAGCAGGGTTGTGTCTGCTTTATTCACAACTTTAACCTCAGTGCCTGTACAGAACCAGGACCGTACTAGAAACTCAGTGAGCATTTGTTGAGTATCTTGAACGAATTAATTATTAAAACATTAAAAAGTGACATTTTCCAAGTAAAAATCTTTATCTACTTCCTTAGTGACTCTAATTGCAGACAATGCAAGGTAGAAATGAGGTTCAGATCAATGGCAGGCCGAGAAAGGCATTTTTGGGTGAGTCCATGCAGGCAATGTTTGCTATTGTGGCTGATTTACTTCCATATACTTTAACACAGGTATGTCCCTATTGTGAGACACGGCATTTTTCATAGTATAAAGGTGGAAAGCGAACTTCATGTTATAATAAAAAATAAAGTAAATTTTATACAAACACTAAGAAGTGATCATCTAAATCTACAGTTTAGAATCTGAAACCTATTCCTATGTTGACATCTTCCATGGCCCTACTCCTTAATTAATAAATTCTGACTTACAGAAGGCTATTTTCTGAATCCTTTCATAGCTGACATTGTGGTGGGTGCTGTTAGCCATCCCTTGATACTGACAGCACAATGGCCATCCCTGCCAGGGCACGCGTACACCATCAGTAGTCAAAAGTTTGGCAAAGTAGGCCGGGCGCCGTGGCTCACGCCTGTAATCGGCACTTTGGGAGGCCGAGGCAGGTGGATCACCTGAGGTCGGGAGTTCGAGACCAGCCTGAGCAACATGGAGAAACCCTGTCTCTACTAAAAATACAAAAAAAATTAGCCGGGCTGTGGTGGCACGTGCCTGTAATCCCAGCTGCTCTGGAGGCTGAGGCAGGAGAATCTCTTGAATCCGGGAGGCGGAGGTTGCAGCGAGCCGAGATCGCGCCATTGCACTCCAGCCTGGGCAACAAGAGGGAAACTCTGTCTCAAAAAAAAAAAAAAAAAAAAAAAAAAAAAAAAAAAAAATTGGCAAAGTAAAACACTTCTCTTCATCTCCAGGAGAGCAGTTCATGAAAGAGCATATTCTTAGATATTAAAGGTAAATTTTCAGTGACACCTGTGCAAGATATGACTTTCTGCTGTCCTCTATAAAAATCTACATTTCTATCATATAAATCTAGCAGATCTTAAAATGATAGACCTCAAAGGTAGCACTGCATTTGATATTCTCTTGCAACCCCAGAATGAAACTTAAGCATGAATAATTGGAGATCTGCACACTCCTATAAAGAATAAAGAATGGGACTCAAGTTCACACAGAAGCTAAAAAAGAAAGGCAGGATGACTTCCCTCTGCCACCTTGAAAAGGCTTTGAAACCTACGAAACAAGAAATGGGGAGGGGGGTTGCTGAATGGGTAATAAATATATGAGCCCTCCTCCTAAGGGTTTTTATAATCCTTTCTATCTTGGGTATCTATGTGTTCCTCTGTGAATGTGTTTTCTTATAACTGCACTTCTCATGGAACAGCTCTATCCTTATTATCTGTAACAGGGTTTCTGTTCTGCTTTCATCATGTATATATCTTAGAAAAACAATCTGAACAAATGTCCAGTTAATATGTATATTTATGTATTTATAAATTATATGTATATGCTATTGCACTAATACATTACATATTTTATATACCTTACTACAACCAAAGAAATATAAAAGAATGAGATGGAATAAATATATATTTAAGTTCTAGTTTTTCTTCCTCCATCCTCTGTGGAATGCTTACCCCACTTAAGAAACCCCTAAGATTTCACTGTGTCCTCACAGTGAGATTGTACTCACTCCTCAATGAGAGAACATTAATATTAAAGCTCTTTTGGTTTTATTATCAATTATGCGGTCGAATTTTCAAATAATCTAGCTGTACATATTATACTACAGTGGACGATACTGTGAGGTACCAACTGGACCAGCTCAGCAGAGGCTGGAAGGTTTAACTCATCAGTAGTCATGATACCACTTTTCTCTTAGACTTTTCCAGTAGAATTTATTTTTGGTTTTGCCAGCCAGGGTGAGAGCTGTTTTCTATAGGTATCAATGGTAGAATAAGCATTGTTGCCTCACAGAAGGGAGAAGTCTATGGTATTGGACACCAACCCCCAAGTCCTTCTTACATATCCTCTCCTTGAGAGATAGGGACTCGTGAAAAATGGAAACCCAGGAATTGGCTCTGCATAAACTTAAGCTTTGTCTTTGCAGAACAATTATGAGAAGCCTACTACTGACTCTGGAATATGTTGTATGCAATAAAAACTCTGTACTATTTAGGTATTGTTTCTGATGCACGATACTAGAAATAAGCATCAACTAGCCATGCAAAGTTCTGCTTAGGAAAAATGAAAGTATATTCAAATATAAATTTTTATAAAATGACTATTAACTAAAAAAAAAAATAGCCTTTCTTTCCCCAAACATCAATAGATGCAGAATGCAGAGTAATATTTACAACATGCAACATCATGTTTGGTTCTAATTAATAGACTATTTCAATGAAATATTATTTTGATAAATATGTTCATGCTTCATTTGTCATGTATTAAAAACAGCAATACACACTCACTTGATGAAAAATATTATTGAAGATAAAACAGAAGTATTTCATAAACAACCATTAGGTAGATTATAAGATAACATATAAAAGGTGATATAGGAAATAAATATTAGAAGTACATATTATTCATCTATGACCTAATTTGTATTGAAATGCTGCAAAAACCTTCATAGCAACATTCAGAGAATTACCTGAAAGAAAACTCTGGCATCTTCTATGGTCTTCTATGTGTTTTCTTTAATGGTCACAGTGATTCCCACGTTCAAACTTATTCACTGAAGACAATGCATGTCCTGAGATTCTCATTATTGAAATGCTGAGGCTGAGGCTTGCTTTTCACATATACAGATTGTCCAACATTAAAATACCACTGCATATTGACTGCATACAAAAATCATTAAACTAAATATTCCCAAAAGTCCTGATACAAATAATGTGTTACAATATTTTAGGCAGGATTACCTGATAGGGTTAACAAATTTATCAAGTATAACAGAAAGTGACCACTTATTATTTATTATTGGCTATACCAAAAAATATAGGATCAGGACTTACCTGAATAACATGCTTCAGTTTATCAATAATCTGATTTATCACAGGATCAGTTCCTTTGACTTTGACTTCAGGATTTCCAGACTGGGCTTTGATTCCATTTCCAACCACATGCTGAGTATAACTAGCAAAGGGAAATGTGAAAGATATATGACTTAGTACCTGATCAGAGTATTATCTGCCACAGCTATCTGAACATAGTTGAGGTCAGAATTTCCTCCTTTAGAGAATACACCAATGTATTTTTTTCTTGGAACAGAAACTGGCACAGCTATAATGCTTTTGCAGGTAAAATGCTAAAATGCTTATTGTGCCATTAGATCATTCTAAAAATAATGTTATTCTCTCAATGGACCCAACCAAAAATTACTTGTTTTTTAATACTACTTAACAATATGCTACAAAGAGTTGACATATCTCACTTTGTTACCAGTTCTTGCTGAATTATACATATGTCTGTACCCCTATTGTCTGGGTGAGCTTATTTTACGCAGTCCCAATCTTATTTTTTAAATATCAGGCTACTATATATGTGTGTGTGTGTGTGTGTATATATATATAGAATATGTATAGAGAATATATATAGGATACACATATAGAATATATATAGACTATATAGAATATACATATAGACTATATAGGATATATATAGAATATACATAGACTATATAGGATATATATAGAATATACATAGACTATATAGGATATATATAGAATATACATAGACTATATAGGATATATATAGAATATACATAGACTATATAGGATATATATAGAATATACATAGACTATATAGGATATATATAGAATATAGACTATATAGGATATATATAGAATATACATAGACTATATAGGATATATATAGAATATACATAGACTATATAGGATATATATAGAATATACATAGACTATATAGGATATATATAGAATATACATAGACTATATAGGATATATATAGAATATACATAGACTATATAGGATATATATAGAATATACATAGACTATATAGGATATATATAGAATATACATAGACTATATAGGATATATATAGAATATACATAGACTATATAGGATATATATAGAATATACATAGACTATATAGGATATATATAGAATATACATAGACTATATAGGATATATATAGAATATACATAGACTATATAGGATATATATAGAATATACATAGACTATATAGGATATATATAGAATATACATAGACTATATAGGATATATATAGAATATACATAGACTATATAGGATATATATAGAATATACATAGACTATATAGGATATATATAGAATATATATAGACTATATAAGATATATAGAGTATATAGACTATATATAGGATATAGATAGAAAATATATAGACTATATACAGGATATCGATAGAATATATATAGACTATATATAGGATATAGATAGAATATATATAGACTATATATAGGATATAGATAGAATATATATAGACTATATATAGGATATAGATAGTCTATATATAGGATATAGATAGAATATAGATAGACTATATATAGAATATATGTAGAATACAGATATAGAATATAGATACAGAATATATATGGAATATAGATATAGGATATATATAGATAGAATATAGATATACACACACATATATATTTCCTAATTAGGTCCTTCAAGAAATAAGTGATTAAACTTTTTAATAATGATAGTATCAATTGGACATGATAACAATAATATTATTAATACACTCTTTGATTTTTAAAATAAACTTGAACCCATTTCTTTTCATAGTCATAGAGGGGCTTAGAGATAAGAATTTCAGTATCCATTAGGGATTTGCAGTATACACCAGTAACAAATAGTAGAAAGAAAACAGTTATATCTATTTTGTTAATGTGTAATGATATTCTTTACTTTAGAAAATAAAATTATATATAGTATAACTATATATAATATATAATATATATTATATGTAAAATATATATAACTGTACAAGTCAATATCATAAATTATAACTGTACAAATTAAAATCATCAAATTTATAAGCAACGAAAATGTGCGAAGTATTTCCTAAGTAGAGGAAACAATCTGCTTTCGCCTAGGTTCACCTAAACAAAGATCTGGTAAATCATGTGGTAGGTAAAAAGGGTCATTTCACAGGTGGTGAAAGCCATTTGAAATTTCACTACCTTCCCCAAATTACAATCATACGTCAACTTAGAATTAATAAAAATATTTAAATTCATTAGTCACAAAGATGTCTTAAGTGAATGCTATATTCCAAGTCCTGTACTAGGTCTTTAGGATTATAAGAAGGTGTAAGACTCAATTTTTGTCCTCATAATGCTCATTACTTAACCAAGAATATAACAGATTAATTAACTCATTCATTTGTATGCTTATTCATTACATTTTACTACATTTAAAAAATACCGTAGATTTCAGCCATATAAATACCCTTGTTTGCCTGACAGAAGAGTGTAATATAAACACAACTGAACCGTTAAAATACAACATTATGAAAGTAGATGGAAGGAACTGCACGTGCCACGTGTGAGGAAAGATAAGACAGGTGGTAGATATTCTGGATATAGAGAAGCCCATTTGAACTCAGACACTAGGGAAAAACTAAAGGAGAAGTTATAACTTGAGGTAGCCTTGGATGTATTGAGGTAAGAAGAGGACATCTATGGTATGGTTAATGAGAACTTCAGGGCAAAGGATGTCATCCCAGCAAGGAAAACGGCAAAGGTACGTGAACAAGGCAGACAGGGAGAACAGGCCTCTATTCACAAAGCAGAGAGTACAAACGTTGGAAAGCAATGGATAGAGGGCCACACCCTGAAGATTCCACCCTGAATGTTGAAGACTCTCCACTGAGTGATATAATGGGCTCTGGAGATTCATAAGGGGGAAGTTGGCAGGTGGGTGTGGAATAAAAAAGCTACATGTTTGGTACAATGTACACTACTCAGGTGACAGGTGCAATAAAATCTCAGACTTCACCACTATACAAATTATCCATGTTACCTAAACCACTTGTGCTCCAAAAGCTATTGAAGTAAGACATTTATTTATTTATTTATTTATTTATGTTTATTTATTTATTTTTTTGAGACGGAGTCTGGCTCTGTCGCCCAGGCTGGAGTGCAGTGGCGCAATCTCGGCTCACTGCAAGCTCCGCCTCCCGGGTTCACGCCATTCTCCTGCCTTAGCCTCCCGAGTAGCTGGGACTACAGGCTCCCGCCAGTACGCCCGGCTAATTTTTGTATTTTTAGTAGAGACGGGGTTTCACTGTGTTAGCCAGGATGGTCTCGATCTCCTGACCTCATGATCCGCCCGCCTTGGCCTCCCAAAGTGCTGGGATTACACGCTTGAGCCACCGCGCCCGGCCAAGGCATTTAAAAAATGAAAACAAAACACTATCACCTGAGTCATTTGTTTGCTTACATTAAATATCATAATACTTTTCAGCAAAAAATATTATCATTTTAATGTAACTTTCGTTCCCTGTATTTGAGCGGAGTACTGCACTATCCATAAACACCCTCTGAATTTTCTACAGTAATGGAAAAAAATCTTTGAAAAAAATAAAAGAAGGTTCTATGTTTGAGAATATGGCTATATGAAAGGGGTTTCAAGAAATATCCAGTTCTTCCCAAGACGATGTACTTCCAGTGACCAGTTTTAAGAAGTGGAACAGGCCAGGCGCGGTGGCTCACGCCCGTAATCCCAGCACTTTGGGAGTCCGAGGCGGGCAGATCACGAGGTCAGGAGATCGAGACCATCCTGGCTAACACGGTGAAACCCCGTCTCTACTAAAAATACAAAAAATTAGCCGGGCGTGGTGGCGGGCGCCTGTAGTCCCAGCTACTCGGGAGGCTGAGGCAGGAGAATGGCGTGAACCTGGGAGGCAGAGCTTGCAGTGAGCCGAGATCACCTCACTGCACTCCAGCCTAGGTGACAGAATGAGACTCTGTCTCAAAAAAAAAAAAAAACAAAAAAAGTGGATCGAATATTTCCTAACGAGGTCCTTCAAGTAATAATAAGTGATTAAACTTTTTGATAATGATAATATCAATTGGACATGATAAAAATACTATTAATAAATCTTTTGATTTAAAAACTAACCTTGTACCCACTTCTTTTGTAGGCGTGGGGGGAGCTTAGAGTTAAGTATTCCAGTATCCGTTAGGGATTTGGCAGTATACATCAACAACAAATAGTAGAAGGAAAATAATTATACCTTTGTCTCATATATATATATATATATATATATATATATATATATACACACACACACACATAGAGAGAGAGAGAGAGAGAGAGAAACCATCTCTTAAATTACCTGTAGCACCACTATGTTATTCTTTACTCTCCCAATACCCCAAGTAGATTGCACATGTGACTCTTTTATTAATGTGTTGAATATTCATAATGATAATGAATAATATGAATAAATAAATTGATAAGTGCGTAACTATGAATTAGGCATTGCTTTACTCTTATCTGGAGATTTCAATTCATGATAAACATCTTTTAGTGACCATGAATAAGAAACTCATAGACCTGCATTAGAGAAATGCAAATCTAAACCACAATGAGATACCATCTCACTCCAGTTAGAATGGCAGTCCTTAAAAAGTCAGGAAACAACAGATGCTGGAGAGGTTGTGGAAAAATAGGAATGCTTTTACACTATTGGTGGGAGTGTAATTTACTTCAACCATTGTGGAAGACAGTGTGTGAATTCCTCAAGGATCTAGAACTAGAAATACCATTTGACCCAGCAATCCCATTACTGGGCATATACTCAAAAGATTATAAATCATTCTACGATAAAGACACATGCACACGTATGTTTATTGTGGCACTATTCACAATAGCAAAGACTTGGAACCAACCCAAATGTCCATCAGTGATAGACTGGATTATGAAAATGTGGCACATATACACCATGGAATACTATGCAGCCATAAAAAAGGACATGAGTTCATGTCCTTTGCAGGGACATGCATGAAGCTGGAAGCCATCATTCTCAGCAAACTATCACAAGATCAGAGAACCAAACGCCGCATGTTCTCACTCATAAGCAGGAGTTGAACAATGAGAACACATGGACACAGGGAGGGGATCATCACACACTGGGGCCTGTGGGGTGTGGGGGTGTAGGGGAGGGATAACATTAGGAGAAATACCTAATGTAGGTGACGGGTTGATGGGTGCAGCAAACCACCATGGCATGTGTATACCTATGAAACAAAACTGCAAGTTCCGCACATGTAACCCAGAGCTTAAAGTATAATTTAAATAAATAAATAATAAATAAATAAATAAACTCATAGACCTCAAAGTATGGGAAGCCTAACTGCCTACGGCCACTTGCTGCTTCACTCTAAAATCTGTTTCTGCATCTGCCCCTCAGTCAATGACTGAGGCCCACAGGGTGGCTAATGCAGATCCCTCTTTAGGAGACACAGGGCTTCTCTGAGGACCAGTCTTGGCTCAGGATTCCCTGAAGCCTTTTCTCACCCTTCCTTAGACTGTACATTACGCTCCAATGCTTCCACTCAACCTTCCTTTCCTCTTTCCTTCATTCTAGGTCAGACTTGCCTCATAGCTGAGACCTCTTCCAGGCTTACTCAGCTTCCTCTCCATTTTCTCTCACAGGGATTTCCCTTAATAAAATCCTCTTGTGTTTAACTCGTTTTCAACATCTACCTCTTGGAGGACCTGGACTAACCCACCACATAATGTTTGTATTATAATTACTTCCATTCTACAGGTTGAGAATCTGGGATCTGGAGAAGTTAAGCAACTTAAGTTACTCAAGTAAGGCCACACAACGTATATAAAGTGTGCTGCAAGGAGTTAAACCCAGGGAACGCACACTCCAAAACAGAACCATCAACAAGTACCAATCCTGAAACCAACTAATAAAAGGTAAAGATACAATTAGCTTGGTGCAAAATGTTATTTTTCTCTCTAATTACATTTTCTAAGGTTTCACTGTTTGTGATTAAGAAGGGATGAATGATTTTCATCAAAACTCTGCTCAACAAGCCGGGTGTCGTGGCATGCACCTGTAGTCCCAGCTACTGAGGAAGCAGAGGCAGGGGGATCACGTGAGCCCAGGAGGTTAAGGCTGCAGTGAGCTGTGATTACATCTCGTTGACCATGTGACCCTGAGTGTAACTCATAGACCTCAAGCCTGGGCAACAGAGCAAGACTCTGCCTTAAAAAGTAAAACTAAGCAAAACAAAACAATCCTGAACAAATGGTTGCACATAACCAGCTAAACAGTAATATAACAGTTGTTGGCAGGGTGAGAAGAAACTAGCAGACTGTAGGTTTGTCATACTGTTTTTTTGTTTCTCCAGAAACACAGATATAATATAGGCAATGAAAGCTGAGACTCATCTCTTAATTTCAGTTAAGCTATTAATTGATTTACATCATTTACTTACAGGTCAGAAAAGTTTCTTTCAAAAGGCAGGAATGTTGTTTCATGTTAATCTAAGGACTTGCTTACCTTTTGTTTCTGTTCTTAATGATCACAGTTACTAATACAGTTAAATAATATTTAGATAAAATACATTACAATTATAGCTGATCAAAAATCTCATTCCAAGCTGTTATATTGTTGACTATCTCATGATCACTCTTCTTATGAATCATGTAAATAGGGAAAAATACTGCAAAGTAGACCCACGTTACTTCAAATGAAATATGATTTAATAAAATCAGTTATTCTTTGCCAATTTTGTAATGTTCAAAATAACCACAATTGAAATAGTGATACATACACATCAGAACAGTTCAAATGAAAGAGAGAAATGATACCAAGTGTTGGCAAAGATGCGGAGCAACTAGAACTCTCTCCCATTGTGGATGGAAATGTAAACTGATGGACACCACCATTTTCCATGTATGCTAAATCTGACCATATTCTATGACCCTGAGCATATACCCAGCAATATTTACCAAAAGACAAATACATGAATGCTCAGAGAGGCACCATTCAAAATAACCACAAATTGAACTTATATTTGTATAATGATATAGTATATAGCAATGAGAACCTAACAAATTACAACTATATGCAAAAAGATTAACAAATCTTATAAACTAAATATTGAATGAAAGAAGCAAGATACAGAACATATTCTACGATCTAATTCACTAAAAATTGTAAAACTCATCAGTTATGTTCCAAATCACCATAAGAGCTATCCTATGAAATAGTGTCTAGAAGAAGTAATAATATAAAATTTCCTGATTTGAGTACTGGATACACAGAAGGGCTAAGTTTGTTTAAAAACAAAAGAAGTATTGAGCTGTACAGTTAAGATTTGGGTATTTTACTGTTTGTATGTATTTTCAGCGTTAGAAAATTATGTTAAAAAGTCTTTATGCTCTTTTTCTTAATATATTTACAATAGACAAATTTTCATTAAGCCACAGTATAAATAAAAAAGACCCACACAGGTATTTTTAACATGGATGAAGTGGTTCTGCCATCATTAAATGAGTACTTTAGGATGCAAGTCTGATATAAAAACTTACTTCCCTGAAGACTTTAATTTTGCATGCAAAATACACGGTTTCTAAATTAAATTTTTTTGTAACAAAGCGTTTTTGAGTTCCCCTCATGAAATTTTAATAAATCATTAATTTCTTCTTTTTCTCTTTCATGCACAAGCAGTGGATAAACATTTCAAAGATCCCTACAGAAGTTTCTTCCCTTGAAATACTGTTCACATGACAATGAGAAGGATGGAATAAAACACAAAAAAGGTAAGCAATTTTTTTTTTTTTTTGAGGCGGAGTCTTGCTCTGTCGCCCAGGCTGGAGTGCAGTGGCGCGATCTCTGCTCACTGCAAGCTCCGCCTCCCGGGTTCCCGTCATTCTCCTGCCTCAGCCTTCGAAGTAGCTGGGACTACAGGCGTCCGCCACCGTGCCCAGCTAATTTTTTGTATTTTTAGTGGAGACGGGGTTTCACCGTGTTAGCCAGGATGGTCTCCATCTCCTGACCTTGTGATCTGCCCGCCTCCGTCTCCCAAAGTGCTGGGATTACAGGCTTGAGCCACTGCGCCCGGCCAACAGGCAAATTTTTCGTTGGGGAAGTAGTAGACCAACCATCTGTGCTTATTTCTTCTAAACAGAGCTGGGAATGAGTGACAGCAGTTGAACAGGAACACTTGCTCCCCAAGCACTACTTGTTTTTCATGAAGAAGGAAAAAAGGCAAAAGCCCTGCTACATTTACATTCGCAAAATTGTTTTCAAATGAGGATTAACAAGATGTTAGTTCCCTCTCTGTTGAACACATAAAATATTAAAAGGCAGTGCTAATACATCTATATACAGCACATCAGGAGGAAGGAGGAAGTCATTTCTCCTGACTTTACCAACTTGTCTTATTTGAAACTGATACCGTGCCCTATTGGCTGATAGGAGTTTCACTTTATTTAGAATACAATAGAATTTGGCTCAGATTCACACCAAAAGTATAGTATTTTGATGTGCACTTACACGATTTCAGGGGAAAACAATATCTGGAATGTGACCCTGGAATTCATTACAAGTCAGCTAAAGGGATCTCTCTTAGAATTTTTTCATAATTGGACTGGGACAGGATGTAAGAATAAATCATTAACAGTAGATGAGGAAAACACTTGACGAGAGCTTTCTCGTCTTACCATTACTGCTCTTTCTATCAGAGGTTAAAGACAGAATGGGGACCATGTTGTGGTTGTTATTCTTGTTGTTTGATTGGTTTGTTTATTATGTTCTTGCAGGACTTGGTTATGTGGCTGGATATGAAAATTCTTTCCATTTCCAGAGTCATACATCTCCTAATTTCTAGGAGATTAAATACTGGTTTTATCTTTGGCTCCAGTAAAAATGTTGCTATCTTGGATTAAAAGAAGGTTGGGAAATACGTTGTGTCTATTCACCAGTGAATGGGAACCCCTTCTACAACAACAAATTTTCCATTCAAACCATTTCTAGGCCTCCCTTCCTGGTTCTGATAGCAAATGTGAAAGCAAGTACTAGAGATTTGGGTTTTGTAAGTTTCCTCAAATACTTGGGAAATACTGGATTCCGTTGCCAAGTGTTGCCTTTTGTACATTCAGCTTCTACACAGCACGTTTTCTCTATGTTGAAAGTCCTAATCCTTGAAATCTCAGAATGGAAAAGAGTTATATGACTAATTTTATGTGCCAGGATTATGGGAATAAACTTTCATGGAAGATAGGAAGCTTACAGGGCATCTAGAGAAAGGAGACATCTGTAGAATCAATTCAGAATGATTAAGCCCCTTGTGATCTCACTATCTCACTTCAATTGTTAAGCCACAAAACTCTTTTTAAGTTAATCTCTAACATTTATTTGGCTTTATAATTACATATAAATAATGTCTAAATTTGACACCTATGTTTCCAAACTTAATAATGAAGTCAAAATAAACAGAATTAAGGAGAGCTTATTACGATCTTTATTGTTATTTATATATAACAAATTTCCTATTAAGAATATAATATTTTATGATATCTTATGGATGTCATTAACATTGCTTTAATAAAGGTATTATCATGCTTTGTACAGCAACCAACACGAAAATGTTACTATACCACTGCAATAAATAGAATAAAAACATGTTCAGAAAGACTTAGAAACTCATTAAAGAATGGATGTTAATCACTTTTCACCCTAACTCCTCATTTGGCAAGGCATGAATCTATGCATTCCAGTTTAGACAGGTGGCAAGTAAGTAGTCCCATTGCATTTCATAAAATAAGCAGCTGCGTGAATTTGAAAGATACTATTTCCACATGAAAAGCTAATGACTGCACATGTAAAATCAGTAGTGTTTAGGAAGCTGTCATTTAAAAAACAACAAACTACCTAATTAAAAAGTAGCACAAATAAACTTTTCCCTATGTAAAAAATAGAACATTGCTTAGCCTTTTCTTAAACCCCTCCCCAATTCTTACCAAGAAAGGATAAATACCTTTATTATAGTCAAAGCTCTGTTTTTATGGTTTTTGAATTTTTTAATCTAAAATTCAAAGCAAATAATCAATCTTTAATTTATATTTATCCCAATTTGATTCAAAGTGACGGTCCAAAAGTAAAATGATCAATTATAACTATAATCAATCACAAATAATGCTATGTGAGTTTGAAATGTTAATCTAAGTTGCCTTTTCCAGGTATGCATTTTAAAATTAAACTCTTCTCAGTAAGATCAAGGCTATCCTTCATGGATTTATGATGTTTGATAATCACCACGTTGTACTGATTTGCTGTCTCACTTCACTGTTTGATATCAACATATGAAAGTAAAAATGCTATTTAGGGGATAACTATTATCTGAGCACTAATAAATTAAACGCTATTTTAAGCCAACAACAAAATTGTTTAGGGTACAATTTTTATTTAACCAACTGTCCATTATAAACATTATAAAATTCTGAAAGATCCTAGAATCTTATATAGCTTTTTTGTATTTTTTCAAATGTAATTGACACCAGCATGAATTAAATTTCATATTTAAAAAGCTTCTGACTACATTACAACATACTTTAAAATTACTTGCAAGATATGATAATTCTAAGATTACCCACATATCATGCAAATGAAACAGCCAGGTACTTCCTACCAACACATGATACAATAAAATCCAGAAGAACTTCTGAATTAGAGTGTAGTAGTTGCCTAGGGCCATCATACCTAATTATCACACACTTGGTGGGTTAAGAGGACAGAAATATATTCTCTCATAGTTCTGAAGCCTGGACCTCTGAAATCAAGATGTTGGCGGGGCCACACTCCCCCTGAAGACCCTAGGGAAGAATTCTCCCTCGCTTCTTCCTGGTTTCCAGTGGCTCCTGGCAATCCTTGGCTTTCTTTGATTTATGACTGCATAACTCCAATTTCTGTCTCCATCTTCACATGACCTTGTGTGTGTCTTTTCCTGTATGTTATAAGGACATTTACACTGGATTTAGGGCCCACCTTCACCCAGGATGACCTCATCTCAATCACTGGGTTAATTATATCTGCAAAGACCCTACTTCCAAATAAAATCACATTCTAAAGTTCCTAATGGACATAAATTTTGGAGGTACGGTATTTAAATCACTGCACAGAACATGTAAAGACAAAAATCTGGAAGCTACCTGAATGAAAATGGATATTCCCTTGAACTTCGACAAAATCATATTCTATTTTTCCATGAGAAACATTTTATTAATCTAAAACAATATTCATATTTCACAAGTACACCTCTTAAATTATAGCTTGGACTTAAGAAAAATAATTAGCTTTGGAAATTATCAGTACATGATATCTAGTATTTCCTATATTTTTAAGAACTTCTACCTCCTAGCAAAAATAAACAATGCAATGGATAATTTCTGTGTTCTAAATTCACACACACAAACAGGAAAGGGACTTTAAAAATGATGTGTTCTCTTTTAAAGCAGAAGCCCAACCACCTGCTCTGAATCTAAAAGTTTCCTGAAAGCAATGAAGGGCTAGTTTATTATGAAGGTGTTGATAGCTGATTCTGTGGAGACTCACACAGAAACAAAGAATAAATTTTAATCACACTTAATGCTAATGTGGTAGTAAGGTTGTGACAATATTCAAATATGACTAATTTCATTGAATTAACTACACTCGGGCTTAGCTTAGTTGTCCAAATTTATTACAAATAGCTCAAACTAAATAATTCAACTCTTCTGTTTTCTATTTATTTTTTGTTGATGCTTAAGAGTAAAAAGATATTTCAACTGAATTTTTTTTTTTTTTTTAGCAATCAGTTCTCTTGTTTTATCACCATAAGACTGTAAACGGCCGTAACAGGTCACTGAATCTAGCACTGCCTTCAACAAGAAATGCACCTAGAGCAGGAATATAGTACTTGGCACTCATCTCTAGACCTATAACCTAACAGATTTTTTTTTTTGTCTGTCTTTGGTGAAAGTAACGTAAATTTAGAGCTGGAAAGGACCTTAGAGGTCATCTAGTCCCACCCAAGCATCTTTGAAAACAAAATAAAGAAGTGTGTTGGCCTGATGCAGTGGCTCACGCCTGTAATCCCAGCACTTTGGGAGGCCAAGGCGGGCAGATCACAAGGTCAGGAGATCGAGACCATCCTGCCTAACATGGTGAAACCCCGTCTCTACTAAAAATACAAAAAATTAGCCGGACATGGTGGCAGGTGCCTGTAGTCCCAGCTACTCGCGAGGCTGAGGCCAGAGAATGGAGTGAACCCAGGAGGCAGAGCTTGCAGTGAGCCGAGATCGTGCCACTGCACTCCAGTCTGGGCAATAGAGTGAGACTCCGTCTTAAAAAAAAAAAAAAAAAGAAGCATGTTTATTTCATCATTTTGTACTTATACACTGTGTATTTCCAGAAAAGCCCCTGAGACAGCTTAGAATGAAAGGCACAGACACTATAAAACAAGGGCAAAATGACAGAATAATGAAGAGAAAGAGGTGACAATTACATGGGACAACCTAGGGAAGGAAACACTACCCTTCAGCCTAAAATTTAGTCCTAAGCCCCTTGTTCTTAAAGGCCAAAAGGAAAACCAGAATTCAAATAGGTATTGTTAGTTAATAAAATAGTATCTGGATATATCAGCAACTATTTTTTGGTAACTCTAAACTCAAGCAAAATATATGTCTTCAAGCAACAGACAATGGACAATATAATAAAAATAATCTTCCATAGCAATTTCCAAACTTTTAAAGATGTAAGAACAAATGATCTTTTCTTACAGGATGCTTAGTTGAAAGCTGCCCGCATGATGGTATTTTAAACTACATGATGTTAAATTCCCTGCATGATGGTATTTTATTGGGACCTGGTTATATGATTTGGTGAAGAATGTAACCTTTGAGAACTTAGAAGAGTGAATGGTTAATATTTCTCTGAATTTTTTTGTTTTTAATTGATATTTTATTTTATCCCTCATAGACAATATATGCCTGGGAAATACACTGAAGTATAGTAAAAAAGAATCTAAGGGTTAAAGTGTTGAGGTAAATGAGAAAGCAGAGGTTGTGTCTGAAGAACCGTGTGGTCGCACTGCACCACACAGCAAACAGAAATATGGGTGAGCACAGGCCGGGCGCGGTGGCTCAGGCCTGTAATCCCAGCACTTTGGGAGGCCGAGGAGGGCGGATCACAAGGTCAGGAGATCGAGACCATCCTGGCTAACACGGTGAAACCCCGTCTCTACTAAAAATACAAAAAATTAGCCGGGCCTGGTGGTGGGCGCCTATAGTCCCAGCTACTTGGGAGGCTGAGGCAGGAGAATGGCGTGAACCCGGGAGGCGGAGCTTGCAGTGAGCCGAGATCGGGCCACACCACTCCAGCCTGGGGGACAGTGAGACTCCGTCTAAAAAAAAAAAAAAAAGAAGTTCACCCTATGCAGGCACTATAACTACGAGTCCCTCCCATCTGAGCCTTGCCTTCCAGACAACCCCACCAATACATAAGACAGAAAAAAAGCACCTTGCACCTTCCAGACTGACTTGTTTGCCAGCCGCATAGCACTGAGTCACCCTAGTTAATGATATGAGAGAGGAAGAATCACTCAGACGAATCCTGCTGGAATTTCTCACCTATAGGATCCATGAGATACAATGAAGTGGTCGTTGTTTTACCTTATTAAATTTGGGGTAGTTTCTTTTTTCTTTTCTTTTTTCTTTTTTTTTTTTGAGACGGAGTCTCGCTCTGTGGCCCAAGCTGGAGTGCAGTGGCGCAATCTCGGCTCACCGCAAGCTCCGCCTCCCGGGTTCACACCATTCTCCTGCCTCAGCCTCCCGAGTAGCTGGGACTACAGTCACCCACCACCACGCCAGGCTAACTTTTGTATTTTTAGTAGAGACGGGGTTTCACCGTGTTAGGCAGGATGGTCTCGATCTCCTGAACTCGTGATCCGCCCGTCTCATCCTCCCAGACTGCTGGGATTACAGGCGTGAGCCACGGCGCCCGGGCCATTTGGGGTAGTTTCTTAAGCAGCAATAGTAACTGTAACACTGACTCACTTCTACTGCCACCAATCACTATCCTCCTTTCCTGATTTACTTCCTCGTATGTACCATCTTTTAAAAAACAAATAATTAGGCCGGGTGCAGTGGCTCACGCCTGTAATCCCAGCACTTTGGGAGGCTGAGGTGGGCGGATCACGAGGTCAGGAGATCGAGACCATCCTAGCTAATATGGTGAAACCCCATCTCCGCTAAAAATACAAAAAATTAGCCAGGCGTGGTGACCGGGGCCTGCAGTCCCAGCTACTCGGGAGGCTGAGGCAAGAAAATGGCGTGAACCCGGGAGGCGGAGCTTGCAGTGAGCTGAGATCGCGCCACTGCACTCCAGCCTGGGCGACAGAGGGAGAGTCCGCCTCAAAATAATAATAATAATAATAATTAGTGAAAACTTCAATAACTTTTGCACCAGCCTAATAGTTGTAAAGAAACTATAAGCAAGTTCACAAAAGTTAAAACAAAAAATCAGCTATGAGAAACAAATATGAATTATACCACTAACTGCTGAAAAGAAAGACTCTAAGACTGAAATTACCAAAAAAAAAAAACCCTCAGCTGAAAACAAAACAAATAATCAAACTCTATTACTCTACTCTATTTCCATGAAGTGTACAAACTGTTCCTGTAAGTTTAACGATATTAAAATGTACAAAGATTAATAAAGTAAAAATCAAAGACTATTTATAACATCATCGATTTAAGTAGATTTAAGTAGATTAAGTAGAATTTTAAAGGAAAAGGTATCACATGGAAAACAATAAAATATTTAATATTACAAAGCAAAACACTAAATGAACGTCACATTTAATTGTGAAATCATTAGCATGTTTCTCCGTTATGACTTATTAAAGGATAAAATTTGAGCATTATAATGTATAAGATTTTTTGGCCGGGCGCGGGGGCTCACGCCTGTAGTCCCAGCATGTTGAGAGGCTGAGGCGGGCGGATCACGAGGTCAGCAAATCCAGACCATCCTGGCTAACACGGTGAAACCGTGTCTCTACTAAAAAAATACAAAAAAATTAGCCAGGCGTGGTGGCGGGCACCTGTAGTCCCAGCTACTTGGGAGGCTGAGGAATGGCGTGAACCTGGGAGGCGGAGCTTGCAGTGAGCCCAGATTGCGGCACTGCACTCCAGCCTGGGCAAGAGAGTGAGACTCCCAATCCAAAAAAAAAAAAAAAAAGAAAAGAAAAGAAAAACCGACTTTCATTAAAGCCTCCTGCAGAAATTTGCATAAGTAACAAGGAGCCAAATGTAATCACCAAGACAATGGGGAAAATGTCTCCAGAACATTAAAGACCTTAACACCTTCACGGCAGCTCTTTCCATCACAGGCTCAAAAGCCTAGTATGGAAAAATGATTTCCTGGAGCAGGTCCAGGTCCCCCTGCTGTGTGCAGCCTAGAGACTTGGTGCCCGGCATTCCAGCCACTCCAGCCATGGCTGGGGTGGGAGACACCAGGCTACAGCTCAGGCCACGTCTTCGGAGGTTGCAGCCCCAAGCCTTGGCAGCTTCCACAAGATGTTGAGCCTGCAGGCGCACAGAAGTCAAGAATTGAGGTTTGGGACCCTCCACCTAGATTTCAGAGAATGTATGGAAACACTTGGATGTTCAGGCAGAAGTTTGCTCTGGTGGGGTGCGGGGGCAGGAGCAGGGGCTCATGAAGAACCTCTTCCAGGGTAGTAGAGAATTGAAATGTGGGCTCTGTCTCCCATACAGAGTCCCTACTGGGGCAATGCCTAGTGGAGCTATGAGAAGAGGGCCGCTGCCCTCCAAACCCCCAATTGGTAGATCCACAAACAGTTTACACTGTGTACCTGGAAAAGCCACAGACAATGCCAGCCAGTGAAAGCAGCCAGGAGGGAGGCTGTACCCTGCAAAGCCACAGAGGCAGAGCTGCCCAAGGCCATGGGAGACCACCACTTGCGTCAGTGTGACCTGCATGTGAGACACGGAGTCAAAGGAGATCATTTTGGAACTTTAACGTTTAATGACTGCCCTATTGGATTTCAGACTTGCATGGAGCCTGTAGCCCCTTTGTTTTGACCAATGTCTCCCATTTGGAACAGGTGTAAATACATTGGGGGGTACCCAATGCCTGTACCCCCATTGTATGTAGGAAGTAACTAACTTGCTTTTAGTTTTACAGGCTCATAGGTGGAAGGGACTTGTCTCAGATGAGACCTTGGACTGTGGACTTTTCAGTTAATGTTGAAACGAGTTAAAACTTTGGGGGACTGTTGGGAAGGCATGATTGATTTTGAAATGTGAGAACATGAGATTCAGGAGGCGCCAGGGGAAGAATGATATGGTTTGGCTATGTCCCTACCCAAATCTCATCTTGAATTATAGCTCCCATAATCCCCATATGTCATGAAAGGGACCCAGTGGGAGGTAATTGAATCATGGGGATGGGTTTCTCCCTGTGTTGTTCTTGTGAAACCGAATAAGTCTCACAAGATCTGATGGTTTTATAAAGGGGAGTTCCCCTGCACATGCTCTCTCTCTTGCCTGCCACCATGTAAGACATGTCTTTGCTCCTCCTTTGCCTTCTGCCATGATTGTGAGGCTTCCCCAGCCACGTGGAACTGAGTCCATTAAACCTTTTTTTCTTTATAAATTACCCAGTCTCAGGTATTTCTTCATAGCAGTATGAAAGTGGACTAACACAGTATCAAACCCTGGTTTGGGGTAATAATCACTACCTTCTAGGTAACCAGAATGGAAAAAATATAACAGAAAAAAAATCCTAAAAATCATCCTGCGTACAAGAAAAATGAAACTGTATGCTGAATTCTCAGGGGGAGAAAACGTATTTAAAAATATATGACTTTCAAACCACAAGAAACTATAGAACATTGCTTTAAACTATTTGTCTATGAACAGTATGTAGAAACACATGGAATTTAGGAAATAGGAGATGAAGGCTACAATAACAAAAGAGGCTCATATCACAAAATGGGAGATAGCTGAGATGAGGCTTCTATGAAAACTAAAGTGCAAGGGCAGATTTTCCATCCACAGGGAAATCCGTGGAGAAAGAAACTGACACACTGAAAAGTTCAAGCAGCAATTGAATCAGAGCTCTGGAGGGCAAAGGAAGAGATGAACTAATGACAGAGAAGAAGGCGGATGGGTATGCCAGAGACCACAGGTTCCACCTCGAGAATAGTTTGTGTACTGGGGAAAGACACAAGGGCAAGGAGATCTGAAACAATAATCAAAGCTATCACTGAAGTACGAATAATAAAAGCACCAACCAGTTTCTAGGCAGGGAGGGGGAAGAAACAAGGAAGAGTTCTCCATATTTAAATAACAACTAGCCAAACTCCTGAATTTTACAAATAAAGAAAAAAACTTCCTTAAAAATAAAAAGTCAGGCTTAGATAAGACTTTTTTTCTTCTCTGTTAACATTATTAGAAGACATAAAGATTTTAAGAGAATAAAAATATGATCAAGAGGATCATAAATATCAGGTTGTCTTTACCTGAGTACGAAGCAATGGCATCTGTATATCCAGCACTGATTTGTCCTTCCAATAAAAATTTACTCAAAGACATATGGGTACATATTAGAAAAATAATCAAAATTAATATTTCAAGGATTAGGAAGTTGTGAAGCCAAAATCCTGCAAGGGGACAATTGATTCAGTTAATGGAAAGATTTATTTTTCATATTTTATGATTATTTACCAAAATAATATTTTTAAAGTATAATTATAAAATAAAAATAAAATATTTAACAATACTATAATTATAATCATGTTCCAAGTTATAAAACAAGATAGTGAGAATTGTCAGTAAGATAGTAAGAATTCTAATACTATCTCAAAATAAAGGATACAGAAGGTTTCAGGGCAAGAGAAAGGGAAAACCTTCTATATCCTTTAGTTTGAGACAGTATTAAAGCTTTCTGTAGGCTCACTCAAAATGTCCGGATTCTGACCACATTTGAATATGAGCACTCCCAACCTGACGATTCCTAGTCTAAGCCACACATATTTCCTCTTATGGTTATTGCAAAAGCTCCCTAACTGGTCTCCCAGCTTCTGCCGTTGATTCCTTTCAGCTATTTTTTACACAAGTGCCAGAGAAATCTCAGAAATGCAATTCAGATGATATCACTTCTTTGCTTATATCTTTCAATGTTGTTCCCCTCTACGTGTTCATGTATTCTCCCCTTTGACTCTCGCTTCTAAGTGGGAACATTTGGTTTTCTGTTCCTGCATTAGTTGGCTAAGGATAATGGCTTCCAGCTCCATCCATGTTCCTACAAAGGGTGTGATCTCATCTTTTATGGTGGCATAATATGCCATGGTGTATATATACCACATTTTCTTTATCCAGTCTACCATTGATGGGCATTTATGTTGATTCCATGCCTTTGCTACTGTGAATAGCGCTGCAATAAACATATGCATGCATGTGTCTTTATGACAGAACAATTTATATTCCTTTGGGTGTATACCCAGTAATAGGATTGCCGGGTCGAATGGTAGTTCTTTTAGGTGTTTGAGGAATCACCACACTGTCTTCCACAATGGCTGAACTAATTTACACTCCCACCAACAGTGTAGAAATGTTGCCTTTTCTCCACAATATTGCCAGCATGTTATTTTTTAGCTTTTTAATAATAACCATTCTGAATGGTGTGAGATAGTATCTCATTGTACTTCTGATGTGCATTTCTTTAATGATCAGTGATGCTGAGCTTTTTTTCTACGTTTGTTGGCTGCACGTATGTCTTATTTTGAAAAGGAGGGTGAAAGCTGGGAGGAGGGAGAGGATCAGGAAAAACAACTAGTGGGTAGCAGGTTTACCATGTGGGTAACAGAATAATCCGTACAACAAACCCCCATGACACAAGTTTACCTACATAACAAACCTGCACGTGTACCACTGAACTTAAAAGTTAAATTTAAAAAATAAAAAATAAAAAAATCTTTCAATGGTCCCATGTCAGTTTGAGGAACAGCCAAAGTCCTTAAAATGACGTACAAGGTGCTCGTTCCATCATCCGTCTTCTCATGTTTATTTCTCTGCCACCATCTACTAATACTCTTCCCCCTTCTCATTCTACTCCAGCTATAATGGCTTCCTCGATGCTGTTCTAAGAATAAGTCCACATGATTCCGACTCAGGGCTTTTGCCCAAGCTGTGGTCTCTCTTTGGAATGCTCTTGTTTCAGCAGAGCACGATTCCTCCTCATTTCCTTCAAGTCTGTCCCCAAATGCCTTCTACCTGGTGTGTAATTGTCATGTGTGGCAGTTTTAAACATAGTCCAAAAACAGGTTGATATTCTTCTCATCAAAAAATAGGTCTATGTCTCCCTTCCCTAAATCTGGACGTGCTTGTGACTGCTACAATCAATAGAGTATGACAAATAATTCTACCTGACCTTTAAAGTGAGATAAAAAGAGACCAGGCATTTTCCACCTGGTTCCCTTGGAGTGTTTGATCTGCGGAAAGCCAGCAGCCATATAAGAAGTTTACCCTGTGCAGGCCGGGCGCGGTGGCTCAGGCCTGTAATCCCAGCACTTTGGGAGGCCAAGGCGGGTGGATCACGAGGTCAGGAGATCGAGACCATCCTGGCTAACACGGTGAAACCCCGTCTCTACTAAAAATACAAAAAATTAGCCGGGCCTGGTGGTGGGCGCCTGTAGTCCCAGCTACTCGGGAGGCTGAGGCAGGAGAATGGCGTGAACCCGGGAGGCGGAGTTTGCAGTTAGCCGAGATCGGGTCACACCACTCCAGCCTGGGGGACAGTGAGACTCCGTCTCAAAAAAAAAAGAAAAAAAAAAAAGTTTACCCTGTGCAGGCACTATAACTAAGAGTCCTTCCCATCTGAGCCTTGCCTTCCAGACAACTCCATCAATTTATAAGACAGAAAAAAAGCACCTTGCACCTTCCAGACTGACTTGTTTGCCAGCCGACTAGCACTGAGTCACCCTAGTTAATGATGTGAGAGAGGAAGAATCACTCAGATGAATCCTGCTGGAATTTCTCACCTATAGGATCCATGAGATATAATGAAGTGGTCGTTGTTTTACCTTATTAAATTTAGGGTAGTTTCTTTTTTCTTTTTCTTTTTTTAAATTTTTTTTTTTTTGAGACGGAGTCTCCCTCTGTCGCCCAGGCTGGACTGCAGTGGCGCGATCTCGGCTCACAGCAAGCTCCGCCTCCCGGGTTCACGCCATTCTCCTGCCTCAGCCTCCCGAGTAGCTGGGACTTAAGGCGCCCACCACCACCAGGCCAGGCTAACTTTTGTATTTTTAGTAGAGACAGAGTTTCACCGTATTAGGCAGGATGGTCTCGATCTCCTGAACTCATGATCCGCCCGTCTCAGCCTCCCAAACTGCTGGGATTACAGGCGTGAGCCACGGCGCCCAGGCCATTTGGGGAAGTTTCTTAAGCAGCAATAGTAACTGTAACACTGACTCACTTCTACTGCCACCAATCACTATCCACTTTTCCTGATTTACTTCTTCCTATGTACCGTCTTTTAAAAAACAAATAATTAGGCCGGGCTAAGTGGCTCACGCCTGTAATCCCAGCACTTTGGGAGGCTGAGGCGGGCGGATCACGAGGTCAGGAAATCGAGACCATCCTGGCTAACACGGTGAAACTCTGTCTCCACTAAAAATACAAAAAAGTAGCTGGGCGTGGTGGTGGGTGCCTGCAGTCCCAGCTACTCGGGAGGCTGAGGCAGGAGAATGGCGTGAACCCAGGAGGCGGAGCTTGCAGTGAGCCCAGATGGCGCCACTGCACTCCAGCCTGGGCGACAGAGCGAGACTCCGTCTCAAAAAAAAATAAAAATAAAAAATAAATAAAAAAAGATTTTTAATATATATATACGAGAATATGTGAAACAGTATTTTTTCAAGTTTCCATTGAAAATTTTAAAAATAGATTATATAAAACCTCAATATATTTTTTAAAATAAAAACCACACAGGTCACATTACCTACTCAAAATTTAATTACATTAGAAATTAAGACAAAGTTAAAACAGGACAACCAGCACCCCTAGTATCACCCTCCTCAGAGTATTTAAAAATAGATTCCTTTAAATTATCTCTTTTTTTACAAGAATAAAATCTAATCAATTATTAGAAAGATAATCTCAAACTGAACTCAAAAGAAGAAGCAAAGCATCTTCAAAGTCAATAAGGGTGCTATAAATGCTTCTTGGACTCTGAAACTCTCTGACTTCCCATTCTACTCTCAGTTGTAGAAAACTCCCTGATTGTGAAGTTTTGGTGTGATTAGGTTAGGTTTACCCAGATACTCCCCCCGTCTTAAGACTGACGGATTATTAGCCTTAGTGACATGTGCAAGACTCCTTTGCCGTGTGAGGTATCAACAGGGTAACATGAGGTAATGAAGGTCATAGGGGCTATCTTAGACTTCTTCCTGCTACAACCTCTATTCACTTATTTTGAATCCTCAGGGTTTAATGAGCTCCTACTATGTTCTAGGTCCTTGCAATAGGAGTACAGCAGTGAACAAGACAAACATGGTTCTGGTCCTTGGAGTACAAAGTAAATGCTGAAAATTTAATAAATGGGTCAGTAGATAGATAGATGTATAAAGGTCTAAATGCACATTCAGAAAATAGCAGGAGAAGACTGAGACTCAGTATTATTGAATATGCTTTAAAGGCCCATGTGTCGTCTTGAATGAAAATGTTGCTCAATTTCTGATGAGGAGACTAATTCATCAATATCTGTTATCATTGACTGATGACCTCACATAATAAAAGATCTTGACTTGAGTGTACGTTAATAATCAACATAATGGGTAATGTATCAAAAGAGTATATGGAACATAATAAAAAGATATAAATTGAAATCTTAAACAGTTTTGTGCTAAAATATGTTTAGAATTGCTTGAACCCAGGAGGCGGAGGTTGCAGTGAGCTGAGATTATGCCACTACACTCCAGCCTGGGCAACAAGATCCAACCTCCGTCTCAAACAAACAAACAAACAAACAAACAGAAACAACCCAAACAAACACAAAAAGTTACTATAATTGTATCTCTTTTGACTATAGCCTGGAAGAAATCACTTTCTCCCCAACTTAAGGAAGGGGAGACTTATCTCTAGCCAAGCTTTGAGTATAAACATATAAAAAGTAATTTTCATTTTCTTGAAACTGACTGCATGAAAAGGCATATGGTGTTCCCAAAAAATGTCTGATGAGTGAGAATATTAAAATGACTAAACTGATGGGACATATTTAATTTAATATTTAAACTTGATAAAAACTAGTTAAGCATTTAACTCAAGAATTTCAAAATGGTACAGCAAAGCATACAAGCAAAATTAAAAGGAATGCTAATTACATATTAAGTTAGAAGGCAATAAATTATAAACAAAAACAGTAACAATTTATAAACATACACAAGTTCATTCTTTAACAAATAACCCATGATACAGAAAAATATAGCAAATGTGATAAAACAAAAACTGAGAAAACATAAAATTTAAAGTGAAAAAAAAACAAAACATGCAGAAATTGTTTTAAAGACAAAAAATACTATCTTAGAAAATTAAATACGTGTTTCACTAAAATAAACATGTACTGCTTAAATGAATCTTAATTTAATTTTAAAAACAGTAAATAGGTTGCAGGCATCAATTTTTGCAAGAAATGTAAAACATTATTTTAAAAATTTTTATTAAAGTCCCTATAACCAGTGTTTTTAATAAGCATCTGTTTAAAACATCTTGTAAAATGGACCCCAAACTAGGAAATATGGATAAAGTTATAAAAAGTGGCTTCCTTTCAGTTCATTTTACAAAGCAAATATAACTATTACTAACTCTTGATGAAGTGAATACAAAAAGAATAAAATTACTAAACAGTATCCCTTATAAACATAGTTAAAATATTCTTAACTGAAAGAAAAAGGAACTGAATTCTACACTTACTAAGAAATCACCCACCCCAGTGATTTGGCATACAAAGATTTAATACTAGAAAATATATATTAATATAATGCAACACAACAATAAAGCTATTTACTTTATATTGTACATTTACTGCTACAGACTAAATGTTTACATCCCTCTCAAATTCATATGTTGAAATGCTAACCGCCAATGTGAGGGTTTTTGAAGGTGGGGCTTTTGGGAACTAATTAAGTCATGAGAGAGCAGCCCTCATTAATGGGTTTAGCACCCTTCTAAAGCAGCCCCCTGAACTCCCTTGCTCCTTCCCCAACTGAGGTTATAGAGAAAGGGCAGCCTTCTTTGAACTAGAACAAAAGTTTTTCCCAGACACCAGATTGGCTAGTACCTTGGTCTTAGATTTCCCAGACCCCAGAACTGTGAGAAATTCCTTTCTGTTGTTTATAAGCCACCAAGTCTATGGTATTCTGGTACAGCAGCCCATTTTTGATATTTATTTAATGATATTTAACATGCATGACTGATGAAATTTAACAAAGTAGTTATAGATATGTCCTTACCATGATTAAAAATAACTCTTAAATTGATGCATACTTTTATTATCTAGTTCTAGCCAAAGCCATAAGATGAAAGCACAAATAAGAAACCACCTATATGGCACATGTATACCTATATAACAAACCTGCATGTTCCTTGCATGTATCCCAGAACTGAAAATCATATTTTAAAAAAATTTATTTATATAGAAAAAAAGAGAGCAAATGATAATATTTTTCAAAAACTGATAATTTAATTATGGCAAGTTCTGTGTGATATGTGCCTGATGTGTGTGATATGTGTCTGATGTGATATGTGTGAGATGAAAAACACTAAGGGAGTATGTGATTTTGAGCATTCACGTGCCCATAAATCCTTGTTAGAATTAAAATATCACATTAAACCTCTCTCTTTCTTTTAATGTCCATGGTTTCTTTATATGTTTTAGTAAGTGACACAGAGGAAAATACTGAGCGGACACCGTTTCTAAATTGGTAAACTGCCCTGAACTGCCACTTTACTCTTTTCTACAGCAAGTGTGGAAGATTAGAGTTCAGGCAAACATGTCATGTAAGTGGTGAAGATTCCCTTTTTCCACTGGGACAGCAGTAGAACTGAAGGGAAATCAGACAACAGCTACCTCAGCAGGAGAGCCTCAATGATGACACTTTTGCCTCAACAGTGGAAGCTGGTAGTTTCCAAAAATAGAGCTAAAAAGTGAATCAAGTTTTAAAGCACATTGAAAGTCACACGTAAAATTCATTATTACAGAAAAGCTATAAACCAATCACAGTAAATGAGTGAATTTAGAAATTAAATTTTAATATGAAAGGTTCATGTTGTCAAAACTGACTATGTTAGTCCATCTCAATGCTATAAAGGAATACCTGAGACTGGGTAATTTATAAAGAAAAGAGGAGTATTTGGGCTGATGGTTTGCAGGCTGTACAAACAGGCCACCAGTATCTGCTCAGCTTCTGCTGAGGCCCGGGAAGCTGACAATCATGGCTTAAGGCAAAGGGGGAGCTGGCATATTACATGGGGAGAGAGGGAGCAAGGGAGATGCCAGGCTCTTTTAAACAACAAGATCTCTCGTGAATTCATAGAGCAAGAACTCACTCATTACCAGGAGGACAGCACAAAACCATTCATGGGGATCCACCCTTGGGAAACAAACACCTATTACTAGGCCCACCTCCAACACTGGAGGTCGCATTTCAACATGAGATTTGGAGGGGACAAAACATCCAAACCGTATCACTAACGGAAAATTATTGTTTAAATTTCTGTATTCAGTCCCTTGGCCTTTTTGAGAAATGCCATTCATTTCAGCCATCAAGCAAATTATTATTTGAGACATTTATACCTCTTCATCCTTTAAAAGTTTCAGAAGCATGAATTTAAAAAGTATTCATTGTAAATTTGAGGCTAGTCAAATTGATGTGGCATCTAAGTAGCACGGTGATGGGATGAGGAGACAAAGTCACGAGGGAAGGTAGGAAGAAGCAGAGAGAAAAAGAGAAATAGGAAGAGAGAAAAAGAAATGAGGAGAGAGTATAAGAAAAATAAAGAAGAAAGAGGAAAAGAAAAATGGTTTAAATGAGAGGCAAATGTCATCTGATGTTTTACCATGGGGCCATAGGGTATTTGAAGATTCAGAAAATTCGTAAGTTATTAAAAAATGTGACTCTAGGGTAGTGAGGTTATAACTTGTAAGAAAACAAGAAGTGATTCCTTTTAAGAGAGCCTTCTTGGCCGGGAGCTGTGGCTCACGCCTGTAATCCCAGCACTTTGGGAGGCCGAGGCGGGTGGATCACGAGGTCAGGAGATCGAGACCATCCTGGCTAACACGGTGAAACCCCGTCTCTACTAAAAATACAAAAAAATAGCTGGGCCTGGTGGTGGGCGCCTGTAGTCCCAGCTACTCGGGAGGCTGAGGCAGGAGAATGGCGTGAACCCGGGAGGCGGAGCTTGCAGTTAGCCGAGATCGGGCCACACCACTCCAGCCTGGGGGACAGTGAGACTCCGTCTCAAAAAAAAAAGAAAAAAAAAAAGTTTACCCTGTGCAGGCACTATAACTAAGAGTCCTTCCCATCTGAGCCTTGCCTTCCAGACAACTCCACCAATTTATAAGACAGAAAAAAAGCACCTTGCACCTTCCAGACTGACTTGTTTGCCAGCCGACTAGCACTGAGTCACCCTAGTTAATGATGTGAGAGAGGAAGAATCACTCAGATGAATCCTGCTGGAATTTCTCACCTATAGGATCCATGAGATATAATGAAGTGGTCGTTGTTTTACCTTATTAAATTTAGGGTAGTTTCTTTTTTCTTTTTCTTTTTTTAAATTTTTTTTTTTTGAGACGGAGTCTCCCTCTGTGGCCCAAGCTGGACTGCAGTGGCGCGATCTCGGCTCACAGCAAGCTCCGCCTCCCGGGTTCACGCCATTCTCCTGCCTCAGCCTCCCGAGTAGCTGGGACTTAAGGCGCCCACCACCACCAGGCCAGGCTAACTTTTGTATTTTTAGTAGAGACAGAGTTTCACCGTATTAGGCAGGATGGTCTCGATCTCCTGAACTCATGATCCGCCCGTCTCAGCCTCCCAAACTGCTGGGATTACAGGCGTGAGCCACGGCGCCCAGGCCATTTGGGTTAGTTTCTTAAGCAGCAATAGTAACTGTAACACTGACTCACTTCTACTGCCACCAATCACTATCCACTTTTCCTGATTTACTTCTTCCTATGTACCGTCTTTTAAAAAACAAATAATTAGGCCGGGCTAAGTGGCTCACGCCTGTAATCCCAGCACTTTGGGAGGCTGAGGCGGGCGGATCACGAGGTCAGGAAATCGAGACCATCCTGGCTAACACGGTGAAACTCTGTCTCCACTAAAAATACAAAAAATTAGCTGGGCGTGGTGGTGGGTGCCTGCAGTCCCAGCTACTCGGGAGGCTGAGGCAGGAGAATGGCGTGAACCCAGGAGGCGGAGCTTGCAGTGAGCCCAGATGGCGCCACTGCACTCCAGCCTGGGCGACAGAGCGAGACTCCGTCTCAAAAAAAAATAAAAATAAAAAATAAATAAAAAAAGATTTTTAATATATATATACGAGAATATGTGAAACAGTATGTTTTCAAGTTTCCATTGAATATTTTAAAAATAGATTATATAAAACCTCAATATATTTTTTAAAATAAAAACCACACAGGTCACATTACCTACTCAAAATTTAATTACATTAGAAATTAAGACAAAGTTAAAACAGGACAACCAGCACCCCTAGTATCACCCTCCTCAGAGTATTTAAAAATAGATTCCTTTAAATTATCTCTTTTTTTACAAGAATAAAATCTAATCAATTATTAGAAAGATAATCTCAAACTGAACTCAAAAGAAGAAGCAAAGCATCTTCAAAGTCAATAAGGGTGCTATAAATGCTTCTTGGACTCTGAAACTCTCTGACTTCCCATTCTACTCTCAGTTGTAGAAAACTCCCTGATTGTGAAGTTTTGGTGTGATTAGGTTAGGTTTACCCAGATACTCCCCCCGTCTTAAGGCTGACGGATTATTAGCCTTAGTGACATGTGCAAGACTCCTTTGCCGTGTGAGGTATCAACAGGGTAACATGAGGAAATGAAGGTCATAGGGGCTATCTTAGACTTCTTCCTGCTACAACCTCTATTCACTTATTTTGAAACCTCAGAGTTTAATGAGCTCCTACTATGTTCTAGGTCCTTGCAATAGGAGTACAGCAGTGAACAAGACAAACATGGTTCTGGTCCTTGGAGTACAAAGTAAATGCTGAAAATTTAATAAATGGGTCAGTAGATAGATAGATGTATAAAGGTCTAAATGCACATTCAGAAAATAGCAGGAGAACACTGAGACTCAGTATTATTGAATATGCTTTAAAGGCCCATGTGTCGTCTTGAATGAAAATGTTGCTCAATTTCTGATGAGGAGACTAATTCATCAATATCTGTTATCATTGACTGATGACCTCACATAATAAAAGATCTTGACTTGAGTGTACGTTAATAATCAACATAATGGGTAATGTATCAAAAGAGTATATGGAAGATAATAAAAAGATATAAATTGAAATCTTAAATAGTTTTGTGCTAAAATATGTTTAGAATTGCTTGAACCCAGGAGGCGGAGGTTGCAGTGAGCTGAGATTATGCCACTACACTCCAGCCTGGGCAACAAGATCCAACCTCCGTCTCAAACAAACAAACAAACAAACAAACAGAAACAACCCAAACAAACACAAAAAGTTACTATAATTGTATCTCTTTTGATTATAGCCTGGAAGAAATCACTCTCTCCCCAACTTAAGGAAGGGGAGACTTATCTCTAGCCAAGCTTTGAGTATAAACATATAAAAAGTAATTTTCATTTTCTTGAAACTGACTGCATGAAAAGGCATATGGTGTTCCCAAAAAATGTCTGATGAGTGAGAATATTAAAATGACTAAACTGATGGGACATATTTAATTTAATATTTAAACTTGATAAAAAATAGTTAAGCATTTAACTCAAGAATTTCAAAATGGTACAGCAAAGCATACAAGCAAAATTAAAAGGAATGCTAATTACATATTAAGTTAGAAGGCAATAAATTATAAACAAAAACAGTAACAATTTATAAACATACACAAGTTCATTCTTTAACAAATAACCCATGATACAGAAAAATATAGCAAATGTGATAAAACAAAAACTGAGAAAACATAAAATTTAAAGTGAAAAAAAAACAAAACATGCAGAAATTGTTTTAAAGACAAAAAATACTATCTTAGAAAATTAAATACGTGTTTCACTAAAATAAACATGTACTGCTTAAATGAATCTTAATTTAATTTTAAAAACAGTAAATAGGTTGCAGGCATCAATTTTTGCAAGAAATGTAAAACATTATTTTAAAAATTTTTATTAAAGTCCCTATAACCGGTGTTTTTAATAAGCATCTGTTTAAAACATCTTGTAAAATGGACCCCAAACTAGGAAATATGGATAAAGTTATAAAAAGTGGCTTCCTTTCAGTTCATTTTACAAAGCAAATATAACTATTACTAACTCTTGATGAAGTGAATACAAAAAGAATAAAATTACTAAACAGTATCCCTTATAAACATAGTTAAAATATTCTTAACTGAAAGAAAAAGGAACTGAATTCTACACTTACTAAGAAATCACCCACCCCAGTGATTTGGCATACAAAGATTTAATACTAGAAAATATATATTAATATAATGCAACACAACAATAAAGCTATTTACTTTATATTGTACATTTACTGCTACAGACTAAATGTTTACATCCCTCTCAAATTCATATGTTGAAATGCTAACCGCCAATGTGAGGGTTTTTGAAGGTGGGGCTTTTGGGAACTAATTAAGTCATGAGAGAGCAGCCCTCATTAATGGGTTTAGCACCCTTCTAAAGCAGCCCCCTGAACTCCCTTGCTCCTTCCCCAACTGAGGTTATAGAGAAAGGGCAGCCTTCTTTGAACTAGAACAAAAGTTTTTCCCAGACACCAGATTGGCTAGTACCTTGGTCTTAGATTTCCCAGACCCCAGAACTGTGAGAAATTCCTTTCTGTTGTTTATAAGCCACCAAGTCTATGGTATTCTGGTACAGCAGCCCATTTTTGATATTTATTTAATGATATTTAACATGCATGACTGATGAAATTTAACAAAGTAGTTATAGATATGTCCTTACCATGATTAAAAATAACTCTTAAATTGATGCATACTTTTATTATCTAGTTCTAGCCAAAGCCATAAGATGAAAGCACAAATAAGAAACCACCTATATGGCACATGTATACCTATATAACAAACCTGCATGTTCCTTGCATGTATCCCAGAACTGAAAATCATATTTTAAAAAAATTTATTTATATAGAAAAAAAGAGAGCAAATGATAATATTTTTCAAAAACTGATAATTTAATTATGGCAAGTTCTGTGTGATATGTGCCTGATGTGTGTGATATGTGTCTGATGTGATATGTGTGAGATGAAAAACACTAAGGGAGTATGTGATTTTGAGCATTCACGTGCCCATAAATCCTTGTTAGAATTAAAATATCACATTAAACCTCTCTCTTTCTTTTAATGTCCATGGTTTCTTTATATGTTTTAGTAAGTGACACAGAGGAAAATACTGAGCGGACACCGTTTCTAAATTGGTAAACTGCCCTGAACTGCCACTTTACTCTTTTCTACAGCAAGTGTGGAAGATTAGAGTTCAGGCAAACATGTCATGTAAGTGGTGAAGATTCCCTTTTTCCACTGGGACAGCAGTAGAACTGAAGGGAAATCAGACAACAGCTACCTCAGCAGGAGAGCCTCAATGATGACACTTTTGCCTCAACAGTGGAAGCTGGTAGTTTCCAAAAATAGAGCTAAAAAGTGAATCAAGTTTTAAAGCACATTGAAAGTCACACGTAAAATTCATTATTACAGAAAAGCTATAAACCAATCACAGTAAATGAGTGAATTTAGAAATTAAATTTTAATATGAAAGGTTCATGTTGTCAAAACTGACTATGTTAGTCCATCTCAATGCTATAAAGGAATACCTGAGACTGGGTAATTTATAAAGAAAAGAGGAGTATTTGGGCTGATGGTTTGCAGGCTGTACAAACAGGCCACCAGTATCTGCTCAGCTTCTGCTGAGGCCCGGGAAGCTGACAATCATGGCTTAAGGCAAAGGGGGAGCTGGCATATTACATGGGGAGAGAGGGAGCAAGGGAGATGCCAGGCTCTTTTAAACAACAAGATCTCTCGTGAATTCATAGAGCAAGAACTCACTCATTACCAGGAGGACAGCACAAAACCATTCATGGGGATCCACCCTTGGGAAACAAACACCTATTACTAGGCCCACCTCCAACACTGGAGGTCGCATTTCAACATGAGATTTGGAGGGGACAAAACATCCAAACCGTATCACTAACGGAAAATTATTGTTTAAATTTCTGTATTCAGTCCCTTGGCCTTTTTGAGAAATGCCATTCATTTCAGCCATCAAGCAAATTATTATTTGAGACATTTATACCTCTTCATCCTTTAAAAGTTTCAGAAGCATGAATTTAAAAAGTATTCATTGTAAATTTGAGGCTAGTCAAATTGATGTGGCATCTAAGTAGCACGGTGATGGGATGAGGAGACAAAGTCACGAGGGAAGGTAGGAAGAAGCAGAGAGAAAAAGAGAAATAGGAAGAGAGAAAAAGAAATGAGGAGAGAGTATAAGAAAAATAAAGAAGAAAGAGGAAAAGAAAAATGGTTTAAATGAGAGGCAAATGTCATCTGATGTTTTACCATGGGGCCATAGGGTATTTGAAGATTCAGAAAATTCGTAAGTTATTAAAAAATGTGACTCTAGGGTAGTGAGGTTATAACTTGTAAGAAAACAAGAAGTGATTCCTTTTAAGAGAGCCTTCTTGGCCGGGAGCTGTGGCTCACGCCTGTAATCCCAGCACTTTGGGAGGCCGAGGCGGGTGGATCACGAGGTCAGGAGATCGAGACCATCCTGGCTAACACGGTGAAACCCCGTCTCTACTAAAAATACAAAAAAATAGCTGGGCCTGGTGGTGGGCGCCTGTAGTCCCAGCTACTCGGGAGGCTGAGGCAGGAGAATGGCGTGAACCCGGGAGGCGGAGCTTGCAGTTAGCCGAGATCGGGCCACACCACTCCAGCCTGGGGGACAGTGAGACTCCGTCTCAAAAAAAAAAGAAAAAAAAAAAGTTTACCCTGTGCAGGCACTATAACTAAGAGTCCTTCCCATCTGAGCCTTGCCTTCCAGACAACTCCACCAATTTATAAGACAGAAAAAAAGCACCTTGCACCTTCCAGACTGACTTGTTTGCCAGCCGACTAGCACTGAGTCACCCTAGTTAATGATGTGAGAGAGGAAGAATCACTCAGATGAATCCTGCTGGAATTTCTCACCTATAGGATCCATGAGATATAATGAAGTGGTCGTTGTTTTACCTTATTAAATTTAGGGTAGTTTCTTTTTTCTTTTTCTTTTTTTAAATTTTTTTTTTTTGAGACGGAGTCTCCCTCTGTGGCCCAAGCTGGACTGCAGTGGCGCGATCTCGGATCACAGCAAGCTCCGCCTCCCGGGTTCACGCCATTCTCCTGTCTCAGCCTCCCGAGTAGCTGGGACTTAAGGCACCCACCACCAACAGGCCAGGCTAACTTTTGTATTTTTAGTAGAGACAGAGCTTCACCGTATTAGGCAGGATGGTCTCGATCTCCTGAACTCATGATCCGCCCGTCTCACTCCCAAACTGCTTTGCTTACATGATAGCCACGGCGCCCAGGCCATTTGGGTTAGTTTCTTAAGCAGCAATAGTAACTGTAACACTGACTCACTTCTACTGCCACCAATCACTATCCACTTTTCCTGATTTACTTCTTCCTATGTACCGTCTTTTAAAAAACAAATAATTAGGCCGGGCTAAGTGGCTCACGCCTGTAATCCCAGCACTTTGGGAGGCTGAGGCGGGCGGATCACGAGGTCAGGAAATCGAGACCATCCTGGCTAACACGGTGAAACTCTGTCTCCACTAAAAATACAAAAAAGTAGCTGGGCGTGGTGGTGGGTGCCTGCAGTCCCAGCTATTCGGGAGGCTGAGGCAGGAGAATGGCGTGAACCCAGGAGGCGGAGCTTGCAGTGAGCCCAGATGGCGCCACTGCACTCCAGCCTGGGCGACAGAGCGAGACTCCGTCTCAAAAAAAAATAAAAATAAAAAATAAATAAAAAAAGATTTTTAATATATATATACGAGAATATGTGAAACAGTATGTTTTCAAGTTTCCATTGAATATTTTAAAAATAGATTATATAAAACCTCAATATATTTTTTAAAATAAAAACCACACAGGTCACATTACCTACTCAAAATTTAATTACATTAGAAATTAAGACAAAGTTAAAACAGGACAACCAGCACCCCTAGTATCACCCTCCTCAGAGTATTTAAAAATAGATTCCTTTAAATTATCTCTTTTTTTACAAGAATAAAATCTAATCAATTATTAGAAAGATAATCTCAAACTGAACTCAAAAGAAGAAGCAAAGCATCTTCAAAGTCAATAAGGGTGCTATAAATGCTTCTTGGACTCTGAAACTCTCTGACTTCCCATTCTACTCTCAGTTGTAGAAAACTCCCTGATTGTGAAGTTTTGGTGTGATTAGGTTAGGTTTACCCAGATACTCCCCCCGTCTTAAGGCTGACGGATTATTAGCCTTAGTGACATGTGCAAGACTCCTTTGCCGTGTGAGGTATCAACAGGGTAACATGAGGAAATGAAGGTCATAGGGGCTATCTTAGACTTCTTCCTGCTACAACCTCTATTCACTTATTTTGAAACCTCAGAGTTTAATGAGCTCCTACTATGTTCTAGGTCCTTGCAATAGGAGTACACCAGTGAACAAGACAAACATGGTTCTGGTCCTTGGAGTACAAAGTAAATGCTGAAAATTTAATAAATGGGTCAGTAGATAGATAGATGTATAAAGGTCTAAATGCACATTCAGAAAATAGCAGGAGAACACTGAGACTCAGTATTATTGAATATGCTTTAAAGGCCCATGTGTCGTCTTGAATGAAAATGTTGCTCAATTTCTGATGAGGAGACTAATTCATCAATATCTGTTATCATTGACTGATGACCTCACATAATAAAAGATCTTGACTTGAGTGTACGTTAATAATCAACATAATGGGTAATGTATCAAAAGAGTATATGGAAGATAATAAAAAGATATAAATTGAAATCTTAAATAGTTTTGTGCTAAAATATGTTTAGAATTGCTTGAACCCAGGAGGCGGAGGTTGCAGTGAGCTGAGATTATGCCACTACACTCCAGCCTGGGCAACAAGATCCAACCTCCGTCTCAAACAAACAAACAAACAAACAAACAGAAACAACCCAAACAAACACAAAAAGTTACTATAATTGTATCTCTTTTGATTATAGCCTGGAAGAAATCACTCTCTCCCCAACTTAAGGAAGGGGAGACTTATCTCTAGCCAAGCTTTGAGTATAAACATATAAAAAGTAATTTTCATTTTCTTGAAACTGACTGCATGAAAAGGCATATGGTGTTCCCAAAAAATGTCTGATGAGTGAGAATATTAAAATGACTAAACTGATGGGACATATTTAATTTAATATTTAAACTTGATAAAAAATAGTTAAGCATTTAACTCAAGAATTTCAAAATGGTACAGCAAAGCATACAAGCAAAATTAAAAGGAATGCTAATTACATATTAAGTTAGAAGGCAATAAATTATAAACAAAAACAGTAACAATTTATAAACATACACAAGTTCATTCTTTAACAAATAACCCATGATACAGAAAAATATAGCAAATGTGATAAAACAAAAACTGAGAAAACATAAAATTTAAAGTGAAAAAAAAACAAAACATGCAGAAATTGTTTTAAAGACAAAAAATACTATCTTAGAAAATTAAATACGTGTTTCACTAAAATAAACATGTACTGCTTAAATGAATCTTAATTTAATTTTAAAAACAGTAAATAGGTTGCAGGCATCAATTTTTGCAAGAAATGTAAAACATTATTTTAAAAATTTTTATTAAAGTCCCTATAACCGGTGTTTTTAATAAGCATCTGTTTAAAACATCTTGTAAAATGGACCCCAAACTAGGAAATATGGATAAAGTTATAAAAAGTGGCTTCCTTTCAGTTCATTTTACAAAGCAAATATAACTATTACTAACTCTTGATGAAGTGAATACAAAAAGAATAAAATTACTAAACAGTATCCCTTATAAACATAGTTAAAATATTCTTAACTGAAAGAAAAAGGAACTGAATTCTACACTTACTAAGAAATCACCCACCCCAGTGATTTGGCATACAAAGATTTAATACTAGAAAATATATATTAATATAATGCAACACAACAATAAAGCTATTTACTTTATATTGTACATTTACTGCTACAGACTAAATGTTTACATCCCTCTCAAATTCATATGTTGAAATGCTAACCGCCAATGTGAGGGTTTTTGAAGGTGGGGCTTTTGGGAACTAATTAAGTCATGAGAGAGCAGCCCTCATTAATGGGTTTAGCACCCTTCTAAAGCAGCCCCCTGAACTCCCTTGCTCCTTCCCCAACTGAGGTTATAGAGAAAGGGCAGCCTTCTTTGAACTAGAACAAAAGTTTTTCCCAGACACCAGATTGGCTAGTACCTTGGTCTTAGATTTCCCAGACCCCAGAACTGTGAGAAATTCCTTTCTGTTGTTTATAAGCCACCAAGTCTATGGTATTCTGGTACAGCAGCCCATTTTTGATATTTATTTAATGATATTTAACATGCATGACTGATGAAATTTAACAAAGTAGTTATAGATATGTCCTTACCATGATTAAAAATAACTCTTAAATTGATGCATACTTTTATTATCTAGTTCTAGCCAAAGCCATAAGATGAAAGCACAAATAAGAAACCACCTATATGGCACATGTATACCTATATAACAAACCTGCATGTTCCTTGCATGTATCCCAGAACTGAAAATCATATTTTAAAAAAATTTATTTATATAGAAAAAAAGAGAGCAAATGATAATATTTTTCAAAAACTGATAATTTAATTATGGCAAGTTCTGTGTGATATGTGCCTGATGTGTGTGATATGTGTCTGATGTGATATGTGTGAGATGAAAAACACTAAGGGAGTATGTGATTTTGAGCATTCACGTGCCCATAAATCCTTGTTAGAATTAAAATATCACATTAAACCTCTCTCTTTCTTTTAATGTCCATGGTTTCTTTATATGTTTTAGTAAGTGACACAGAGGAAAATACTGAGCGGACACCGTTTCTAAATTGGTAAACTGCCCTGAACTGCCACTTTACTCTTTTCTACAGCAAGTGTGGAAGATTAGAGTTCAGGCAAACATGTCATGTAAGTGGTGAAGATTCCCTTTTTCCACTGGGACAGCAGTAGAACTGAAGGGAAATCAGACAACAGCTACCTCAGCAGGAGAGCCTCAATGATGACACTTTTGCCTCAACAGTGGAAGCTGGTAGTTTCCAAAAATAGAGCTAAAAAGTGAATCAAGTTTTAAAGCACATTGAAAGTCACACGTAAAATTCATTATTACAGAAAAGCTATAAACCAATCACAGTAAATGAGTGAATTTAGAAATTAAATTTTAATATGAAAGGTTCATGTTGTCAAAACTGACTATGTTAGTCCATCTCAATGCTATAAAGGAATACCTGAGACTGGGTAATTTATAAAGAAAAGAGGAGTATTTGGGCTGATGGTTTGCAGGCTGTACAAACAGGCCACCAGTATCTGCTCAGCTTCTGCTGAGGCCCGGGAAGCTGACAATCATGGCTTAAGGCAAAGGGGGAGCTGGCATATTACATGGGGAGAGAGGGAGCAAGGGAGATGCCAGGCTCTTTTAAACAACAAGATCTCTCGTGAATTCATAGAGCAAGAACTCACTCATTACCAGGAGGACAGCACAAAACCATTCATGGGGATCCACCCTTGGGAAACAAACACCTATTACTAGGCCCACCTCCAACACTGGAGGTCGCATTTCAACATGAGATTTGGAGGGGACAAAACATCCAAACCGTATCACTAACGGAAAATTATTGTTTAAATTTCTGTATTCAGTCCCTTGGCCTTTTTGAGAAATGCCATTCATTTCAGCCATCAAGCAAATTATTATTTGAGACATTTATACCTCTTCATCCTTTAAAAGTTTCAGAAGCATGAATTTAAAAAGTATTCATTGTAAATTTGAGGCTAGTCAAATTGATGTGGCATCTAAGTAGCACGGTGATGGGATGAGGAGACAAAGTCACGAGGGAAGGTAGGAAGAAGCAGAGAGAAAAAGAGAAATAGGAAGAGAGAAAAAGAAATGAGGAGAGAGTATAAGAAAAATAAAGAAGAAAGAGGAAAAGAAAAATGGTTTAAATGAGAGGCAAATGTCATCTGATGTTTTACCATGGGGCCATAGGGTATTTGAAGATTCAGAAAATTCGTAAGTTATTAAAAAATGTGACTCTAGGGTAGTGAGGTTATAACTTGTAAGAAAACAAGAAGTGATTCCTTTTAAGAGAGCCTTCTTGGCCGGGAGCTGTGGCTCACGCCTGTAATCCCAGCACTTTGGGAGGCCGAGGCGGGTGGATCACGAGGTCAGGAGATCGAGACCATCCTGGCTAACACGGTGAAACCCCGTCTCTACTAAAAATACAAAAAAATAGCCGGGCCTGGTGGTGGGCGCCTGTAGTCCCAGCTACTCGGGAGGCTGAGGCAGGAGAATGGCGTGAACCCGGGAGGCGGAGCTTGCAGTTAGCCGAGATCGGGCCACACCACTCCAGCCTGGGGGACAGTGAGACTCCGTCTCAAAAAAAAAAGAAAAAAAAAAAGTTTACCCTGTGCAGGCACTATAACTAAGAGTCCTTCCCATCTGAGCCTTGCCTTCCAGACAACTCCACCAATTTATAAGACAGAAAAAAAGCACCTTGCACCTTCCAGACTGACTTGTTTGCCAGCCGACTAGCACTGAGTCACCCTAGTTAATGATGTGAGAGAGGAAGAATCACTCAGATGAATCCTGCTGGAATTTCTCACCTATAGGATCCATGAGATATAATGAAGTGGTCGTTGTTTTACCTTATTAAATTTAGGGTAGTTTCTTTTTTCTTTTTCTTTTTTTAAATTTTTTTTTTTTGAGACGGAGTCTCCCTCTGTGGCCCAAGCTGGACTGCAGTGGCGCGATCTCGGCTCACAGCAAGCTCCGCCTCCCGGGTTCACGCCATTCTCCTGCCTCAGCCTCCCGAGTAGCTGGGACTTAAGGCGCCCACCACCACCAGGCCAGGCTAACTTTTGTATTTTTAGTAGAGACAGAGTTTCACCGTATTAGGCAGGATGGTCTCGATCTCCTGAACTCATGATCCGCCCGTCTCAGCCTCCCAAACTGCTGGGATTACAGGCGTGAGCCACGGCGCCCAGGCCATTTGGGTTAGTTTCTTAAGCAGCAATAGTAACTGTAACACTGACTCACTTCTACTGCCACCAATCACTATCCACTTTTCCTGATTTACTTCTTCCTATGTACCGTCTTTTAAAAAACAAATAATTAGGCCGGGCTAAGTGGCTCACGCCTGTAATCCCAGCACTTTGGGAGGCTGAGGCGGGCGGATCACGAGGTCAGGAAATCGAGACCATCCTGGCTAACACGGTGAAACTCTGTCTCCACTAAAAATACAAAAAAGTAGCTGGGCGTGGTGGTGGGTGCCTGCAGTCCCAGCTATTCGGGAGGCTGAGGCAGGAGAATGGCGTGAACCCAGGAGGCGGAGCTTGCAGTGAGCCCAGATGGCGCCACTGCACTCCAGCCTGGGCGACAGAGCGAGACTCCGTCTCAAAAAAAAATAAAAATAAAAAATAAATAAAAAAAGATTTTTAATATATATATACGAGAATATGTGAAACAGTATGTTTTCAAGTTTCCATTGAATATTTTAAAAATAGATTATATAAAACCTCAATATATTTTTTAAAATAAAAACCACACAGGTCACATTACCTACTCAAAATTTAATTACATTAGAAATTAAGACAAAGTTAAAACAGGACAACCAGCACCCCTAGTATCACCCTCCTCAGAGTATTTAAAAATAGATTCCTTTAAATTATCTCTTTTTTTACAAGAATAAAATCTAATCAATTATTAGAAAGATAATCTCAAACTGAACTCAAAAGAAGAAGCAAAGCATCTTCAAAGTCAATAAGGGTGCTATAAATGCTTCTTGGACTCTGAAACTCTCTGACTTCCCATTCTACTCTCAGTTGTAGAAAACTCCCTGATTGTGAAGTTTTGGTGTGATTAGGTTAGGTTTACCCAGATACTCCCCCCGTCTTAAGGCTGACGGATTATTAGCCTTAGTGACATGTGCAAGACTCCTTTGCCGTGTGAGGTATCAACAGGGTAACATGAGGAAATGAAGGTCATAGGGGCTATCTTAGACTTCTTCCTGCTACAACCTCTATTCACTTATTTTGAAACCTCAGAGTTTAATGAGCTCCTACTATGTTCTAGGTCCTTGCAATAGGAGTACAGCAGTGAACAAGACAAACATGGTTCTGGTCCTTGGAGTACAAAGTAAATGCTGAAAATTTAATAAATGGGTCAGTAGATAGATAGATGTATAAAGGTCTAAATGCACATTCAGAAAATAGCAGGAGAACACTGAGACTCAGTATTATTGAATATGCTTTAAAGGCCCATGTGTCGTCTTGAATGAAAATGTTGCTCAATTTCTGATGAGGAGACTAATTCATCAATATCTGTTATCATTGACTGATGACCTCACATAATAAAAGATCTTGACTTGAGTGTACGTTAATAATCAACATAATGGGTAATGTATCAAAAGAGTATATGGAAGATAATAAAAAGATATAAATTGAAATCTTAAATAGTTTTGTGCTAAAATATGTTTAGAATTGCTTGAACCCAGGAGGCGGAGGTTGCAGTGAGCTGAGATTATGCCACTACACTCCAGCCTGGGCAACAAGATCCAACCTCCGTCTCAAACAAACAAACAAACAAACAAACAGAAACAACCCAAACAAACACAAAAAGTTACTATAATTGTATCTCTTTTGATTATAGCCTGGAAGAAATCACTCTCTCCCCAACTTAAGGAAGGGGAGACTTATCTCTAGCCAAGCTTTGAGTATAAACATATAAAAAGTAATTTTCATTTTCTTGAAACTGACTGCATGAAAAGGCATATGGTGTTCCCAAAAAATGTCTGATGAGTGAGAATATTAAAATGACTAAACTGATGGGACATATTTAATTTAATATTTAAACTTGATAAAAAATAGTTAAGCATTTAACTCAAGAATTTCAAAATGGTACAGCAAAGCATACAAGCAAAATTAAAAGGAATGCTAATTACATATTAAGTTAGAAGGCAATAAATTATAAACAAAAACAGTAACAATTTATAAACATACACAAGTTCATTCTTTAACAAATAACCCATGATACAGAAAAATATAGCAAATGTGATAAAACAAAAACTGAGAAAACATAAAATTTAAAGTGAAAAAAAAACAAAACATGCAGAAATTGTTTTAAAGACAAAAAATACTATCTTAGAAAATTAAATACGTGTTTCACTAAAATAAACATGTACTGCTTAAATGAATCTTAATTTAATTTTAAAAACAGTAAATAGGTTGCAGGCATCAATTTTTGCAAGAAATGTAAAACATTATTTTAAAAATTTTTATTAAAGTCCCTATAACCGGTGTTTTTAATAAGCATCTGTTTAAAACATCTTGTAAAATGGACCCCAAACTAGGAAATATGGATAAAGTTATAAAAAGTGGCTTCCTTTCAGTTCATTTTACAAAGCAAATATAACTATTACTAACTCTTGATGAAGTGAATACAAAAAGAATAAAATTACTAAACAGTATCCCTTATAAACATAGTTAAAATATTCTTAACTGAAAGAAAAAGGAACTGAATTCTACACTTACTAAGAAATCACCCACCCCAGTGATTTGGCATACAAAGATTTAATACTAGAAAATATATATTAATATAATGCAACACAACAATAAAGCTATTTACTTTATATTGTACATTTACTGCTACAGACTAAATGTTTACATCCCTCTCAAATTCATATGTTGAAATGCTAACCGCCAATGTGAGGGTTTTTGAAGGTGGGGCTTTTGGGAACTAATTAAGTCATGAGAGAGCAGCCCTCATTAATGGGTTTAGCACCCTTCTAAAGCAGCCCCCTGAACTCCCTTGCTCCTTCCCCAACTGAGGTTATAGAGAAAGGGCAGCCTTCTTTGAACTAGAACAAAAGTTTTTCCCAGACACCAGATTGGCTAGTACCTTGGTCTTAGATTTCCCAGACCCCAGAACTGTGAGAAATTCCTTTCTGTTGTTTATAAGCCACCAAGTCTATGGTATTCTGGTACAGCAGCCCATTTTTGATATTTATTTAATGATATTTAACATGCATGACTGATGAAATTTAACAAAGTAGTTATAGATATGTCCTTACCATGATTAAAAATAACTCTTAAATTGATGCATACTTTTATTATCTAGTTCTAGCCAAAGCCATAAGATGAAAGCACAAATAAGAAACCACCTATATGGCACATGTATACCTATATAACAAACCTGCATGTTCCTTGCATGTATCCCAGAACTGAAAATCATATTTTAAAAAAATTTATTTATATAGAAAAAAAGAGAGCAAATGATAATATTTTTCAAAAACTGATAATTTAATTATGGCAAGTTCTGTGTGATATGTGCCTGATGTGTGTGATATGTGTCTGATGTGATATGTGTGAGATGAAAAACACTAAGGGAGTATGTGATTTTGAGCATTCACGTGCCCATAAATCCTTGTTAGAATTAAAATATCACATTAAACCTCTCTCTTTCTTTTAATGTCCATGGTTTCTTTATATGTTTTAGTAAGTGACACAGAGGAAAATACTGAGCGGACACCGTTTCTAAATTGGTAAACTGCCCTGAACTGCCACTTTACTCTTTTCTACAGCAAGTGTGGAAGATTAGAGTTCAGGCAAACATGTCATGTAAGTGGTGAAGATTCCCTTTTTCCACTGGGACAGCAGTAGAACTGAAGGGAAATCAGACAACAGCTACCTCAGCAGGAGAGCCTCAATGATGACACTTTTGCCTCAACAGTGGAAGCTGGTAGTTTCCAAAAATAGAGCTAAAAAGTGAATCAAGTTTTAAAGCACATTGAAAGTCACACGTAAAATTCATTATTACAGAAAAGCTATAAACCAATCACAGTAAATGAGTGAATTTAGAAATTAAATTTTAATATGAAAGGTTCATGTTGTCAAAACTGACTATGTTAGTCCATCTCAATGCTATAAAGGAATACCTGAGACTGGGTAATTTATAAAGAAAAGAGGAGTATTTGGGCTGATGGTTTGCAGGCTGTACAAACAGGCCACCAGTATCTGCTCAGCTTCTGCTGAGGCCCGGGAAGCTGACAATCATGGCTTAAGGCAAAGGGGGAGCTGGCATATTACATGGGGAGAGAGGGAGCAAGGGAGATGCCAGGCTCTTTTAAACAACAAGATCTCTCGTGAATTCATAGAGCAAGAACTCACTCATTACCAGGAGGACAGCACAAAACCATTCATGGGGATCCACCCTTGGGAAACAAACACCTATTACTAGGCCCACCTCCAACACTGGAGGTCGCATTTCAACATGAGATTTGGAGGGGACAAAACATCCAAACCGTATCACTAACGGAAAATTATTGTTTAAATTTCTGTATTCAGTCCCTTGGCCTTTTTGAGAAATGCCATTCATTTCAGCCATCAAGCAAATTATTATTTGAGACATTTATACCTCTTCATCCTTTAAAAGTTTCAGAAGCATGAATTTAAAAAGTATTCATTGTAAATTTGAGGCTAGTCAAATTGATGTGGCATCTAAGTAGCACGGTGATGGGATGAGGAGACAAAGTCACGAGGGAAGGTAGGAAGAAGCAGAGAGAAAAAGAGAAATAGGAAGAGAGAAAAAGAAATGAGGAGAGAGTATAAGAAAAATAAAGAAGAAAGAGGAAAAGAAAAATGGTTTAAATGAGAGGCAAATGTCATCTGATGTTTTACCATGGGGCCATAGGGTATTTGAAGATTCAGAAAATTCGTAAGTTATTAAAAAATGTGACTCTAGGGTAGTGAGGTTATAACTTGTAAGAAAACAAGAAGTGATTCCTTTTAAGAGAGCCTTCTTGGCCGGGAGCTGTGGCTCACGCCTGTAATCCCAGCACTTTGGGAGGCCGAGGCGGGTGGATCACGAGGTCAGGAGATCGAGACCATCCTGGCTAACACGGTGAAACCCCGTCTCTACTAAAAATACAAAAAAATAGCCGGGCCTGGTGGTGGGCGCCTGTAGTCCCAGCTACTCGGGAGGCTGAGGCAGGAGAATGGCGTGAACCCGGGAGGCGGAGCTTGCAGTTAGCCGAGATCGGGCCACACCACTCCAGCCTGGGGGACAGTGAGACTCCGTCTCAAAAAAAAAAGAAAAAAAAAAAGTTTACCCTGTGCAGGCACTATAACTAAGAGTCCTTCCCATCTGAGCCTTGCCTTCCAGACAACTCCACCAATTTATAAGACAGAAAAAAAGCACCTTGCACCTTCCAGACTGACTTGTTTGCCAGCCGACTAGCACTGAGTCACCCTAGTTAATGATGTGAGAGAGGAAGAATCACTCAGATGAATCCTGCTGGAATTTCTCACCTATAGGATCCATGAGATATAATGAAGTGGTCGTTGTTTTACCTTATTAAATTTAGGGTAGTTTCTTTTTTCTTTTTCTTTTTTTAAATTTTTTTTTTTTGAGACGGAGTCTCCCTCTGTGGCCCAAGCTGGACTGCAGTGGCGCGATCTCGGCTCACAGCAAGCTCCGCCTCCCGGGTTCACGCCATTCTCCTGCCTCAGCCTCCCGAGTAGCTGGGACTTAAGGCGCCCACCACCACCAGGCCAGGCTAACTTTTGTATTTTTAGTAGAGACAGAGTTTCACCGTATTAGGCAGGATGGTCTCGATCTCCTGAACTCATGATCCGCCCGTCTCAGCCTCCCAAACTGCTGGGATTACAGGCGTGAGCCACGGCGCCCAGGCCATTTGGGTTAGTTTCTTAAGCAGCAATAGTAACTGTAACACTGACTCACTTCTACTGCCACCAATCACTATCCACTTTTCCTGATTTACTTCTTCCTATGTACCGTCTTTTAAAAAACAAATAATTAGGCCGGGCTAAGTGGCTCACGCCTGTAATCCCAGCACTTTGGGAGGCTGAGGCGGGCGGATCACGAGGTCAGGAAATCGAGACCATCCTGGCTAACACGGTGAAACTCTGTCTCCACTAAAAATACAAAAAAGTAGCTGGGCGTGGTGGTGGGTGCCTGCAGTCCCAGCTATTCGGGAGGCTGAGGCAGGAGAATGGCGTGAACCCAGGAGGCGGAGCTTGCAGTGAGCCCAGATGGCGCCACTGCACTCCAGCCTGGGCGACAGAGCGAGACTCCGTCTCAAAAAAAAATAAAAATAAAAAATAAATAAAAAAAGATTTTTAATATATATATACGAGAATATGTGAAACAGTATGTTTTCAAGTTTCCATTGAATATTTTAAAAATAGATTATATAAAACCTCAATATATTTTTTAAAATAAAAACCACACAGGTCACATTACCTACTCAAAATTTAATTACATTAGAAATTAAGACAAAGTTAAAACAGGACAACCAGCACCCCTAGTATCACCCTCCTCAGAGTATTTAAAAATAGATTCCTTTAAATTATCTCTTTTTTTACAAGAATAAAATCTAATCAATTATTAGAAAGATAATCTCAAACTGAACTCAAAAGAAGAAGCAAAGCATCTTCAAAGTCAATAAGGGTGCTATAAATGCTTCTTGGACTCTGAAACTCTCTGACTTCCCATTCTACTCTCAGTTGTAGAAAACTCCCTGATTGTGAAGTTTTGGTGTGATTAGGTTAGGTTTACCCAGATACTCCCCCCGTCTTAAGGCTGACGGATTATTAGCCTTAGTGACATGTGCAAGACTCCTTTGCCGTGTGAGGTATCAACAGGGTAACATGAGGAAATGAAGGTCATAGGGGCTATCTTAGACTTCTTCCTGCTACAACCTCTATTCACTTATTTTGAAACCTCAGAGTTTAATGAGCTCCTACTATGTTCTAGGTCCTTGCAATAGGAGTACACCAGTGAACAAGACAAACATGGTTCTGGTCCTTGGAGTACAAAGTAAATGCTGAAAATTTAATAAATGGGTCAGTAGATAGATAGATGTATAAAGGTCTAAATGCACATTCAGAAAATAGCAGGAGAACACTGAGACTCAGTATTATTGAATATGCTTTAAAGGCCCATGTGTCGTCTTGAATGAAAATGTTGCTCAATTTCTGATGAGGAGACTAATTCATCAATATCTGTTATCATTGACTGATGACCTCACATAATAAAAGATCTTGACTTGAGTGTACGTTAATAATCAACATAATGGGTAATGTATCAAAAGAGTATATGGAAGATAATAAAAAGATATAAATTGAAATCTTAAATAGTTTTGTGCTAAAATATGTTTAGAATTGCTTGAACCCAGGAGGCGGAGGTTGCAGTGAGCTGAGATTATGCCACTACACTCCAGCCTGGGCAACAAGATCCAACCTCCGTCTCAAACAAACAAACAAACAAACAAACAGAAACAACCCAAACAAACACAAAAAGTTACTATAATTGTATCTCTTTTGATTATAGCCTGGAAGAAATCACTCTCTCCCCAACTTAAGGAAGGGGAGACTTATCTCTAGCCAAGCTTTGAGTATAAACATATAAAAAGTAATTTTCATTTTCTTGAAACTGACTGCATGAAAAGGCATATGGTGTTCCCAAAAAATGTCTGATGAGTGAGAATATTAAAATGACTAAACTGATGGGACATATTTAATTTAATATTTAAACTTGATAAAAAATAGTTAAGCATTTAACTCAAGAATTTCAAAATGGTACAGCAAAGCATACAAGCAAAATTAAAAGGAATGCTAATTACATATTAAGTTAGAAGGCAATAAATTATAAACAAAAACAGTAACAATTTATAAACATACACAAGTTCATTCTTTAACAAATAACCCATGATACAGAAAAATATAGCAAATGTGATAAAACAAAAACTGAGAAAACATAAAATTTAAAGTGAAAAAAAAACAAAACATGCAGAAATTGTTTTAAAGACAAAAAATACTATCTTAGAAAATTAAATACGTGTTTCACTAAAATAAACATGTACTGCTTAAATGAATCTTAATTTAATTTTAAAAACAGTAAATAGGTTGCAGGCATCAATTTTTGCAAGAAATGTAAAACATTATTTTAAAAATTTTTATTAAAGTCCCTATAACCGGTGTTTTTAATAAGCATCTGTTTAAAACATCTTGTAAAATGGACCCCAAACTAGGAAATATGGATAAAGTTATAAAAAGTGGCTTCCTTTCAGTTCATTTTACAAAGCAAATATAACTATTACTAACTCTTGATGAAGTGAATACAAAAAGAATAAAATTACTAAACAGTATCCCTTATAAACATAGTTAAAATATTCTTAACTGAAAGAAAAAGGAACTGAATTCTACACTTACTAAGAAATCACCCACCCCAGTGATTTGGCATACAAAGATTTAATACTAGAAAATATATATTAATATAATGCAACACAACAATAAAGCTATTTACTTTATATTGTACATTTACTGCTACAGACTAAATGTTTACATCCCTCTCAAATTCATATGTTGAAATGCTAACCGCCAATGTGAGGGTTTTTGAAGGTGGGGCTTTTGGGAACTAATTAAGTCATGAGAGAGCAGCCCTCATTAATGGGTTTAGCACCCTTCTAAAGCAGCCCCCTGAACTCCCTTGCTCCTTCCCCAACTGAGGTTATAGAGAAAGGGCAGCCTTCTTTGAACTAGAACAAAAGTTTTTCCCAGACACCAGATTGGCTAGTACCTTGGTCTTAGATTTCCCAGACCCCAGAACTGTGAGAAATTCCTTTCTGTTGTTTATAAGCCACCAAGTCTATGGTATTCTGGTACAGCAGCCCATTTTTGATATTTATTTAATGATATTTAACATGCATGACTGATGAAATTTAACAAAGTAGTTATAGATATGTCCTTACCATGATTAAAAATAACTCTTAAATTGATGCATACTTTTATTATCTAGTTCTAGCCAAAGCCATAAGATGAAAGCACAAATAAGAAACCACCTATATGGCACATGTATACCTATATAACAAACCTGCATGTTCCTTGCATGTATCCCAGAACTGAAAATCATATTTTAAAAAAATTTATTTATATAGAAAAAAAGAGAGCAAATGATAATATTTTTCAAAAACTGATAATTTAATTATGGCAAGTTCTGTGTGATATGTGCCTGATGTGTGTGATATGTGTCTGATGTGATATGTGTGAGATGAAAAACACTAAGGGAGTATGTGATTTTGAGCATTCACGTGCCCATAAATCCTTGTTAGAATTAAAATATCACATTAAACCTCTCTCTTTCTTTTAATGTCCATGGTTTCTTTATATGTTTTAGTAAGTGACACAGAGGAAAATACTGAGCGGACACCGTTTCTAAATTGGTAAACTGCCCTGAACTGCCACTTTACTCTTTTCTACAGCAAGTGTGGAAGATTAGAGTTCAGGCAAACATGTCATGTAAGTGGTGAAGATTCCCTTTTTCCACTGGGACAGCAGTAGAACTGAAGGGAAATCAGACAACAGCTACCTCAGCAGGAGAGCCTCAATGATGACACTTTTGCCTCAACAGTGGAAGCTGGTAGTTTCCAAAAATAGAGCTAAAAAGTGAATCAAGTTTTAAAGCACATTGAAAGTCACACGTAAAATTCATTATTACAGAAAAGCTATAAACCAATCACAGTAAATGAGTGAATTTAGAAATTAAATTTTAATATGAAAGGTTCATGTTGTCAAAACTGACTATGTTAGTCCATCTCAATGCTATAAAGGAATACCTGAGACTGGGTAATTTATAAAGAAAAGAGGAGTATTTGGGCTGATGGTTTGCAGGCTGTACAAACAGGCCACCAGTATCTGCTCAGCTTCTGCTGAGGCCCGGGAAGCTGACAATCATGGCTTAAGGCAAAGGGGGAGCTGGCATATTACATGGGGAGAGAGGGAGCAAGGGAGATGCCAGGCTCTTTTAAACAACAAGATCTCTCGTGAATTCATAGAGCAAGAACTCACTCATTACCAGGAGGACAGCACAAAACCATTCATGGGGATCCACCCTTGGGAAACAAACACCTATTACTAGGCCCACCTCCAACACTGGAGGTCGCATTTCAACATGAGATTTGGAGGGGACAAAACATCCAAACCGTATCACTAACGGAAAATTATTGTTTAAATTTCTGTATTCAGTCCCTTGGCCTTTTTGAGAAATGCCATTCATTTCAGCCATCAAGCAAATTATTATTTGAGACATTTATACCTCTTCATCCTTTAAAAGTTTCAGAAGCATGAATTTAAAAAGTATTCATTGTAAATTTGAGGCTAGTCAAATTGATGTGGCATCTAAGTAGCACGGTGATGGGATGAGGAGACAAAGTCACGAGGGAAGGTAGGAAGAAGCAGAGAGAAAAAGAGAAATAGGAAGAGAGAAAAAGAAATGAGGAGAGAGTATAAGAAAAATAAAGAAGAAAGAGGAAAAGAAAAATGGTTTAAATGAGAGGCAAATGTCATCTGATGTTTTACCATGGGGCCATAGGGTATTTGAAGATTCAGAAAATTCGTAAGTTATTAAAAAATGTGACTCTAGGGTAGTGAGGTTATAACTTGTAAGAAAACAAGAAGTGATTCCTTTTAAGAGAGCCTTCTTGGCCGGGAGCTGTGGCTCACGCCTGTAATCCCAGCACTTTGGGAGGCCGAGGCGGGTGGATCACGAGGTCAGGAGATCGAGACCATCCTGGCTAACACGGTGAAACCCCGTCTCTACTAAAAATACAAAAAAATAGCTGGGCCTGGTGGTGGGCGCCTGTAGTCCCAGCTACTCGGGAGGCTGAGGCAGGAGAATGGCGTGAACCCGGGAGGCGGAGCTTGCAGTTAGCCGAGATCGGGCCACACCACTCCAGCCTGGGGGACAGTGAGACTCCGTCTCAAAAAAAAAAGAAAAAAAAAAAGTTTACCCTGTGCAGGCACTATAACTAAGAGTCCTTCCCATCTGAGCCTTGCCTTCCAGACAACTCCACCAATTTATAAGACAGAAAAAAAGCACCTTGCACCTTCCAGACTGACTTGTTTGCCAGCCGACTAGCACTGAGTCACCCTAGTTAATGATGTGAGAGAGGAAGAATCACTCAGATGAATCCTGCTGGAATTTCTCACCTATAGGATCCATGAGATATAATGAAGTGGTCGTTGTTTTACCTTATTAAATTTAGGGTAGTTTCTTTTTTCTTTTTCTTTTTTTAAATTTTTTTTTTTTGAGACGGAGTCTCCCTCTGTGGCCCAAGCTGGACTGCAGTGGCGCGATCTCGGCTCACAGCAAGCTCCGCCTCCCGGGTTCACGCCATTCTCCTGCCTCAGCCTCCCGAGTAGCTGGGACTTAAGGCGCCCACCACCACCAGGCCAGGCTAACTTTTGTATTTTTAGTAGAGACAGAGTTTCACCGTATTAGGCAGGATGGTCTCGATCTCCTGAACTCATGATCCGCCCGTCTCAGCCTCCCAAACTGCTGGGATTACAGGCGTGAGCCACGGCGCCCAGGCCATTTGGGTTAGTTTCTTAAGCAGCAATAGTAACTGTAACACTGACTCACTTCTACTGCCACCAATCACTATCCACTTTTCCTGATTTACTTCTTCCTATGTACCGTCTTTTAAAAAACAAATAATTAGGCCGGGCTAAGTGGCTCACGCCTGTAATCCCAGCACTTTGGGAGGCTGAGGCGGGCGGATCACGAGGTCAGGAAATCGAGACCATCCTGGCTAACACGGTGAAACTCTGTCTCCACTAAAAATACAAAAAATTAGCTGGGCGTGGTGGTGGGTGCCTGCAGTCCCAGCTACTCGGGAGGCTGAGGCAGGAGAATGGCGTGAACCCAGGAGGCGGAGCTTGCAGTGAGCCCAGATGGCGCCACTGCACTCCAGCCTGGGCGACAGAGCGAGACTCCGTCTCAAAAAAAAATAAAAATAAAAAATAAATAAAAAAAGATTTTTAATATATATATACGAGAATATGTGAAACAGTATGTTTTCAAGTTTCCATTGAATATTTTAAAAATAGATTATATAAAACCTCAATATATTTTTTAAAATAAAAACCACACAGGTCACATTACCTACTCAAAATTTAATTACATTAGAAATTAAGACAAAGTTAAAACAGGACAACCAGCACCCCTAGTATCACCCTCCTCAGAGTATTTAAAAATAGATTCCTTTAAATTATCTCTTTTTTTACAAGAATAAAATCTAATCAATTATTAGAAAGATAATCTCAAACTGAACTCAAAAGAAGAAGCAAAGCATCTTCAAAGTCAATAAGGGTGCTATAAATGCTTCTTGGACTCTGAAACTCTCTGACTTCCCATTCTACTCTCAGTTGTAGAAAACTCCCTGATTGTGAAGTTTTGGTGTGATTAGGTTAGGTTTACCCAGATACTCCCCCCGTCTTAAGGCTGACGGATTATTAGCCTTAGTGACATGTGCAAGACTCCTTTGCCGTGTGAGGTATCAACAGGGTAACATGAGGAAATGAAGGTCATAGGGGCTATCTTAGACTTCTTCCTGCTACAACCTCTATTCACTTATTTTGAAACCTCAGAGTTTAATGAGCTCCTACTATGTTCTAGGTCCTTGCAATAGGAGTACAGCAGTGAACAAGACAAACATGGTTCTGGTCCTTGGAGTACAAAGTAAATGCTGAAAATTTAATAAATGGGTCAGTAGATAGATAGATGTATAAAGGTCTAAATGCACATTCAGAAAATAGCAGGAGAACACTGAGACTCAGTATTATTGAATATGCTTTAAAGGCCCATGTGTCGTCTTGAATGAAAATGTTGCTCAATTTCTGATGAGGAGACTAATTCATCAATATCTGTTATCATTGACTGATGACCTCACATAATAAAAGATCTTGACTTGAGTGTACGTTAATAATCAACATAATGGGTAATGTATCAAAAGAGTATATGGAAGATAATAAAAAGATATAAATTGAAATCTTAAATAGTTTTGTGCTAAAATATGTTTAGAATTGCTTGAACCCAGGAGGCGGAGGTTGCAGTGAGCTGAGATTATGCCACTACACTCCAGCCTGGGCAACAAGATCCAACCTCCGTCTCAAACAAACAAACAAACAAACAAACAGAAACAACCCAAACAAACACAAAAAGTTACTATAATTGTATCTCTTTTGATTATAGCCTGGAAGAAATCACTCTCTCCCCAACTTAAGGAAGGGGAGACTTATCTCTAGCCAAGCTTTGAGTATAAACATATAAAAAGTAATTTTCATTTTCTTGAAACTGACTGCATGAAAAGGCATATGGTGTTCCCAAAAAATGTCTGATGAGTGAGAATATTAAAATGACTAAACTGATGGGACATATTTAATTTAATATTTAAACTTGATAAAAAATAGTTAAGCATTTAACTCAAGAATTTCAAAATGGTACAGCAAAGCATACAAGCAAAATTAAAAGGAATGCTAATTACATATTAAGTTAGAAGGCAATAAATTATAAACAAAAACAGTAACAATTTATAAACATACACAAGTTCATTCTTTAACAAATAACCCATGATACAGAAAAATATAGCAAATGTGATAAAACAAAAACTGAGAAAACATAAAATTTAAAGTGAAAAAAAAACAAAACATGCAGAAATTGTTTTAAAGACAAAAAATACTATCTTAGAAAATTAAATACGTGTTTCACTAAAATAAACATGTACTGCTTAAATGAATCTTAATTTAATTTTAAAAACAGTAAATAGGTTGCAGGCATCAATTTTTGCAAGAAATGTAAAACATTATTTTAAAAATTTTTATTAAAGTCCCTATAACCGGTGTTTTTAATAAGCATCTGTTTAAAACATCTTGTAAAATGGACCCCAAACTAGGAAATATGGATAAAGTTATAAAAAGTGGCTTCCTTTCAGTTCATTTTACAAAGCAAATATAACTATTACTAACTCTTGATGAAGTGAATACAAAAAGAATAAAATTACTAAACAGTATCCCTTATAAACATAGTTAAAATATTCTTAACTGAAAGAAAAAGGAACTGAATTCTACACTTACTAAGAAATCACCCACCCCAGTGATTTGGCATACAAAGATTTAATACTAGAAAATATATATTAATATAATGCAACACAACAATAAAGCTATTTACTTTATATTGTACATTTACTGCTACAGACTAAATGTTTACATCCCTCTCAAATTCATATGTTGAAATGCTAACCGCCAATGTGAGGGTTTTTGAAGGTGGGGCTTTTGGGAACTAATTAAGTCATGAGAGAGCAGCCCTCATTAATGGGTTTAGCACCCTTCTAAAGCAGCCCCCTGAACTCCCTTGCTCCTTCCCCAACTGAGGTTATAGAGAAAGGGCAGCCTTCTTTGAACTAGAACAAAAGTTTTTCCCAGACACCAGATTGGCTAGTACCTTGGTCTTAGATTTCCCAGACCCCAGAACTGTGAGAAATTCCTTTCTGTTGTTTATAAGCCACCAAGTCTATGGTATTCTGGTACAGCAGCCCATTTTTGATATTTATTTAATGATATTTAACATGCATGACTGATGAAATTTAACAAAGTAGTTATAGATATGTCCTTACCATGATTAAAAATAACTCTTAAATTGATGCATACTTTTATTATCTAGTTCTAGCCAAAGCCATAAGATGAAAGCACAAATAAGAAACCACCTATATGGCACATGTATACCTATATAACAAACCTGCATGTTCCTTGCATGTATCCCAGAACTGAAAATCATATTTTAAAAAAATTTATTTATATAGAAAAAAAGAGAGCAAATGATAATATTTTTCAAAAACTGATAATTTAATTATGGCAAGTTCTGTGTGATATGTGCCTGATGTGTGTGATATGTGTCTGATGTGATATGTGTGAGATGAAAAACACTAAGGGAGTATGTGATTTTGAGCATTCACGTGCCCATAAATCCTTGTTAGAATTAAAATATCACATTAAACCTCTCTCTTTCTTTTAATGTCCATGGTTTCTTTATATGTTTTAGTAAGTGACACAGAGGAAAATACTGAGCGGACACCGTTTCTAAATTGGTAAACTGCCCTGAACTGCCACTTTACTCTTTTCTACAGCAAGTGTGGAAGATTAGAGTTCAGGCAAACATGTCATGTAAGTGGTGAAGATTCCCTTTTTCCACTGGGACAGCAGTAGAACTGAAGGGAAATCAGACAACAGCTACCTCAGCAGGAGAGCCTCAATGATGACACTTTTGCCTCAACAGTGGAAGCTGGTAGTTTCCAAAAATAGAGCTAAAAAGTGAATCAAGTTTTAAAGCACATTGAAAGTCACACGTAAAATTCATTATTACAGAAAAGCTATAAACCAATCACAGTAAATGAGTGAATTTAGAAATTAAATTTTAATATGAAAGGTTCATGTTGTCAAAACTGACTATGTTAGTCCATCTCAATGCTATAAAGGAATACCTGAGACTGGGTAATTTATAAAGAAAAGAGGAGTATTTGGGCTGATGGTTTGCAGGCTGTACAAACAGGCCACCAGTATCTGCTCAGCTTCTGCTGAGGCCCGGGAAGCTGACAATCATGGCTTAAGGCAAAGGGGGAGCTGGCATATTACATGGGGAGAGAGGGAGCAAGGGAGATGCCAGGCTCTTTTAAACAACAAGATCTCTCGTGAATTCATAGAGCAAGAACTCACTCATTACCAGGAGGACAGCACAAAACCATTCATGGGGATCCACCCTTGGGAAACAAACACCTATTACTAGGCCCACCTCCAACACTGGAGGTCGCATTTCAACATGAGATTTGGAGGGGACAAAACATCCAAACCGTATCACTAACGGAAAATTATTGTTTAAATTTCTGTATTCAGTCCCTTGGCCTTTTTGAGAAATGCCATTCATTTCAGCCATCAAGCAAATTATTATTTGAGACATTTATACCTCTTCATCCTTTAAAAGTTTCAGAAGCATGAATTTAAAAAGTATTCATTGTAAATTTGAGGCTAGTCAAATTGATGTGGCATCTAAGTAGCACGGTGATGGGATGAGGAGACAAAGTCACGAGGGGAGGTAGGAAGAAGCAGAGAGAAAAAGAGAAATAGGAAGAGAGAAAAAGAAATGAGGAGAGAGTATAAGAAAAATAAAGAAGAAAGAGGAAAAGAAAAATGGTTTAAATGAGAGGCAAATGTCATCTGATGTTTTACCATGGGGCCATAGGGTATTTGAAGATTCAGAAAATTCGTAAGTTATTAAAAAATGTGACTCTAGGGTAGTGAGGTTATAACTTGTAAGAAAACAAGAAGTGATTCCTTTTAAGAGAGCCTTCTTGGCCGGGAGCTGTGGCTCACGCCTGTAATCCCAGCACTTTGGGAGGCCGAGGCGGGTGGATCACGAGGTCAGGAGATCGAGACCATCCTGGCTAACACGGTGAAACCCCGTCTCTACTAAAAATACAAAAAAATAGCTGGGCCTGGTGGTGGGCGCCTGTAGTCCCAGCTACTCGGGAGGCTGAGGCAGGAGAATGGCGTGAACCCGGGAGGCGGAGCTTGCAGTTAGCCGAGATCGGGCCACACCACTCCAGCCTGGGGGACAGTGAGACTCCGTCTCAAAAAAAAAAGAAAAAAAAAAAGTTTACCCTGTGCAGGCACTATAACTAAGAGTCCTTCCCATCTGAGCCTTGCCTTCCAGACAACTCCACCAATTTATAAGACAGAAAAAAAGCACCTTGCACCTTCCAGACTGACTTGTTTGCCAGCCGACTAGCACTGAGTCACCCTAGTTAATGATGTGAGAGAGGAAGAATCACTCAGATGAATCCTGCTGGAATTTCTCACCTATAGGATCCATGAGATATAATGAAGTGGTCGTTGTTTTACCTTATTAAATTTAGGGTAGTTTCTTTTTTCTTTTTCTTTTTTTAAATTTTTTTTTTTTGAGACGGAGTCTCCCTCTGTGGCCCAAGCTGGACTGCAGTGGCGCGATCTCGGCTCACAGCAAGCTCCGCCTCCCGGGTTCACGCCATTCTCCTGCCTCAGCCTCCCGAGTAGCTGGGACTTAAGGCGCCCACCACCACCAGGCCAGGCTAACTTTTGTATTTTTAGTAGAGACAGAGTTTCACCGTATTAGGCAGGATGGTCTCGATCTCCTGAACTCATGATCCGCCCGTCTCAGCCTCCCAAACTGCTGGGATTACAGGCGTGAGCCACGGCGCCCAGGCCATTTGGGTTAGTTTCTTAAGCAGCAATAGTAACTGTAACACTGACTCACTTCTACTGCCACCAATCACTATCCACTTTTCCTGATTTACTTCTTCCTATGTACCGTCTTTTAAAAAACAAATAATTAGGCCGGGCTAAGTGGCTCACGCCTGTAATCCCAGCACTTTGGGAGGCTGAGGCGGGCGGATCACGAGGTCAGGAAATCGAGACCATCCTGGCTAACACGGTGAAACTCTGTCTCCACTAAAAATACAAAAAAGTAGCTGGGCGTGGTGGTGGGTGCCTGCAGTCCCAGCTATTCGGGAGGCTGAGGCAGGAGAATGGCGTGAACCCAGGAGGCGGAGCTTGCAGTGAGCCCAGATGGCGCCACTGCACTCCAGCCTGGGCGACAGAGCGAGACTCCGTCTCAAAAAAAAATAAAAATAAAAAATAAATAAAAAAAGATTTTTAATATATATATACGAGAATATGTGAAACAGTATGTTTTCAAGTTTCCATTGAATATTTTAAAAATAGATTATATAAAACCTCAATATATTTTTTAAAATAAAAACCACACAGGTCACATTACCTACTCAAAATTTAATTACATTAGAAATTAAGACAAAGTTAAAACAGGACAACCAGCACCCCTAGTATCACCCTCCTCAGAGTATTTAAAAATAGATTCCTTTAAATTATCTCTTTTTTTACAAGAATAAAATCTAATCAATTATTAGAAAGATAATCTCAAACTGAACTCAAAAGAAGAAGCAAAGCATCTTCAAAGTCAATAAGGGTGCTATAAATGCTTCTTGGACTCTGAAACTCTCTGACTTCCCATTCTACTCTCAGTTGTAGAAAACTCCCTGATTGTGAAGTTTTGGTGTGATTAGGTTAGGTTTACCCAGATACTCCCCCCGTCTTAAGGCTGACGGATTATTAGCCTTAGTGACATGTGCAAGACTCCTTTGCCGTGTGAGGTATCAACAGGGTAACATGAGGAAATGAAGGTCATAGGGGCTATCTTAGACTTCTTCCTGCTACAACCTCTATTCACTTATTTTGAAACCTCAGAGTTTAATGAGCTCCTACTATGTTCTAGGTCCTTGCAATAGGAGTACACCAGTGAACAAGACAAACATGGTTCTGGTCCTTGGAGTACAAAGTAAATGCTGAAAATTTAATAAATGGGTCAGTAGATAGATAGATGTATAAAGGTCTAAATGCACATTCAGAAAATAGCAGGAGAACACTGAGACTCAGTATTATTGAATATGCTTTAAAGGCCCATGTGTCGTCTTGAATGAAAATGTTGCTCAATTTCTGATGAGGAGACTAATTCATCAATATCTGTTATCATTGACTGATGACCTCACATAATAAAAGATCTTGACTTGAGTGTACGTTAATAATCAACATAATGGGTAATGTATCAAAAGAGTATATGGAAGATAATAAAAAGATATAAATTGAAATCTTAAATAGTTTTGTGCTAAAATATGTTTAGAATTGCTTGAACCCAGGAGGCGGAGGTTGCAGTGAGCTGAGATTATGCCACTACACTCCAGCCTGGGCAACAAGATCCAACCTCCGTCTCAAACAAACAAACAAACAAACAAACAGAAACAACCCAAACAAACACAAAAAGTTACTATAATTGTATCTCTTTTGATTATAGCCTGGAAGAAATCACTCTCTCCCCAACTTAAGGAAGGGGAGACTTATCTCTAGCCAAGCTTTGAGTATAAACATATAAAAAGTAATTTTCATTTTCTTGAAACTGACTGCATGAAAAGGCATATGGTGTTCCCAAAAAATGTCTGATGAGTGAGAATATTAAAATGACTAAACTGATGGGACATATTTAATTTAATATTTAAACTTGATAAAAAATAGTTAAGCATTTAACTCAAGAATTTCAAAATGGTACAGCAAAGCATACAAGCAAAATTAAAAGGAATGCTAATTACATATTAAGTTAGAAGGCAATAAATTATAAACAAAAACAGTAACAATTTATAAACATACACAAGTTCATTCTTTAACAAATAACCCATGATACAGAAAAATATAGCAAATGTGATAAAACAAAAACTGAGAAAACATAAAATTTAAAGTGAAAAAAAAACAAAACATGCAGAAATTGTTTTAAAGACAAAAAATACTATCTTAGAAAATTAAATACGTGTTTCACTAAAATAAGCATGTACTGCTTAAATGAATCTTAATTTAATTTTAAAAACAGTAAATAGGTTGCAGGCATCAATTTTTGCAAGAAATGTAAAACATTATTTTAAAAATTTTTATTAAAGTCCCTATAACCGGTGTTTTTAATAAGCATCTGTTTAAAACATCTTGTAAAATGGACCCCAAACTAGGAAATATGGATAAAGTTATAAAAAGTGGCTTCCTTTCAGTTCATTTTACAAAGCAAATATAACTATTACTAACTCTTGATGAAGTGAATACAAAAAGAATAAAATTACTAAACAGTATCCCTTATAAACATAGTTAAAATATTCTTAACTGAAAGAAAAAGGAACTGAATTCTACACTTACTAAGAAATCACCCACCCCAGTGATTTGGCATACAAAGATTTAATACTAGAAAATATATATTAATATAATGCAACACAACAATAAAGCTATTTACTTTATATTGTACATTTACTGCTACAGACTAAATGTTTACATCCCTCTCAAATTCATATGTTGAAATGCTAACCGCCAATGTGAGGGTTTTTGAAGGTGGGGCTTTTGGGAACTAATTAAGTCATGAGAGAGCAGCCCTCATTAATGGGTTTAGCACCCTTCTAAAGCAGCCCCCTGAACTCCCTTGCTCCTTCCCCAACTGAGGTTATAGAGAAAGGGCAGCCTTCTTTGAACTAGAACAAAAGTTTTTCCCAGACACCAGATTGGCTAGTACCTTGGTCTTAGATTTCCCAGACCCCAGAACTGTGAGAAATTCCTTTCTGTTGTTTATAAGCCACCAAGTCTATGGTATTCTGGTACAGCAGCCCATTTTTGATATTTATTTAATGATATTTAACATGCATGACTGATGAAATTTAACAAAGTAGTTATAGATATGTCCTTACCATGATTAAAAATAACTCTTAAATTGATGCATACTTTTATTATCTAGTTCTAGCCAAAGCCATAAGATGAAAACACAAATAAGAAACCACCTATATGGCACATGTATACCTATATAACAAACCTGCATGTTCCGTGCATGTATCCCAGAACTGAAAATCATATTTTAAAAAAATTTATTTATATAGAAAAAAAGAGAGCAAATGATAATATTTTTCAAAAACTGATAATTTAATTACGGTAAGTTCTGTGTGATATGTGCCTGAAATGTGTGATATGTATCTGATGTGATATGTGTGAGATGAAAAACACTAAGGGGGTATGTGATTTTGAGCATTCATGTGCCCATAAATCCTTGTTAGAATTAAAATATCACATTAAACCTCTCTCTTTCTTTTAATGTCCATGGTTTCTTTTATATGTTTTAGTAAGTGACACAGAGGAAAATACTGAGCGGACACCATTTCTAAATTGGTAAACTGCCCTGAACTGCCACTTTACTCTTTTCTACAGCAAGTGTGGAAGATTAGAGTTCAGGCAAACATGTCATGTAAGTGGTGAAGATTCCCTTTTTCCACTGGGACAGCAGTAGAACTGAAGGGAAATCAGACAACAGCTACCTCAGCAGGAGAGCCTCAATGATGACACTTTTGCCTCAACAGTGGAAGCTGGTAGTTTCCAAAAATAGAGCTAAAAAGTGAATCAAGTTTTAAAGCACATTGAAAGTCACACGTAAGATTCATTATTACAGAAAAGCTATAAACCAATCACAGTAAATGAGTGAATTTAGAAATTAAATTTTAATATGAAAGGTTCATGTTGTCAAAACTGACTATGTTAGTCCATCTCAATGCTATAAAGGAATACCTGAGACTGGGTAATTTATAAAGAAAAGAGGAGTATTTGGCTGATGGTCTGCAGGCTGTACAAACAGGCCACCAGTATCTGCTCAGCTTCTGCTGAGGCCCGGGAAGCTGACAATCATGGCTTAAGGCAAAGGGGGAGCTGGCATATTACATGGGGAGAGAGGGAGCAAGGGAGATGCCAGGCTCTTTTAAACAACAAGATCTCTCGTGAATTCATAGAGCAAGAACTCACTCATTACCAGGAGGACAGCACAAAACCATTCATGGGGATCCACCCTTGGGAAACAAACACCTATTACTAGGCCCACCTCCAACACTGGAGGTCGCATTTCAACATGAGATTTGGAGGGGACAAAACATCCAAACCGTATCACTAACGGAAAGTTATTGTTTAAATTTCTGTATTCAGTCCCTTGGCCTTTTTGAGAAATGCCATTCATTTCAGCCATCAAACAAATTATTATGTGAGACATTTATACCTCTTCATCCTTTAAAAGTTTCAGAAGCATGAATTTAAAAAGTATTCATTGTAAATTTGAGGCTAGTCAAATTGATGTGGCATCTAAGTAGCACGGTGATGGGATGAGGAGACAAAGTCACGAGGGGAGGTAGGAAGAAGCAGAGAGAAAAAGAGAAATAGGAAGAGAGAAAAAGAAATGAGGAGAGAGTATAAGAAAAATAAAGAAGAAAGAGGAAAAGAAAAATGGTTTAAATGAGAGGCAAATGTCATCTGATGTTTTACCATGGGGCCATAGGGTATTTGAAGTTTCAGAAAATTCATAAGTTATTAAAAAATGTGACTCTAGGGTAGTGAGGTTATAACTTGTAAGAAAACAAGAAGTGATTCCTTTTAAGAGAACCTTCTTGGCCGGGTGCTGTGGCTCACGCCTGTAATCCCAGCACTTTGGGAGGCCGAGGCGGGTGGATCACGAGGTCAGGAGATCGAGACCATCCTGGTTAACACAGTGAAACCCCGTCTCTACTAAAGATACAAAAAATTAGCTGGGCGCCGCAGCGGGCACTTGTAGTCCCAGCTGCACGGGAGGCTGAGGCAGGAGAATGGCGTGAACCCGGGAGGCGGAGTTTGCACTGAGCAGAAATCGCGCCGCTGCACTCCAGCCTGGGGAACAATGGGGAACAAAGCAAGACTCCGTCTCAAAAAAAAAAAAAAAAAAGAAAAGAAAAAGAGGAACTTCTTAAAGATGCGGTTGTCTTTCTTATGCTTCCTTTAGCTCTTTTTTACCTCTCCACTGATACAGATTTTTATACCAAATAGCTGGCATTAGCTAAACCAATGTCTAGGAGAACTGATCCTCACGAAGGAAAATCATAATTTATTATTTTTTTAATTCATGGCATTTATTTGTACAAGAAATATATTTCTATTTAAGAGAAAGTAGAAAACAAAGGAGAACAGAAACAACTTTTTTTTTTTTTTTTTTTTTTTTGAGACAGAATCTCGCTCTGTCGCCCAGGCTGGAGTGCAGTGGCACGATCTCAGCTCACTGCAAGCTCTGCCTCCCGGGTTCACGCCGTTCTCCTGCCTCAGCCTCCCGAGTAGCTGGGACTACAGGCGCCCGCCACCACGTCCGGCTAATTTTTTTGTATTTTTAGTAGAGACGTGGTTTCACTGTGTTAGCCAGGATGGTCTTGACCTCCTGACCTCGTGATCCGCCCGCCTCAGCCTCCCAAAGTGCTGGGATTGCAGGCGTGAGCCACAGCGCCCGGCCGAAAAAACTTTTTAAAATTTGTTTGGGGATCTCCCATATTTGCCAAAGTAATCCCACAAAAACAATTAACATTTGACTTTGAAAATTAAGACAAAAAATACAATGATGAATATTTTCTTGTAAAAGCAAAGACAGTAAAAATATTCAGATTTAAAATAAGCCTGAGAAAAAGCATGATTTCCTTGAGCTTACCTAAGTAAACTTATTTACAAGTGACTGTATCAATAATTAGCAAAAGTAAAAGTCATTATGAAATCCTCCAAATCTTTCAAAGTACTATCTTACATTCAAGCATTGAGTTTGCCCATAAAATTATTTAAGCTCAACCTTTTCCTCAATCTCCAAAACTCTGGCGTGTAACTACACAAACACTTCAATAGGGGACAGAATCTCCTTTTATCATTCATTCTACCAAACATCAACTTCATAAGAATTAGAATCAAGTGTAATAAGAATGAACTATATAGAATCATTGATATAAATTTATAGGTGTTCAGACATAACCTTTAGACATATTTGTCAGTGTACATGTAAACAATACTCAATAACTTCTTTAATAGAGTTCTCCAGAGAAACAGAACCAATTGGATGTGGGTATATAACTCAGTTATATGTTTCATCAGCTTCCTTTTTATGTAATAGAAACTAACTACAGCTAATGATGAATTTTTTTCATTCATTCATCATTAAAAGGGGAGAGAGAAATCCAGGCTGGGTTTGTGCCATTTTTATTCCCTCACAGTTCTCTTCTTGCTGCATGATTCTTCCTTTCAGATATTAACCAGAAGGAATGGTTAGCCTGGCTATAGCTCTAGAGGAGCAACACAGGCTCTGGATAATGAGGATGCACGGGCTTTAATCAGTCCTAGCAGGAGGTCTTGGCTTAGACAACTATGTAGAGTTGATGGTATCCCTATAGGAAAAAAATATATATATATATGTTTTTGTGGTAGCAGGACAGAGTCAGTTTCAGACATTTGTTCAACAACTGTTGGTGTTCAACATATATTAGTATTTTGCACTAGGTACTATGTACTAAAAGTATAGTAAGGAATAAAAATAGGGAAATAAACAAAAACAAAGAAACAGAGAGAATTCCTATTACCCTTTAGGAAAAACAACATAAAATAAAGTAACAGAATCTAGAAATAGAGAATAACAAGATAGAAGCCTACTATATACCACCATTATCAACCTGTCAAAATAAACATTGTCAGTAGTGAGACAAACTGGAATCATGTACCACCTGATAGGATGCAATGAAAAAAACGCAGCATCAATTCTGTGATATTCTTGCCAAAATGCATTGCCTGACTCTAGTCACAAGGAAACCTCAGAAAACCTAAAGGGAGCCATTCAAAAAAGAAGGAAGGGAAAAGGAAAAAGTAAGGGAAAGAGAAAAGGAGAAGGAAGGGGAGGGGGAAGGGAAGGGGAGAGGGAAGAGAAAAAGGAAGGGGAAAGCGAAGGAGAAAGGAAAGGAGAAAAGGAAGGAGAAGCAAAGCAAAGGAAAAAAAGAAGAAAATATGGGCCAGAAATCTTGGTTAAGTTAGGTCTAAAGATCTATTCTTGATACAAGGACATTAAAAAGACATGACAATGAAAGGCAATGCATGATTCTGAACTTGATCCTTTTGCTATGAAACATTATTGGGACTATTGGTGAAAAATTTTTTTTTTTTTTTGAGACGGGGTCTCGGTCTGTCGCCCAGCCTGGAGTGCAGTGGCGCAGTCTGGGCTCACTGCAAGCCTCGCCTCCTAGGTTCACGCCATTCTCCTGCCTCAGCCTCCCGAGTAGCTGGGACTACAGGCACCCACCACCACACCCGGCTAATTTTTTCCTTTTTTTTTTTGTATTTTTAGTAGAGACGGGGTTTCACCCTGTTAGCCAGGATGGTCTTGATCGCCTGACCTCGTGACCCATCCGCCTCGGCCTCCCAAAGTGCTGGGATTACAGGCGTGAGCCACCGTGCCCGGCTGACTATTGGTGAAATTTTAATGCGGACTTGATAATTAGATGTAGCAATATATTAATATTAATTTTCTGGTTTTGTTCGTTGTACTGTGCGTGTATTGCATTTGGGGGGGCACATATATTACTGTAATAGATTTGTAACATATAGAATTATATATATGTATATACATATATAGACACAATTGTGTTTGTAGAAAATATATATGAAAGCAAGGTTTTTCAACTTTGGCACTATCGCTTCTGACATTTGGGCCACATAATTCTTTGTTGGGGGCATTTCCTGTGAATTGCAGGATGTTTAGCGACTTGGTTTGCCTTTAATAACTAAATGACAGTAGCATCCTCCTCACACCTTTGCCCAGGCTAACAACTAAAAATATCTTGAGATATTATCAGATGTTTCCTGGAGGGCAAAACTCCCCCTGGTTGAGAATCAGTCTACTAAAGTATTTGGAGATGACAGAGCATCAGGTTCGTTTCTATATATTATTAAAGTATCTTTCAAAGTTGAAGGTAAAATTAAGACATTTTCGGAAAAATTAAATGGGCCAATTTGTCACCAGCAAATCTGTACTACAAAACATGCTAGCAGAAGTTTTCTGGCCTGAAGGGAAATAACATCGAATCTAAACTCCAGATTAGAGGAAATGAAAAGCATAGAAATGGTAAGTATATGAGTAACAGGAAATACTTTTTTTTAATCTGTCGATTTTGTTGAAGGGAAACTGACTATTTAAATTTAAAAAGATATCATTTTATTGTGGGCTTTATGATGTGGATAGAAAAACTTATACTAAAAAAAATCACAAAAGACAGAGGGGGAGTAAAGGAAATGTTACCATCATCAGTTTTTGTTGTTGTTGTTTTGGGTTTTTTTAATAGACTTTATTTTTAGGGCAGTTGTAAGTTCACAGCAAAATTGAAAGAAAGATACAAAGATTTCTCATACATCATTGTGTCCACACAGGCACAGCCTGACCCCTTGCTGTCATTCTCCTCTGGAGTGGCACATTACTTACCGCTGATGAACCTGCACTGGCACATCCTTATCACCAAGGTCCATAGTTATATTAGGGTCCACGCTTGCTGTCATACATTCTATGAGTTTAGGCAAATTCATATACCAGTGTAGTATCATGCAGAATAGTTTTCTGCCCTGAAAGTCTTCTGTGCATATGAATAGGATAGGTGGAGCACAGATCACTTTTTAGGAAAATGTTGCCTTGTTTTGATTTGACAAAGTAGGCAACACTATCAATCACTGGAGAGAATGTAAAAATAGAACAGATGTCATCAGTTTTTTACATTATATATGAAGTTGTCAAAAATTACCTCTAAGTAAAATTTAGATTAGTTAAGTATAAATTGATGATTATTGTAATACAAATAACTCAATACAAAAAAGCGTTGCAACTAACTCATCTATGCAATTTAAAATGAATACTTAAAATACAATTAAACAAAAATACGAGAAGAGAAACAAGAGATTGTACAGTTTTTAAAAGTGGCAACACATTTCATTTAACATATTTATGAACTAAATTATTCAATTACAAGGTAGAGACTGTCATATTAGACAAAAGAATGAGACCCAACTAATGTTGTCTACCAGAAGCATATATTAAACATAAAGACACAGATAGATGAAAAGTAAACCTACAAGAAAAGATAAACCATATACACAGCAAGCATTAGGAAGCTTGTGTGGCTATATTAGCAAAATGCAATGTAGACTGGAAAAGAGGGTGCATTATAAGAGAAAATGGGGGCATTTCATAATTATGAAATAACCAATTCATCAGAGGACAATAATATTGCTTATATTATTGTCCTCTGATGAATTGGTTATTACATTATTGTCCTAATATGACATAGATGTCCATAATTATGAAATGCCCCCATTTCATAATTATGAAAGGGACACCAACTTAATAACAAAGCCTCATAATTCATGAAGGAAAAAGCAGAATTGAAGGGAGAAATGGATAAATGACAATAATAATTAAAGATTTTAACATCCCTCTGTTCATCACTGATTGAACAGTAAGACAAACCATTCGTATGGCTATAGAACATTTCAACTTCATTATAAATCACCTTGATCTTATTGACATTTATAAAAACTACATTTCAAATGCTGAATATACATTGTTTTCTTGTGTATTGAAAGCACCACCAACATAGGCCAAATGCTGAATCAAAAAGTAAGTTTAAATGAATTTAAGCTTTAGATTTTATAGAATATATTCTCTGATCACAATAAAATTTAATTTGAAATTGATGACATAAGAGATTCCTAGGAAACCCCCAAATAGTTGTAAATAACATGAAACACTATTTAACTCATAGTTCATAAAAGAAATCAAAAGATAATTTAGAAAAAATATGAAATAAGGAAAACAGTGTATTAAATAAACATCTGCACCTAGATGTTTATTGCAGCACTATTCACAATAGGCAAGATATGGAATCAACCTAAGGGTCCAGCAACAGATGATGGTTAAAGAAAATGTGGTATATAGGCCGGGCACGGTGGCTCACGCCTGCAATCCCAGCACTTTGGAAGGCCAAGATGGGTGGATCACTGGAGGTCAGGAGTTCGAGACTAGCCTGGCCAACATGGTGAAACCCCATCTCTACTACAAATATAAAAATTAGCTGGGCATGGTGGCACGTCCCCAGCTACTCGGGAGGCTGAGGTGGAAGATCACTTGAATCCGAGAGGCAGAGGTTACAGTGAGCCAAGATCACACCATTGCACTCCAGAGCAAGACTCCATCTCAAGAAGGGAAAGGAAGGAGAGGGGAGGGGAGAGGAGGGGAAGGGAGGGGACAGGAGGGGAAAAGGAATAGATACACAATGAAGTACTATTCGGCCATAAAAGCAACGTGCATAGAAATGGAGTGTATTATGTGAGTGAAATGAGCCAAGAAGAGAAAGTTAAACATTACAGCTTCTCACTCATATGTGGAAGCTAAAATATTTTGATCTTATAGAAGTTAAAACAGAGGATGCTAGAGGCTGGAAAGTATAAGAGGAAGGGAGGGATAGGGAGAGATTTGTTAAAAGATTCAAAATTAAAGCTAGATAGGAGGAATAAGTTCTAATGCTCTATACCATTATGGTATGACAATAGTTAACAATAACATATAGCTTCAAATAGTTAGCAAAGGATATTGAATGTTCCCAAAACAAAGAAATGATAAATGTTTGCAATGATGGATATGCTAATTACCATCACCTCATCAGGGTAATTAAATATATACACTATGAGTATTGAAACATCACTATGTACCCATAAATATGCACAATTATTATGTGCCAATTAAAAAAATAAAATAAAACAAAATTATGATAATAAAAGCTTCATATTTGTGGTGTAGAGTTAAATTGAGAGGGTAATTTATTATTTGAAATTCTTGTATTAGAAAAATACGTAGGTTTAAAAGTCAATGAAAAAATAAACAAATAAAACGTAATTTGAAAAAATAAAATAACAGGTAATGAAAGAAATAAATGAAATTGAAAGTAAATAAATTCACAAAGTGAAAAGTTCCTTTGAAAAAATCAGTAAAGTTGTTACATACTAGTAAGACTAAGAAAAAAGGACTGATAAAAGAAGAAATATCATTACAGAACCTCTATATTTAAATGATAATAACTATTATGAACAATTCCATACTCAAGAATTTGGCAGCTTAAAGTTCTTTAAAGAGACAAATTACCAAAGCTTATTTGAGAACAAATTCATAATGTGAATTTTTCTGTATCTATATGTATCCATATAGTCTAGGTTTTCTAATTTCTGGCCTATGGTTGCTCACAGTAGCCTCTAATGATCCTTACAATTTCAACAAAGAAATTCAGAAGAAATTGAAAAATTTATTGAAGCAGATAAAAACGGCAACACAACATACCAAAACCTATGGGATACAGCAAAAAGCAGTAGTAAGAGGGAAATGTATACCTATAATTTCCAAGATCAAAAAAGTGAAAAACCTCAAATAAATAACCTGATGATACATCTTTTTTTAAGGTCACTATAAATTTTAATCTATGATATAAAATATTACCTACAGATATAATTGAACATCAGGTATCAGAAAATAAAACATAACAATGAAATGCAATTTTGTAAATACTTCTATGGTACAAGCATTATTTTCCTCAGATTCAACCTTTTAATTGTGTTTTGTTTGCTTTCTGAAAATCACACTTTATAAAGAACACAAGTAGAGCTTGTTAAAATGATTGTCACAGATGTACTGTTTACTAATTCAAAAAATACTACATTCATTCGCTCATATCAATTTTATTCATTAATTATGAAGAAGAAAATATAATATTCCATGCTTGTCATGAAATAGCGGTTTCTTCTTCCAGTCTAATCAGGGAACTAATAAATGCTTAGTTCATGGCAAAACTTCCATTTGATTTACATTGACTTAATTACCTCTTAGGGTCTAGCCTCATCAATGGAGAAAAAGCACTTTTTCTTGAGGCAACAGCACATTAACAGCACTGAATACAAAATATGGCAAATTCAATGGCTGTCAGCATTGCTTTAGGAATTTTGAGACTATAAAAAAACTATAACCATGAATAAAAGAAAAGGGCTTATTAATATCTTCTTTTTGGGAGAGTGATACATTCTGAAGGTTTCTTGTTATTCTGTTGAATAGCAAGGACTTCCAAACTTAAGTGTCTTAAGGCTGAAAATTAGTTACATTCCTCAGATTTTAGCCTTATTAATGAAATTCCAAAAGTATTATAAGATTTAGTATGTCTTGAAATTATAAATTTGTAACAGATATTTTTCAAAATACATGCCTTCAAACAACTTAAATGCAAAAATCATTCGTTCTTAATAATACCTAGCAGTTCATCCCTTGCTTCCCAGAAGTACTCATACAAACATGTGAATTTAAAAAATAGATTTTTCTGTTCAAAAAATAAAGCTTCTGCCCTTTTAAAAACTTGTCAGGCTTTCATTTGCCAAAATGTTGAAAACTGCACATATTCAAACATAGTTCCCGTAGGAACACATATTCCTCAACTCTCACACCTTTGAAGACACAGGAGACGGGCAATATAAATGTTCCCTTCTTTCCAGCTGATGTTAAATAGTTAGGTTTGCTTCATGAGATTATCGGAATAAAGGGTTAGATTTTCATTTTCCATTACTCTATCTAGTAAAATTAGACTTAAAGTAGGTAGAATACTACCAGAGGAATTACACAGTGATTGGCAAACTGGCCTAAAATAATCAGGCTTTTTATTTATACTTCCCTTTTTAAAGTTGTCATTTGACAACAGCTTCCATCTTTAACAGCAGGCAAAAGAAAATGAGGTGCCATGCTATATTAATTAAAATATTCCACAATGAAAGAAAATACAAAACCTGAAAATAACTTCAGTGCTACAGACATTTAAAAAGTTACAATGGTTAAAACTCTGAATAAAAAGATCTTGAGAACAGGTACATTTCAAAGCAATATTTTACACGCTTTGGAAAAAATAGCTATTTTTCAAATAACTTGATATATGGTTTACATATTTCATGCAGTCTCTGAGGTGTTTTTTTTTTCTACAATACTGTTTTGCATTAAAGTCTCTCATGTTGTTTACCAGTAATTGTTTCCTTAGGCTGAAATAAAACTTTGCTTGTTCATTAGTTTTCTGTATATCCCATTTGGTTTTGAAAGCAGCTCTTCATGTTTTCCATATTCAGTAATTTTTCCTTGGTCAAGAACAGCAACCATATTAGCATTCTTAATGGTGGAGAGATGATGGGCAATAACTAACGCTGTTCTTCCATCCATCAGTGGATCTAGAGCTTCTTGAACAAGGTACTCATTTTCAGCATCCAGCGCACTGGTTGCTTCACTAGGAGAAGAACTTTGGGATTCTTCAGCAGAGCACGGGCAATTGCAATCCGCTGTTTCTGCCCACCTGAGAGGAGAACACCCTTTTCTCCAACCACAGTGTTGAACCCTTGGGGGAAATTCCGGATCAAGACCACTGCATTGGCCACTTCAGCCACTCTCTGGACTTGCTCAGCGGTCACAGAGGAAGGCCATCAGCACCATAAGCAATGTTCTCAGTGATAGAGCAAGAAAACAAAATGGGTTCCTGTCTCACTGTCCCAATCTTGGATCTCAGCCACACTGGGTTTAGCTGACGGATGTCATGGCCATCAAGACTGATAGTTCCAGAAGCAGGGTCGAACAACCTCAGCAGGAGCGAAAGCACTGTTGATTTGCCAGAACCACCTGGGCCAACCAGTGCCGTGACAGATCCTGACGGAATGGAAAGGCTGAAATCCTGAAATATGGGCGCCTCTGGGCAAGCGGGATCGGCAAAATGCACGTTCTTAAACTCCAAAGCACCCTGGAAGCTTTTCTCATTTAAGATAACCCTTCCCCCTCCTTAAAAGGCAGATTGGGCTCTCTCTCCAGGAGCTCCCAGAGGCGCCCCCCGGCACCCAGTCCTTTCATCAGCTCCGAGTAGAAAGAGCTCAGACCTCCAATGCTTATTCCAACCCCGAAAGCATACATAGGAAGGGAGAGAGTTCACCCATGGTCATGTGGGCACTGCCCATCAGCAGCCCCCCTTTGTACAGGTTCAGAAAGCACAATCAGGTTTCCGGACAGCCTAGTTCTCCAAAGAAGCCAGCCTGAGCGAATGCCTCTTTCCTTGCTGACTACATCACATGGTCCACTTTGCTGGCCTATTTTTCTATTTCAGTCATTTCTTTCCCAAAAGCTCGAACAGTTCTTAACATTTCCAATACGTTCCTCCTGAGTGGCTTGTGCCAGCGAATCCTGGGTGACTTTGGTCAGTTTCCGTAGATATCGTCCATAAATTACATCAATGATTGACACTAGAGGCACCACGCTCACAACAAAGGTGGCCCGATTAGGTGAGACACAAAACATCATCCTGATGCCTATAGAAGCCCGGGCCCCGGCCCTGAGCCCATCTGAGAGGTTTTCAGTCACTGAGCGCCCCAGGAGTGCAGTGTCCGATGAGAGGCGGTTAATCAATTCCCCTGTGCCAGCCTTGTCAAAGAAAGCAACCTCCTGCTTCAGAATGGAGAATAACGAAGTTCTCAGCCTCTTCACAACGCGCTGACCTGAAGTTTGCATGAGGTAGACACGAATGGCATTGGCGGCAGCACCACACAGAAACACGCCACTGAGGCCAAGGCAGAGGCGGGTCAGGTTGTCGCTGTAGTCCACAGTGGGGTTGGTATAGATGGCATCGATGATCTTCCCCAGGAAGAAAGGGGCAGACATGGAGATAACACCGGACATCGGAGAAATCCAACCGCAGCTGCCAGCCTCTGGCGCTCAGGGTACTCCAGCCCCAGGAGCTTCCCGGCCTCCGAGAGTCCGGGCGCCATGGGTCGTAGCCGCTGGTCGTCCCGGGAAGGCGCCGCCCGCCCGCGCCGCCAGGCCTCCTCCCCTGCCCAGGCAGTGGCGGTGGGACCGCCCGGGAACCCGGCGCGCGGGAGCCGAGGAGCGCCCGGCCGGCAAGAGCCCCGCACCTGCAGCTGCCGGGCCCAAGCCCACAGCCCCGGGAGCCGTCCGAGGCCCGCGTGGCCCCCCGAGCCGCCCAGACCCCCGCCCCGGCAGCAGCTCCTCCAGCGGCGCGCGGCTCCAACGCCCCAGAGCAGCGCCGGCCCCGCGCCCCATAGCCGCGCCAGCCTCGGGGCAGTGAAGGGCGATATGGACTGGGGGCGCGGCTGGCCGGGGCCCACACACAGGCTACCGGCGGGAGCCGCCCTGGCTCTGCGGGGCCCGTGGCGCCGATACATCTTAAAAGAACTAGAAAAGCAAGAATAAACCAGACCCAAAATAAGTATAGAAGAAAGGAAAGAATAAAGATAAGAGCAAAAATTAATGAAATTGAAATGAAAAAATACAAAATATGAACAAAACGAAAAGTTCGTTTTTTAAAAAAGATAAACCAAACCAGTAACCTTTAGCCACACTAAAAAAAAACAAAAAACCCTAAATAAATAAAATCAAGATGAAAATGGGGACATTTTCATTGATACTGTAGAAATTCTAAGGATCATTAGAGGCTAGTATGAGCAACTATAGACCAATAAATTAGAAAATCTAGAATAAATGGATACTTTCCTAGATACATACAACCTAGCAAGAATGAACCACAAAGAAATCCAAAACCTGAAAAGACCAATAAGTAGTGAGACGGAAACAATTTTCCCAGGAAAAGCCGGGTGCAGTGGCTCACGCGTGTAATCCCAGCACTTTGGGAAGCCGAGGCGGGCGGATCACGAGGTCAGGAGATGGAGACCATCCTGGCTAACACGGTCAAACCCCGTCTCTACTAAAAAAAATACAAAAAAAAAAAAAATTAGCTGGGCATGGTGGCGGGTGCCTCTAGTCCCAGCTACTCAGGAGGCTGAGGTAGGAGAATGGCGTGAACCTGAGGGGCGGAGCCTGCAAGTGAGTCGAGATCAGGCCACTGCACTCCAGCCTGGGCGACAGAGCGAGACGCCCTCTCAAAAAATAAAAAAAAGTTTCCCGGGAAAGAAAAGCCCAAGACCCGACGGCTTTACTCCTGAATTTTACCAAATATTTTTAAAAGTAGCACAAAATGCAGCAGCAGGATTCTCCTGCCCCAGCCTCCTAAGTAGCTGGGGCTACAGGTATGCACCACCACGCCTGACTAAAACTGTTTTTGTAGAGACAAGATCTCACTATGTTGCCCAGGCTGGTCTCAAACTCCTAGGTAAAATGATCCTCCCACCTCTGCCTCCCAAAGTGTTAAAATTGCAGGCATAAGCCATTGCCCCTGCCTGAAAAAATTATATGTATATATATTTATATATATATATATTTATATATATATATATATATATATGTTTTTGTTTTTTTTTTGAGACAGAGTCTCGCTGTGTCACCCAGGCTGGAGTGCAGTGGCACGATATTGGCTCACTGCACCCTCTGCCTCCAGGTTCAAGTGATTCTCATGCCTCAGCCTCCCGAGTAGCTGGGATTACAGGCATATGCCACTACACCCGGCTGATTTTTGTATTTTTAGCAGAGACATGGTTTCACCATGTTGGTTAGGCTGGTCTTGAACTCCTGACCTCAAGTGATCCGCCCACCTCAGCCCCCCAAAGTGCCGGGATTACAGGTGTGAACAACCATGCCTGGCCAAAAATAATTTTTTTAAAAAGATTTTGTTCTGATTCTGATGGGAAAGGGACTCTTTTCTAAAGTTACTAGCAGTTCTTTAACTGGTTAGCTCTATGTTAGGCATAGGTATTACTTTTTAGGGTGGCAGGTATGTGAAAAAAGAAGGGAGGTGGACAAAACCAAGACAGCAGAAGTAACTATTTGAGGGATTTCAAAACCTTTGACTGACACTCACTTCCTGGGACAGTCTTGATTTTGCTACTCTTTCCTCATCTGTTTCTTTTCAAGCCTTGCTCCCTACACACTTACCCTAGTTCTAACCCTTCCTGCTGATGGGCACCCTATTCACAAGGCAACAGATACCAGATGTGAGGAATGGAAAGAAAAACATTCTTACTTGATTGTTCTTAGGAGTTATACAGTCAGGCTCTTGGTTGGAGGGCTCTGATGTGAAAGCTTGGCTTCAAGTCCACTGAGAAAGTCGTATGATTGAAGTGGTGAACTGGAGATGGGGTGGGGGTGGCCTACCACGAGGACTAATTTGTTCTTTACGTGTTTTTGTTTTTTTATTTTTTTAGACAAAGTCTCACTCTGTCGCCCAGGCTGGAGTGCAGTAGCGCAATCTTGGCTCACTGCAAGCTCCGTCTCCGAGGTTCATGCCATTCTCCTGCCTCAGCCTCCTGAGTAACTAGGACTACAGGCACCTGCCACCACACCTGGCTAATTGTTTGTATTTTTAGTAGAGACGGGGTTTCACACTGTTAGCCAGGATGGTCTCGATCCGCTAACCTCATGATCCACCCGCCTGGCCTCTCAAAGTGCTGGGATTACAGGTGTGAGCCACTGTGCGTGACCTGTTCTTTATCTAATGGTTTGCAAGGGTGGAAATACCTCTGGGGAAATGTGATGGATTCTCCTAGGAAACTGACTTCACCAAATAATTCTTTTGAAACTGTTCAGAAACGAGACAAATGACATGAATCTATTTACAAAGAGAATTACCTCTGTGTCTGTGACCCAAGAGGCATTCCCATAGTGATACACTTGGACATTTGTTCAGGGGGCAAGCGCTCACGCCGAGTGATTTTCTTTTTTCTTTTCTTTTCTTTTTTTTTTTTTTTGTTTGTTTGTTTTTAAGACTGAGTCTCGCTCTGTCGCCCAGGCTGGAGTGCAGTGGTTCGATCTCAGCTCACTGCAAGGTCCCCCTCCCGGGTTCACACCATTCTCCTGCCTCAGCCTCCCCGGTAGCTGGGACTACAGGCGCCCACCACCATGCCCGGCTAATTTTTTGTATTTTTTTTTTTTTTTTTTAGTAGAGACGGGTTTGACCGTGTTAGGCAGGATGGCCTCGATCTCCTGACCTTGTGATTTTCAAAGCTGTTCGAGGGCATTTATCAGGCTTTTAACTCTAGGTACTCTTTCCCACAGTGTGAAGGCCAAGAGAAGGGATCCTGGGCTCTCTTCCCTGGCCCCAGGATGGGAATTCAGGGGGAAAAGGTCACCTATTCTCCTATTCTTATCCCACAAAAGAAAACTTATGCATCAGTTGTCAAGCTAAGGAGCTTCAGAGTCCACAAATAGGGAAATTGCTAAGAGCTTATCAGTAGTGTCCACTACCCATCCCCACCTGGGGTCACGTGGAGAATGATGGTGGGGGCGACGATCTTGTCCTACTTCAGGTGAAAAGCAGGGGTGTGGGGGGGTTTCATTGTGAAGGGCTCCTTTGTTAAAATTCCTTCCAATTCCAGGAAAAACATGCACTCGAAAGCCATTATCTCTTTTACTTCTTACTAGGGAACTTCCAGGAAAGAGACGGGGGGGGCGGGTGGGGAAGAAGAGGGCAAAACAGCTGCAGTGAATGTAGTCACCTCTCCGATTGCTTTTCTTGTTGCAGAATATTTCACATGCCAGGATTTTCCTTCTTGTCCTCCGGACTGTTGATACACCCAACATCTTAATACGCTTTCAATCACAAGTTAAAGACATCCAGAGCCAGATTGCTTGAGCCTAGGAGTTCCAGACCGGCCTGGACAACATGGTGAAACCCAGTCATATATATATATTTTTTTTTAGGGGGAAATTTGCTCTTGCTGTCCAGGCTGGAGTGCAGTGGCGAGGTCTCAGCTTGCCAGACCTCCGTCTCCGGGGTTTGGGTGGTTCTCCTGCCAAAGCCTCCCGAGTGGCTGGGATTGCGGTGTGAGCCACCATGCCCGACTAATTCCTTAACTGTGCAACTACAAGGTCACTAAACAAATAAACTCAAGTCACAAAACATATTTTTCCTTAAATAGTAAAAAATAATATAATGCATGTTTCAATTAAATAACAATCTTTGTTTCTCGCTTCTATAATATGCTTCTCCCTGCACAGATCTCCCCCTTCGCCCCACATAATGCTTGAAAGGTAACTCTTGGTTCAGTGCTCAATCCTTTAAATGTTAATCCGACTGGGCCGGTGCACCTAAATAATTAATAAATGTCCTCCTAAACCCCATGAGTCTATCTAATTCCTTAAAAATCCCTCTACAGGACTGCAGGTGTGAGCCACTGCACCCCGCCTAATTTATTAATCAGAGAGGAATAGATCGGCCTGGCGTGGTGGCTCACGCTTGTGATCCAGGGACTTTGGATGATGGAGCACTGGGGATCACTTGAGCCTAGGAGATCCAGACTGGCCTGGGCAACATGGTGGAACTCGGTCTCTCTCTTTTTTTTGTTTTTTTGGAGGCAGAGTTTTGCTCTTGTTGCCCAGGCTGGAGTGCAGTGGTGCAGTCTCGGCTCCCTGCCACCTCCACCTCTTGGGTTTGGGTGGTTCTCCTGCCTCAGCCTCCCTAGTGGCTGAGATTGCAGGTGTGAGCCACCATGCCCGGCTAATTTTCTTTTTTTTTTTTTTTGGTACACACAGGGTTTCTCCCTGTTGGTCAGGCTGGTCTCAAACTCAGGACCTCAGGTTATCCGCCTGCCTTGGCTTCCGGGGATGCTGGGATTGCAGGCGTGAGCCAGCGCGCAAGGCCCAATTGATTAATCAGAAAAGAATAGATCAGCCTGGCGTGGTGGTTCACGCTTGTGATCCCAGGACGTCGGACGGCCGAGCGCTGGGGATCACTTGAGCCTAGGAGTTCCACACCGGCTTGGGCAACATGGTGAAACCCGGTCTCTCTTTTTTTTGGCGGGGGGGGTACAGGCAGGGTTTCTCCATATTCATCAGGCTGGTCTCAAACTCCCGACCTCAGGTTATCTGCCCGCCTCCTCGGCCTCTGGGGATGCTGGGATTGCAGGCGTGAGCCAGCGCGCCCGGTCCAGTTTATTAATCATAAAGGACTAGATCGGCCTGGCATGGTGGCTCACGCTTGTGATCCCAGGAATTTGGACGGCAAGCGCGGCGGATCGCTTGAGCCTAGGAGTTCCAGACCTGCCTGGGTAACATGGTGAAACCTGGTCACTTTTTGTTTGTTTTGAGGCGGAGATTCGCTCTTGTTGCCCAGGCTGGAGTGCAGTGGTGAGGTCTTGGCTCAACGGGCCTCCGCCTCCAGGGTTTGGGTGGTTCTCCTGCCACAGCCTCCCGAGTGGCTGGGATTGCACGCGTGAGCCACCATGCCCAGCTCATTTTGTTTTTTGTTTGTTTTTGTTTTTATTGTTGGAGATGGGGTTTCTCCATGTTCATAAGGCTGGTCTCAAACTTCCCACCTCAGGTTATCCGCCCGCCTCGGCGTCCGGAGGTGCTGGGATTGCAAGCGTGAGCCAGCGCGCAAGGCCTAATCTATAAATCAGAAAGGAATAGGGCCGGGGATCCCTTGAGCCTAGGAATTCCAGACAGGCCGGGGCAACACGGTGAAACCCGCTCTCTCTTTTTTTTTTTTTTTTTTTGCGGCAGTTTCACTCTTGTTGCCCGGTTGGAGTGCAGTGGCGCGGTCTCAGCTCCCCGCTGCCTCCGCTTCCCGGATTTGGGTGGTTCTCCTGCCTCAGCTTACCAAGTGGCTGAGATTGCAGGCATGAGCCAACATGCCTGGCTCTTTTTGTATTTTTTTTTTTTTTTTGGTATAGACGGGGTTTCTCCCTTCGTCAGGGTAGTCTCAAACTCCTGACCTCAGATTACCCGTCTGCTTCGGCCTCCCGGGGTGGTGGGATTGCAGGCGTGAGCCACCATGCCCAGCTTATTTTTTTTTCTTTTTTGGTAGAGACGGGTTTCTCCATGTTGGTCAGGCTGGTCTCAAACTCCCGACCTCAGGTGATCCGCCCGCCTCGGCCTCCCAGGGTGGTGGGGTTGCAGGAGGGAGCCACCGCGCCGGGCGCAATTTATTAATCAGAAAGGAACAGATGGGCCTGGCGTGGCGGCTCATGCTTGTGATCCCAGGACTTCCGATGGCCGAGCGCGGCGGATCCCTTGAGCCTAGGAGTTACACGCCGGCCTGGGCAACATGGTGAAACTCAGTCTCTCTCTCTCTCTCTTTTTTTTTTTTTGAGAGGGAGTTTCACTCTTGTTGCCCAGGCTGGAGTGCAGTGGCAGGGTCTCAGCTCCCCGCAGCCTCAGCCTCCCGGGTTTGGGTGGTTCTCCTGGCTCAGCCTCCCGAGTGGCTGGGATTGCAAGCGTGAGCCACCATGCCCTGCTAATTTTTTTTTTTTTTTTTTGGTAGAGATGGGGTTTCTCCATGTTACTCAGGCTGGCCTCAATCTGACCTCAGGTTATCCGCCCGCCTCAGCCTCCCGGGGTGCTGGGATCGCAGGCGTGAACCACCGCAACCGGCCCAATTTTTAATCAGACAGGAATAGATCGGCCTGGCGTCATGGCTCACGCTTGTGATCCTAGGATTTTGGACGGCTGAGTGTGGCAAATCGCTTGAGCCTAGGAGATCCAGACCCGCTTGGGCAACATGGTGAAACCTGTTTTTTTTTTTTGAGACGGAGTTTCCCTCTTGTTGCCCAGGCTGGAGTGCAGTGGCGCGGTCTCGGCTCGCCGGGCCTCCGCCTCCCGGGTTTGGGTGATTCTCCTGCTTCAGCCTCCTGAGTGGCTGGGATCAAGGGCGTGAGCCACCAAGCCTGGCTACTTTTATTTATTTATTTATTTATTTATTTATTTATTTATTTATTTAGGTTGAGATGGGGTTTCTCCATGTTGGTCGGGCTGGTCTCCTGCTCCTTACCTGGGGAGATCCGCCGGCCTCGGCCTCCAGGGGTGGTGCGATTGCAGGCGTGAGTCACTGTGCCTGGCCGGAAACCCAGTCCCTTAACGGAAAAACAAAACAAAAACCACAAAGATTAGCCAGACCTGGTGGGCCCCCCTGGGTAGTCCCAGCTACTCTGAAGGCTGATGCAGGAGGATTGCTTGAGCCCGGGGTGGAGGTGGCAGTGAGCCATGATGGCGCTGCTGCAGTCCAGACTGGGTGACAGAGCAGGACTGTGTCTCAGGAAAAGGGAAAGGAAAAAAAGAATAATAAAAAGAAGTATATAAAATTGCTAAATCCAGGAACAGCTTCACAGTATATTGAGAGAAATAGAGGCAAAGGTTAGCAGACACCAATGTTCACTTAGTGGAACTGCAGGTGTCCCCAGACAGGAGGCTGCTACTTTTCCAACAGAAATCTATTATTGACCAAAAAAAGTTAGTTTGTTACAATATACAAATAGCTAAACTTTATATAGCCACGACCCTCTTCTAGCACTGCTCTAAGCCTTTTCCTGCTCTGGAATAGCTACTATTGTTACCTCCATTGTAGAGAAAACAGATGGGGGAGGTTGTTGTGGAAGGACCAGGGAAACTGACTATGAAATTGACTTGTAAGTTTAGGACTTAAAGGTTCTTCCTGCTTTGCTCCTTACATTGCCACATTTTAGTTAACATACCTCTTAAAATACTGGTCCTTTCTGTATTTGGAGGGACTCCTCTTGCAGTTTGAAGTTTTTTCTTACACTAAGCATCTGGTTAGAAGATCATCTCCATTTTATGTCAGTTTAAGTTTAGACATTGTTCAGTAAGGAATGTAAATATGAGCAAACAGTTATCTGATTGAAATAGATAAACTAGAAAAAAAATCACCTATGAGAAAGTCAACAAAATGTCAACTCTGGATTTGTGGCTATTTTCAGAATATTAATTTTTTGATATTTAATGGCATTGTGAATATATTTATTTTTAAGAATTCCTTGTCTTCTACAGATACATATAAGGTAATTAAAAATGATAGGATGTATAGGTTTTACTTCAAAATAATTCAGAGGAAGAAGGAATGTATATAAATGAAGTGGGAATATAAATGAAACAAAACTGGCTGTGGCCAGGTGTGGTGGCTCACGCCTGTAGTCTCAGCACTTTGGGAGACCGAGGCAGGTGGATCACCTGAGGTCAGGAGTTCAAGACCAGCCTGGCCAACGTGGTGAAACGCCATCTCTACTAAAAATACAACAATTAGCCGGATGTGGTGCCGGGTGCCTGTAATCCCAGCTACTCGGGAAGCTGAGGCAGGAGAATCGCTTGAACCTGGGAGGTGGAAGTTGCAGTGAGCCAAGATCATGCCACTGCACTCCAGCCTGGGCAACCACAGCAAAATCCCACCTTTAAAAACAAACAAACAAACAAAAAGCAACCAAAAAAAAAAACTGTCCATACCATGAATGAAAAATTGTTGATGATGTGTATATGTAGGGCAATTATATCATTTATTATATATAATATATATATTATTTTTCTCAACTTTTTTTTACATCTGAAACTTTCTATTGAACACATGGACATGTCCCTTGATAACTGGGGCTGCTTCCCCATTATTCTCTCAGCAGCCCTTCTGATTTTCACTCCATCTTCATTCTTAGAGATTCTGGATTTTATTTTTTTTTTTTTGGGAAGTTCAAGTATGTCTTTGCAAGGATTATCCAGCGTGTCTACCTACTCAATCATATTATCAGAAACAGAAAAAGTGTCCAGATTCTTGTCTTGTCCTGTTCAGATTTTTTAAATTCCAAGAACAGTCACCTTCTACCAGACACTCTGATGTTGGAAGACAAAGCATATTTGGTAAGTGGCGTGATTTCTGGGCTCCGATTTAGAACAGTCACAGCTTTCAACAATCCAAAAATAGCTGACTGTGACTCACCATATTTAGAAAGATGGAGATTATTAAAAAAAGAAAACCTTAATTTATCATGTGACCTCTAAGTATCTCGGCTGAAAATTGTAAAGATAGAAAGGTAAATCAAAAGATACAGAGACTGTAATCATGCACTTAATAAAGCGCTAAATCAAAATATATTTGGCATATGTGAAAGAGTTTAATTTTATCCCATTTTCTACTGGCACTATAGGTATTTGTAAGTACATATAAAACTACAGTGTTACATATAAACTACCAAAAAAGAACTTAAGAAACGAGACTAATCTAGCAACTTTATTTAAAAGTTTATCTTAAGGGAATAATTAAGGATGTCCATACAAAAGGATTTAGCCATGACACGAGAATGTTCTTCCTGGCAAATCAATGGAAATTATTAAATGTGCAAAAGGGAACTGTTGGAATAAATTCTAATGCCTTCATATGATCGTATGTCGTAACCTTTTAAAATGATATTAAAGAGTTGCATACATTGACTTAAACAGATATTCATAACACATCACTGAATAGGAGAAATACGGGCCAGCAAAGAACATAGAGTTGGTCCAATTTCTACAAAAAAAAGAAGACTAATAGCATGACAGCAGGGAAGGGGGAATATGTCAATGTATGTGTGTATATATATATGTATGCATAGCAAGTATGAACTTGAAAGGATATATATCAAATTGTTTACACAGATTACCTCAGAGAGGTAAATAACTGGCCTTTGGTGTTCTGTGTTCCATAGATTCTGAATTTTCTTTTTTTATTTAAATAGAGATGGGATCTTAGCCAGGAGCAGTGGCTCACACCTGTAATCCCAGCACTTTGGGAGGCTGAGGAGGGCGGATTGCTTAAGGCCAGGAGTTGAAGACCAATCTGGCCAACATGGCAAAACTCTGTCTCTACTAAAAATCCAAAAATTAGCCAGGCGCAGTGGCTTATGCCTATAACCCCAGGTACTCGGGAGGCTGAGGCATAAGAATTGCTTGAACCAGGAGGCGGAGGTTGCAGTGAGCAGAGATTGCACCACTGCACTCCAGCTTAGGCAACAGACCGAGACTCTGTCAAAAAATAAAAACAAAACAAAACACCACCACCAACAACAAAACAGTAATAAAGAGAAAATCTTATGGACAGGAGCAATGTCTCATGCCTGTAACCCCAGTGCTTTGGGAGGCCAAGATGGGAGAATCGCTTGAGCCCAGGAGTTCAAGACCAGCATGGGCAACATAGCAAGACCTTTTCTCTACAAAAAATTTAAAAATTAGCCAGGCATAGTAGTGCATGCTTATACTCCCAGCTACCTGGGAGGCTGAGGTGGGAGGATCACTTGAGCATGAGAGTTGGAGGTTGCAGTGAACTGTGATCACACCACTGGGAAGCCATGACCCCATCCCTGCCTTCTTCCTCTGTCCTATGCTAGCAATAAGTAAGTTTCCCAGCCACAAATAATTATTAGAACCTCCTCCCCATGTGCCACCTCCAACCACCGCTAGGTATGATACAGGGGTGGCCCTACCCTCTGGAATATACAAAACCTTACACAGACACAATATATACACCGGGGAAGGGGGGCCACCCCAGCAGCCCGTGCCTTCGCCTGGTCCACAGTTAGCCCCACTGTCCTGCCTCAGCTACCTCTCTGAATAAGAAGATTGGAGCCCCCACTGAGGGAAAAGTTGCTATGGTGAGAGTAAGGAGGCCATGAGGCCTCCTCCAAACAAACCAACTCCACCAGCCTCTGGCTCTTAAATAACAATATCATCCAGAAATTTAAGGACTCAGCTCTGGTCAAGGTGGCAAAGGGTCTGTTTGTCTTTCCTCGTTAGACAGAGGTCTTGTCCTGCTACCCTAATTGTAAAGGGGTGACTGGGAAGGGGAGATAGGGACAGTGTGGTGGTGGAGACCCCGGCCCCACTTCTCCAGGCTTTGCTGACAGGGGCCTGCTTTTAATTTTAATTTTTATTTTTATCCCATGCCTTTTTTTTTAAATCCCATAACTTCTTTTTCATAACTTTTTTTGGTAACTTTTCATAAAACTTTCTTCTACTTTTTGGTCACAAGATTTTTTTGCCACAACTTTTTTACATTTTTTATCCCATAACTTTTTCACCCCATAACTTTTGTTAATCCCATAACTTTTTTATTTTGTGTTCTTTTAATAAACCCTTGCATAGTTATATTACAATTTTGTAAAAATGAAACATTATCTCATGCCAAGCATGCCCAGCATTTGCACAGTATCAATACCTTTAATACTATATTTTTGAAGACACACAGAATAAAATTTTAAGGCAAAAACAGCACTTTGCAACAACTTAATAATTTATTACATTACAGTAGCATCACACCAGCAGTCAATAATGCCACTTTAGGCAAAAGTCTTTCAGTATTTCCGTTTTACATTCCGCTTACAAGAATTCATAAATTGGTAAAATTCATTCTAAGAAAACTTGGCAAATAAAGCTTTGGACTGGAATTGGCATTTCTTTCTCTACTTTTCCTTCCCACCGTTTATTTCCTTTACAGTATTCATATTTTAAAATGTTTTAACTTATTTCAGAACATTAAGATAGCAGTTACATTGTTTAATAGTTATTTTAAAATGACTCTTTCAGATAAAGTTTTAGAGAAACTATAGTATGGATAGGGCTGATTTACATTTTCAAATTTTCTAAAAATCAGCTTTGGTTTTAGAGCTGATTTTTGTTCATTTCTGGAAAACCTATCAGATTTAATCCAATACTTTAAAAATGATTATTATATATTGCAATCTTTAAATCGGTGATTTGATTCTTCCTACAGAAATTCAAATTTATTGAATTGAACTCACATTTTAGAATTCTGTTTCTGATGAACTCTAACCTTCCAATGTTGCCCTCTAAGCAAATTGAAAGCTGCCTTATACCGAATGAGGAAGAATACCAATACTTGGCTGAATGAGGTATCGCAAAAGACTGCATGCACTTTGAAGAAAGACTTAAGTTATAGTCATGCGATTTCCATTCTTTTTAGCTTTTTCTTCAATATACGACAAATATCTACACAAAGAGTGGTATTTCCGTTAATACAGTCAATTTATTTTCCAGATTGACATTCAGCTTAAATATGCCAGTATGTGATTTAATCCACAGGCACCTGATGAACACATTATTGTCAGATTGGTTACAGATGCTCGTAGTTGTCTTTAAACTGAACTCAAAGAATGCAAAAACATCAAGTTCAGAAAATAAAAGGCAAGGACAGGACTTTAAGTGCATTTTAAAGCCACGGGCGAGAAATCGTACCACTGTTAACTAGCCGCATTATTTGGTCTAACATTTTTTCTTTATCATTCTGAAACTGGGTTTATCTAATACATTGATACATTCATACAATTTGGAAGAGTCCGTTGAAGTCACAAGGACCCGATGTTTGCACTCTTTCAGTGATTGCCGGCAAATCTGTTATTCCATCGGCAAAATCGTACTGCTGCTCTCCTGTTAATGTCGTATTTATAAAAGTATCATGAGGATGCCAAATGCTAAAAATGGAGATGGTCTAGTAACTAGAAATCCCCACCCCAGGGAGCACACATACATATCTCCCTACATCCTAATAATGTGATGTGTTTTGGAACACAGACATTAGAACTTCATGAAGTTTTAACTGTTGAGTCTTTCCCAAGCATCATCAAGTTATGATTTAGGCAATGTACAACTGAAATTCATTCATTCATCATGCATAGGCACAATCACATAAATACTGCACAAAATATGCCCGTAAGTGAAACCCAGAGGTACAGAAACACATTTCACTCTTCACAAAGAAGTTTGTGAGGAAATATAACTCTGTGATTGTATAGACATGTTTCCTGATAATACACTGACATTCACCAACAGTAGATTGCACTGCAGTTTGTACACATTTTAAGTTGCATAAACTTCTCCTTGATTTTCAAAGATAGTATAATACTGTCTACTAAAACTCCTTTTTGTTTCAACTAAGCACTCTCACATATATTAGTTTATAACAATGTTTATTATTATTTCAAAGTGTTTTCCATTCAAGGAAAAGAAGTCAATTCCTATGTCAAAGTAACCAAGGTGGTTGAAGAATAGGCAGAGTGGTCTAGATGGTAAAATCAATCTTCAAGCCTCAAAGAAGCTCCATGAACAGAGGAATGCCAGGTGTCACACAGCTTTCCTTCACTCTAATTCATTCTTGACTAGAGCCTGTATGCCTGTTCCAGGGACATTTGAACTCTTAAAGGATTTCTTCTGATCTTTACTAAATACATTAAGAAGAATGCCAACCAGTGCCCTTTTGTGTACTGGGACATGCAGTCATGTGATTAAAACAGGTAACATGAACTCTGACTTTAAAATATAGATACAAATGCTCTAAGCTAGGAAAGGTTTTCCACATCCGTAGTCAATGATGGGAACCTTTCATTCCTCAGAAATAAGCCCTTTTTAGGTCATCAAAAAAGAGTACAACTGCTGAAGCTCATGATGCAATATCTTCATGAGCCCAGAGCACATACAAATCCTAAAGGAACTACAATAGTACAGCACTAATTCTTGGCAACAGAACAAATGAAACACACTCTATCTTGCACATACCTGCCAGAGCAGGCAACTTTCCTCTTCTGTGAAATTTAAAAAGCTCCCCCAAAATGTTATTACTCCCATCACCAATACACAGAAAATGAGGGAAAGGCTGTTTCCAGTTCTCGGCCTTTAAACAACTCTAAATGTCAGTACTCTTGGTGGCATATTACAAAGTATTAAATAGTGCACACTTGGGGCAAACCACATATTGTGCTAATGAAGAGCTCACTGTGATTAAGATTAGATCAAACAACAGCAGAACATAGGCACATTTTATCTGAATTCTGTAATGAATATACATGCTGCAATAACATTAAAAACACATGGCAGCCTATTCCAAACCAGCAAGAATAGTTTTGTGCAAATAGTGGGTCTTTGTGTGTTTGAACTCCCACCACGTAAGGGCAAACTCAATATGCATGCTAATGACCTACAATTATGAAATTGAAAAAGAAAATTGCGAAAGTATGCCAGAGTGAACATCAGTGAAAGCCACAGAGACCCACTCTCTTTTAACTATTTACAAATAAACTTAAACTATAAATTAGAAACACAAATAATCATAAGTGGCTATAACATTCAAACGAAGTAAATGAATTGTGTAGGAGATTAACCCCATAACTTTGTTTCTTTTTTAAAAATTTCTTCAGCAGCTCTTTGACGATGGTGATGTTTATCTCCTTCTTCTTGGCAGCCAAGCCCAGCAAAAGAATGGCACACAGCAGTTGCTGCCCAAGCCTGGGTGCTCCTGGTGGTCCTGCACGATCGGCTGTGCAGTAGGGTTGTCGTGGGGAGAACCCTCCCTGGCCTCTCCTTGCACAGGCTCCACGCTGTCAGTGAGGCTCACCTCACAAAGATCTTTGGAGAGAGGGAGGCGGGGATCTGAGCTCAGTGAGAGCCCCCCTGCTCCTGCCTGCCCACCCCGCCTGAGGGCTCTACTCACCACCATGCTTGTGGGCAGCCCCAAGCTCCTGGGGGGCTGGGGCTCCTGGACTGGGCTCATGAGCAGGGTTCTGGGCAGTCACCAAGAATTTGCTGTGTCCCTTGTAGTCGCCACCAGCTGCAACACCATCTCCTGCAGCTCCAGCAGCTTCACCTGGAGGGAGGGGTGCTCAGCTGTCACGCTGCTGCCAGCGCTCACCGTCACAGCCACCCCCACCCCCGCAGAGATGTTGCACACTCTACCTTCATCTCCTCCCTGTCCAGGGCCAGCCTGATGGTGTCCTCCTCCCGGTGCTGCATCTTTGGCACTGCCCCCTGGCTTTGTTATAGGGTGATAAACTTTCCTGCGGGAGGACAGGGCTCAGACGCTGGGGCCCCTCCAACAGCCCTGCAGCTCCCCCTGCCATGCCCTGGCCTCCCACTCACTGATGGCATCTCTCTCTGTAGTACTGGAAGAATCCAAGTTCTTCTTTCTCCACCAGCTCACTCAGGTCTGCCTTCTCCTCCAGGTGGTCCATAAAGCCGCTCTGGAGCCAAAATAATGGGGTCACATCTCGCCAGCGACCTGCCCTCAGGTGGCATTTTCAAGTCATGGAGAAGGCGGAGGTGAGTTCCGGCATGGGCCAGCTTCTCCGTGACTTCCTGCAGGGCCCGGTGGGTCTCCCCACTCACAGACTCGCCCCCAGGCCCTGGGGCTCCAGGGCCTCTGGCTGCCTCTGGCTCCTTCTGGGCCGAGGCCACCGGGTGAGCCAGGCGCTGGCAGCACACCCTCTGCTCTTTCACCTGCTCTTGTAACTGTGCCTGCTTCTCCTGGGCACTAGCTCCAGCGGACTTGAAAAATGCCACCTGAGGGCAAGATGTGAGCATTCTTGCAGGGGCATACACAGAACAAATGGGGCAGAGAGGTGGAGCGCAGCCCCTTCCCTTGGGGCCCCAGAGACTGCACATGTTGGTCACAGGTGAAATGGTGTCTGACCACTGGCTCCCAGAAGGGGTGAGGGTCCAGAGAAATCAGAAGGCAGGGAAACGAAGAGCATAAAGGGGTCTTGGAGGGACCACAGAGGAAGGAGGCAAAATGGGTTCAGGTGGAGTCAGGCTCACCATGGCCTCCCTGCTCTCCAGGTCCTGTGGGATGCTAGGAATGGGCCGAGGTGCCTCCTCCCCCTCACTGTCCAGATGTCCTCCTCCATCTCCTGGGGGTGGGGGTGGTGGCCAGAGGGGTCCTCAGACAACTCAACAAGGGAAGTATTGTGGGCCCACCTCTGCCTCCACCCTCATTGTGTAACCCTGAGCCAGGCCCTCCCCAGAGAGGAATGAGCTGCTGTTATTTATTTTTACTTTGAAGAACCAAGATCTTGCTATACTGCCCAGGCACATTCCCACTACTGGTCGGTGCGGGAGTTCTGACCTGCTCCCTTTCTGACCTCGGCCAGTTCAGCCATCCTTAGGCAACTTGGTGGCCCCCCGCTCACAGGAGGTCACCATATTGATGCTGAACTTAGTGCAGGCACCCGGTTAGTATAATGACCAGCTGTTCTAAAGGTCTCTTCCAACTCCTGAATACTATGCTGCTAGCAGTCCCCCCTTCCTCCTGGGGCTCTCTCCTCTTCCTCTGAGCGGTCTCCCGTACCTTCCCCAGGGAGAGCCATGAGGCTCAACTGGGCCGTTAGCTGCTGGTTCTGCTGGCTGGCAGCTTCCAGACGCTCCTAAGGGGCCAGGAAAGAGTGAGAAGGCACAGAGTTTGCCAGGTCGTCCCCCTCACAGCCCCATCCTCGGCAGCTCCCTCCCCTGGGTCTCCTGCAACTTTTGGCAGGCCATCTCGGCCACCGCTTTGCCCCAAGCTTCCTGCTGCTGCAACTGGTTCATTAGCTGGGTCTGCTGCAGTCACTGCCTGTACAGCGCCTCCTTCTCACAGGTCAGCTGCTGATAGGCGGCCACCTGCTGCTGATAGGTGGCCACGTACTGCTGCAGGTGACCCAGGTAATGGTCTGGCTGCTGCTGCAGACTCTGAGCCTCTTGGCTCTTCAGCTCCACCTGCAGGAAGACCCTGGGTGTGAGGGCACGTGGTGGCTGGTTTGCAGATTCTGGGCCCATTAATAGGGTAGCGAGGGCACTGTGGGGCTCTGTCGCCTGCCCAGGCCCCTGGCCCCTTACTTCAGGCCTAAGTGACTGCCTTGCTTTCCTAGAACCCCATGCCTCCTTCCCCAGCCTCAAATCTCATGTCCTCTTCCCACCATTTCAACTGTAGGCCACAGAATGGTAGAAAAGTATGGGAGCCAACCACCATCTGCTAAATGTGCTACAGGCCTAATGCTTCCCATGTATTATCTCATTTAATCCTCAGCACCTCTGTAAGGAAAATGCTAACTTCCTTTTGAAGTTAAAGAAACAGAGACCTAGAGATGCGAAGTACTTGAATGGTGACCAGTGGAACTGAGGCTGGAATCCAGTTTTAATCTAAGGAGTCTTTTTGTTTTGTTTTGAGACAGAGTGTCACTCTGTGGCCCAGGCAGGAGTGCAGTGGTGCAATCTCAGCTCACTGCAACCTCCACCTCCTGGGCTCAAGCAATTCTCGTGCCTCAGCCTCCTGAGTAGGTGGGATTACAGGCATGCGCCACCACCATGCCCCACTAATTTTTCTTTCTTTTTTTGTTTTTTGTTTTTGTAATTTTAGTAGAGATGAGGTTTTACCATGTTGGCCAGGCTGATCTCAAACTCCAAACCTCAAGTGATTCTCCTGCCTCAGCCTCCCAAAGTGTTGGCACTATAGGCGTAAGCCACCGCATCTGGCATAAGAAGACTGTTATACCACTCTGTCTCTTCCCCTGTGATTGGGGGGGCTCCATGTCTCTAGCTGGAATGATGATGTCCAGACCTGGGAGGAGCCCAGGGCTACCCACCTCTAAAATCAGAGGGCAGGAAGCAAGAAACAGCCACAGGACTGCCCTGGAGGGTGCTGGGGTCACCTGCCCCCGGGCTGGAGCTACCGCTGGCCTGGCACCTCCCCTCCCCAGAGGCTGGTGCCCACCCACCTCCCAGACCTTCTTGGATGGGGTGGAGGTTACCGTCTCCTTCACCTTGCCTAGCTTCTCCTGCAGCTCCTTTACTTGCTGCTCCAACTGTAGTACGCTCTTGTTCTCATTGTTCTGGACAGAGAGAAGCAATCAGCAGCCACCCACTGCAGCTGGAGACCCCAGAACTTGGTGACTGCCTCCCATGGCACCGGGAAGGGTGGAGGCAGGTTAGAAAAATCATCCCCTGTCTCCCACAGCCACCAGAGCAGGGCTCTGGCTCACAGGTGCCTTTAGGAGTAACATTTCACTTGAGGGCTACACTGCCCCATTTTATAGGTGGGGAAACAAAGGCCTGGAGGGCTAGGGAGGAGGGCAGGCTCCCCAGCTGGGGCAACGCACCAGCTCCTTGAAGCTGTTCTGTGGCTCGGCCAGCTGCTGAAGCCTCTCCTCCTGCTCTGGAAGCCTCTCCTGCTGCTCCTGAAGCCTCTCCTCCTGCTCCCGAAGCCTCTCCTTTTGCCCCTCATTCAGGAGACTTATGCGCTGATTGTACTCCACCTGGGCCTGGAGCTCTCCTGCCACTCTCTCTAGTTCCTTCCTCAGGTGCTGCAGCTCCACCTCAGAGGGCACTGCTGGGGGCTCCGGGGGCAGAGGTTCAGCTGAGAAAGGAAGCAGACAATAAGAGCCTCTGGATTCCAAAAAAAAAAAAAAAAAAGAAAAGAAAAGAAAAAACCCTCCTCTTGGCGCACAGCTCCTCTCCGGCTCCTCAAACTTAGCCTCACTGCTAATGATTCCTCGCACCCAGATGGTAGCCAGTCTTCCAAAGCACTTTCAGAGAAAGAGCACTGCGGGTGGCTGACAACGGGCCCTCTTTGCTGATGGGGACACTGAGGCTCATTGAGATGACAAGACTTGCCGTCTCCTGGCACAGACCTCTTTCCCTCTGCCTCAAAGCCCTTCCATCCACCCACCTCGCTGGGGCACTCCAAGCCACCCTCACAGCCCTCTGATGCCAGTCCTGCTGCCAGGTCACGCCAGCCCCATCTTACCCATCTGGTGTTTGAGTTTGGACAAGCTCCTCTCCAGCTTCTCTACCCGATATTTATCATGCTTCTTCTCCTTCTTCAACGAGCAAACCTGCCCAAAGCACAGGGGGAAAGGGCCCTGGAGAGAGGGGCTGGAGGCTGGACATGCTACCATCTCCCTCTCTGCCCCCACCTCCACAAAGCCCAGTCCCAGGACCACCTCTGGCTCTACTATTCCCATTTTACAGGTGCCCAGAAAGATCCAGTGACCTATCTAATGTGGGGGGGCTGAAGGGTCAGATCTCACCTCCTGCGACATTTTTCTCATCCTCTGCTGCCACCGGGCCCTCTCTCCTTTTAGATGTTCAGCATATTCATCCCTCTCTAGCTGGACTTCTTTAAGTGACTCCTTCAACTGCAAGAATGGGCACAGAAATTAGGAAGGGCTGTCACTGGTCCTCACCTGCTCCTGGTTACCTGGGGTCATCTTCCTTCCACATCCCTCCCTCTGAACACCTCACCTGTGTCAGCTGCGCTTTCAGCAGTGCCTGCTCCCGCATGGACTGCTCTAACTTCCACTCCATACGTGCTTTACTGCGGCTGGAGAACTGCTGAAGAGTGAGAAGTTTCAATCTGGTGAGGCCGGGCCATTCCACACAGTGCCCCTTAAAAGGGCCAGGGCTAGGCCCAATATACAACTCGGTCAGTAAAGATCAAGGCATTTCCAAGCCCGTGGTTTGGTTTTTAAAGAACTCAGTAAAGTTGGAAGGGACAGGGAAAGAGATCGAATTTATAGCTGGCTAACAGAGGCCCAGAGAGATCAGATAATATTGCTATTGTTATTACTGTTATTATTACCACTGTTTGAACTTTTATGGAGTGCTTCACCAGATACCATGCTAGCAATCCCATTTAATCCTCGCAACTACCATGGGAGACAGTTACTATGATGACCTCTATTGTGTAGATGAAAAAACATGGAGTATTTGAGGTTAAGTGCTTGCCTAAGATCACTTAGGCAGAGCTGGGATTTAAACACCCAGATCTATCCAATTCTCTAAGCCCATTTTTCTTGCTGGGGGTGGGGGCACAGCTAGGAAGGGGAAAATTAATCTTTTGTTCACTTTTTGAAAGGATAATACATTCACATAGTCCCAAACTCAGAAGGTACAGAAGGGAAGTATCTCCCAGCCACCCTGTTGCTCTCTCCTGAGTTTTTATGAACACTTGCAAACATATTTTATGTATATTATCATAATATGTACACACACACACACGTTTCCTCTCTCTACAGAAATGGTAACATACTAAAGGTACTCTTCTGTACCTTCACAGTACAAGTACCCAATACCCACTGAGGACTTGGCCAAGACCACAGCCAGGTAAAGGCATGGCAGGCACTTGGCCTCCAAGCTCTACGTCCTGTGCTCTCTCCCCAGAGTGCCCCCCAACTCACCCACAGCAGCTGACTCAGTCCCAAGCTGCCGCTAACAACCATACAAAAAAGCAGTGAGAAATGGCCATGCTGCCTTCTGGGCAGGACACTCCATCCTGCAGAAGGGACCTTTAGGCTCACTCCTCTGTCTGCGAAGCCAGGCTCCCAGGGGACGGGGCAGGTGGTTGGACTCACCCTCTCCGCCTTCTTCTTCTGTGTGGCGGTGACAGCAGAGAGAGCCCGCTCTAACTCTCCTTTACGCTGCAATGAATGTTGCAGACGGACGGCCAGATCCTTGGACTCTTCTGTAATGAGAGAGTTGAGATGGGGCCCAAAGGACTCCCCCTGAAGACCTGTCAAAGTGCCAGGTTGAAGGATGACAGGGTACCCAGATTCCCACCTTCAAAGTATCTGAGAGAACGTTTCGTGTGGTACAGGTCCGTATTTAGTTTCCCTTTCTGTATGTTCAATCTCTGGATTTGAACCTTTGGGAGAAAAGCCAAGCAAGTGCTGAAAGAGAAGGAAAGAAACATTCTCCGGAGGACAGGAGAAAACTGCACACCGTCCACTCACCTCTAGCTCCCTTTCGGCTTTCTGTTTCTCGTTGTTTGCTTTCTTTTCCTGTAGGAAGAGGAAGACAGAGATCTAACCAGGCAGAGGCAGAGATGGTACTGCAAGAGACATGTCCCCAGAATGCCACCACTGCCCCTGCCCCGGGACAGGCCCACCCATGGGACCGGGTTATCAGGGACCCTGTGGGGGATGGGGTGGACTCTGGGGGGTGAGCCTTCTTCCCCAGGCTGGGAGTGGGTGAGACGAGACTCGGGGCCTCTACATCTGAGTGTCCCCCAAACCGAGCAGTCATGTCGCGAGCAAACAAAGAAATCATGTTACTTCTTCCAGCTGATGTTCCACTTGTTTATTCTGTTGTTTCTGTGGGGAGAGTCACATTAAGGTGATGGAGGGTGGCCCCCTCAACTCTATTCCCCAGAGCAGGAAGTGGTAGGCAGGGGCCAGGAATGGATTTTAAAGGCAAAGTTCTCAGACCCAGTGGGAACTCGAACTGGTAAACTCTCCTCAAGCTCCCAAGGACAGAGGATTTGGGTCTTTGTTGGCTTTTGTCCACAGCCACAGAACTCAAGGTCTGAATCTGGAATCTCTTGACAGGACAGTAACATAAACCTCTAGAGATGGAGTTTGAGAAAGGCCCCCCCTTCTGCCAGCTTGTGATTTAGAAAAGTGCATTCATTCAATAAACATTTACTGAGCACGTACGGGCCAAGTACGGTTCTTCACAGAAGATTTAGGGCGGAAAAGGACAGACAGGAGCCTTTGGCCCTGAGGTTTCCATTCTAGGAGGCCTTTAAATCTCAGACTCGAGAGCTAACAGAGACCTTTGATACTCACTACTTCCTCTGGAAACATGAGCCCAAAAAGGAGAGGTGGCTTGTCCAGAATCAAAGAGCAAATTAGGGACTGAGTCATGGCAGAAATACGGGGCCCCTGACAACCAGTCAGGCTAGCACTTCCCCAAGAGGCAACAATCCCAGGGCGTGTGTAGCAAGGACTCGAGCAGGGGCGTCTGGAGAGGGGAGAGTCAGCAAACAGGGCAGCAAAAAAAGAGCCATGCTGCATGCTCCGGGGTCCCTCCAGGTGAGGCCTGGGCGCCCCAGCTCCCTATTCGCCCTTGGCACCAGGGGCCGCCGTCCCCTTTCTTCAGGGCCCCAAGGGGAAACTAGAGCCCAGGATTGGCAGCGTGGAATCAGGGGACCCCAGTGGACTCTTACCAAAGATTTGATGGTGTTCTTCAGTTGACTGACTTTTACGGACCTCGAGTCTGGGACTACTGCTAGTTCTTGGCACGGGCTCTGAGGCGCATGCAGAGAGGAGGAGGTGGAGGAGGAGTGGGGGGAGAGGTAGAGAGAGCAATCATTAGGGCTGGGGTGTGTGTGGACTGTCTCAGCTGGCAGAGGGGCACCCCGTCCCACCTGGAGGAGGAGGTTGGAGGGCTGGCCTGCAGGGTCACTGCACCTCTGCCCAGAGCCTCTTACCTCCAGATCCTTCAGGGTAGCAGATGATGTAGGGCTCTCCCCGTGGATACCTGTTGCTGACTACAAGAGATGAGAGTGCACATGAAGATGTTCTGTCCCACTCAGTATCTAAGCCCTCTGACTTCTTTTCTTCCCCATCAACTGGCACAATTTTCTTTTCTGCCTATCTTGGACCCTTTGTCCCATAACTCCTTTGTGCCAACTTCTCTCATGGTTCTTATCTCCCCACCACAGCACCCTGTGGCCCTTTCAGTGACTCCTGTGCCAAGTGACTGTTCTCATTGTCCTGGCTTCCCCTTGAGACTGGGGATGAGGAAAATCGAACAGCAATGACCATATCCTGGGTGTTCTGGGTGTTTACAGCAGGCCATGTACTAGGGATTAACATAAAAACAACAATAACAAATCTCATTTAAACTTCACAAATGGAAGTGAAACAATACCACCTCTATTATACAGATGTGAAAAGAGAGGCCCGATGAGGTCTAGCAACTTGCCCTAATTCATATCCCTAGCAGACAAAGAGGCAGGATTCAAACCCAGAATTCTTCACAGGTACCCAACAGTCCATCCACAATCTTAACAATTACCCTCTAGTGCCCCTTGGGTCCCCTGTCCCCAGGAACCTAGTCAGCCAAGACTCACATCTCCAGGTGAGTGGCAACCACCAGAAGTGGCTGTCTCATGGATGCTGCCATTTGTTTTCCTGTTCCTCTTGGCTCCTGCTGGAACACCAGGGCTGTTTCTCTGCCAATATTCTTTTAACTGTCAGAAACAAGAGCAGTAATACTCATGAGAACTATCAGCCCCTGCAGCCACATCCTCCTTTACAGTTTTTATAAAATACTCTTATACACCATCTGATTTAATGATACCAACAACTGTACAAGGTGTTGTCACAATCATTTAGTGACTCAAAGAGATTGATATCATGGCTAGAAAAAAAAAGAAGAAAAGAAAAAGGCGACAGACGAACTTTGAAACTCAGTCTTCTGACTCCAAACTCTGGGGTTTTACCAAGAATCAGCAGCTGCCAGGGACCAAAACCAGAGGCAGAGGTAGAAAAGTAAACATTAAGTAGGCAGGAACTGTATGCCATGTGGTTTAGTCATACATCCTCACACGTCTGTTAGTGTGAAGAAGTGCACCAGTACCTCTCAAACTCTTATATCAATGTGTCCTCATGGCAGAAGGCAGCCTTTCTGTTAAATCTGGGAATTTATCAGAAAGAGGACAACCCAAGCCTCATTTCAGAGAGAAGTCTGGTATACTCTTAGAAACCTATGTGACTGTCATCCCTAAGTACATTAATGTTTTTTCTCTTGATCTCAAGAGAATCAATGGAAACTGATGCTTCAGAAAGATGTCCCATATGTATCCTGTGGCACTCAAAGTACCCCAGGTTTACATAATATGAGGAAGATTCAAGCTGTCAAGTTCAGTTTCCCAAGATCTATTCCACAGAAGATGAGCAAATCTCACTTCACAGACCACTGGCTGAAGGGCAGTCTGGTCCCAGAACCATGGAGAATTAGAATGTGAGGTGGAGAACTCACAAAAAATTTGTTAAAATCTCTCTGGAAAGTAGAAGCCTGGGAGAAAACCAAACCAAGTCAAACCCATTCTCCAGTTGCCATCCAGAGGTACTGTCAATGTTTTGAGCTCACAGGGGAAGTGTAGGCTTTTCCCGCTGTCAATGTTTATGTTAAGGGAGTGAGGCAGCCTGAAACCTCTTGCTCCTAGGTCCCAATCTCCATTCCCCTTCCAGCTGGAAATTTGTGCTGTGACAAGAGGAACCAGAAATGGGGTGGCAATGCTTAGGGGACTGGGTCATAAGATCAAAGGCCAGTCTTGCAGTAATGACAGTTACTGGATGGACCGTGACATCACTACATTCCACTCTTCCTGGTGAGGGGGAGGGACCACATCAGCATGATGTCCGAGTCACCGCTCCATGATAGGGGAGGGAAAAACAGAGCTGGGACCCAGGTCCTTGGAGACACCAGTGCACACAGCCTAGGGAGGTCCACCTTGAGGCAGCAGGAGGGAAGGGAAGAGTCAGCAGCAGGGAGCCCCAGGATTCACCAGCCTAAAGTCACCCAGGGATGACTGGTGAGGGTGGGGTCTGGGGCTGTGGGACCCAGGTCCTTGGAGATGTGAGCCCAAAAAGCCCTGGGAGGTCAAGCTTGGGGTGGCAGGAGATGGGGGCCCAGTAAAGGAGCGGGGAGCCCCAGGATTCACCTGCCCAAAGTCACCCTGGGGTGATTGGTGAGGGCAGAGACTGGGCTGCTTGCTGAAGGGGTGGGGCTGACTGACAAAACTTTGGTGGGGGTAGCCCAGAGGCACCGGTGTGGGGGTCCCAGTCCGGTGAACCTCGGGAGTGGTATGGACTCTGGCAGCAGTCTTGTCGTTGGAGAGGATCTATGGCTGGGTTGGGGGTCCGTGACCTGGTGTGTTTTTACCTTTCTCTTGGCTGCTGCCAATTTACTTTGTCGAGTTTCTTCTGCCATCGCAGGGTGGGGAGGGAGGCGGGCTTGGGGCCACATCAGCAAAATCCCACCAAGCACTGATCAACACCTCCAGTCACCTACCAGGTAGCTGTGCGACTGAGCCAGAGGAGGCGTAACCAGGGATGCAGTAGAAGGCAGAATAGGGGCGTGGCCTTAATGCTCCAAGCCCATTGGTTAATGAGAAAGATGAAAGGGAAAGGGGGCGTGGCCAGGCATCATGTGTCCAGAGGGACCTTTGGCTCACAAGGAAAGCTGCCCAGGCAACCACTGTCCCCACCCACCCTAAGAGAGGGGAGAGGCCGCCAACTCTGGGAGAGGGGCAGGGCCGGCTTTTGCTTTAAAAGCTTTTAAAAATATATATATGTGTATACTTTATATATATGTGTGTCTGTGTGTGTGTACCTGTGTGTTCCTCCAGAGCTGTCTTCATGATCCAGCTTCTATGCAAGGTCTATGATTTTGGCCTATATTTTTCATAGAGTACAAAAATTACCAGTATTACCTTAACCGAGATACAGATCCTATGAAAATGGAAAATCCATAGCATGCTTGATGATTACTGAAGCAGACTATATTATCCAACATTCCAATAAGATAAAATAATCACAATGACTTCTCTTTTTTGGAAAAATGTTTCTCTTATTCTCCTACGTTATTGTGAAGACTTTTTTTCTTAAACAAGAAACATGTGTAATATTTGTAAAAACACAAAGCTTTTGGGCCGGGTGCAGTGGCTTATGCGTATAATTCCAGCACTTTAGGAGCCTGAGGCTGGCGGATCATGAGGTCAGGAGATTGAGACCATCCTGACTAAAAAGGTGAAACCACATCTCTACTAAAAATACAAAAAATTAGCCAGGCGTGGTGGTGGGTGCCTGTAGTCCCAGCTACTTGGGAAGCTGAGGCAGGAGAATGGCGTGAACCCAGGAGGTGGAGCTTGCAGTGAGCTCAGATCGTGCCACTGCACTCGAGCCTGGGCTACAGAGCGAGACTCCTTCTCAAAATAAATAAATAAATAAATAAATAAAACTTCTATTTCTTTCACTTTCTAATATAATTTTAATATCTCCTCCTGGGATTTCACTAAGACACATTTTGGACCTCATTCTGATCTTCCTCTCCCCTCCAAGCCCACCAACTTCTGCCCTATCATCCATCCTCATGTCTCTCTGTGTGACATGCTGACTTACTTTTTGGAGAGAATCGCCTAAACAATTAATTCTTTCTTCTCGTGTCTAATCCATCCACTAGTTTCTTATTTCAACAATTACATTTTTATTTCCTTATTTCATTTTATTCTGAGACTGAGTCTCATTCTGTCACACAGGCTGAATTGCAGTGGTACGAACCTGCAGACTCGGCCTCCTGGGCTCAAGTGATCCTCCCACCTCAGCCTCTTGAGTAGCTGGGACTATAGGCAGGTGCCCCATACCCAGCTAATACCATACCCACACAGCAGAGACATAAAAGATTTCCATCCTCAAAGAAGGTTCCATTGAACAGCACTGCTCTAATTCAATAAAAAATACCACTGAGCACAACATAGTAATAGAAAAGATTGAAGAGGCAGTGCTGATACTTAAAAACCTGGTATTTTCAGCCAGGCATGGTGGCTCATGCCTGTAATCCTGGCACTTTGGGAGGCTGAGGTGGGAAGATCGCTTAAGCCCAGGAGTTCTAGACCAGCTTGGGCAACATGGTGAAACCCTGTCTCTACAAAAAATACAAAAAATTAGCTGGGCATGGTGGCATGTGCCTGTAGTCCCAGCTACTTGGGAGGCTGAGGTGGGAGATCACCCGAGCCTGGGAGGTCAAGGCTGCAATGAGGTGAGATGGCACCACCACACTCCAGCCTGGGTGACAGAGTGAGACCCTGTCTCAAAAACAAAAAACAAAAAACAAAACAAAAACACCTGATATTTATTTTTAAGTACACTATTTTCAAACATTCAGAAGTTATTTCATCCTACCTTCATGGTTTCCATTCTATGCCTGGTTTAGAATTGGGATCTGATAAAATAAACGTGTTCAACAGAACCACTTCTCATGGCTGTATAACAGATGATCAATATGTATTTGCTGAGGAAATTATACAATTTTCTTAATTTTTTTTAACAAAAATTGTGGTTTCAAGGGACCAAACTTGAATACTACACCTTCATGTTCTAAGAATCAGGGGACTTATATAAAACCTCAGTTGCCTGATAAGGACTACATCAAAGTGAAAAGCCATGGGAAAGAACTAGAAAGTATACTTTTGACCCTAGTTCTGTAAAGTTTCCTTATGCCACAGGTAATACACATCGCAATTCCTGCCAAATTCTTTCCCTCACCTCTGTTTATGGTCTCGATTCCATAAATAGGAGAAGGGCATGAATTTGCTTTAGTTAGATAGACAGATAGATGGATAGAGAGATAGATGGATGGATGGATGGATGGATAGATAGATAGACAGAGATAAAGACAGAGACAAAGATGGAGACAGAGATGGACATAGAGACAGATTTGCAGAAGATAAGTTCTAGGTGAACTAGTGTCAACATTAAAGTGGTATGCCTACATCTAACTATTCTGGAGAGAAAAACATACCTCAAAGAAATTGACTTAAATATATACAGAGAAAAAGTTTAAGCTGAAAGCTACTGCCTTTTTATATGAGACACTTTAGGAAATTACTTGGGGGGCAAGAGAGAAAATGGGTGGACATAGCTCAGAGGTTACACAGTAGCAGATATGTAGGATGAACAAGCCTAGAAATATAATGTACAACGCGAGAAATATAGGTAATAAAATTGTGCTGTATTTGGGATTCACGCTAAATGAGACTTTAAGCTCCTCTTGCCACCAAACAAAAAGAAAACGGGTAACTATCTGAGTTGAAGGATACGTTAATTTGCTTCACTGTAGTAATTTTTTTTAACCATCTATATGCATCCCATAAAATCATGTTGTATACCTTAAATACACAGAATACAATTTATTTAACATAAAAAACTACTCCAATATTTTCTGCATTTTTAATATGCTCACCCAAAGAAAGCATTAATTTGCATCTTTGATGTTAAACAGATAGCCTAATCAAGTCACTATCAAGATCAAGACTAAAAGTTACAGCTTTTTTCTTTTGATGCCTTTCAGATATATCTATTTATATATAAAAATATATATACACACACACATACATACACACACACACACACACATATATATGTAGTTATGTGTGTGTGTATATATAGTTACAGTTTTGGCCAGGTGCAATGGCTGACACCTGTAATCTCAGCCCTTTGGGAGACCAAGGCTGAAGGCTTGCTTGAGGCCAGGAGTTTGAGACCAGCCTGGGCAACGAAGCAAGACCCTATCTCTACAATTTTTTTTTTTTAACAAAATTAGCCAGGGATGATGGCATGCACTTGTAGTCCCAGATACTTGGGAGGCTGAGGCGGAGGATCCCTTGAGCCCAGGAGTTCAAAGCTGCAATGGGCTGTTACTGTGCCACTGGATCCCAGTCTGAGCAACAGAGCAAGACTTTGTCTCAAAAACAAAATTTATAATTAAAGATAAATAGTTATAGTTTTATGAACCTTGACTGCAACTGAGGGAAAATCCCGTAATTGGCAAAATGAATTCTGCCTGCTTGCAAAACTTCTGACTAATACGGAATGAATAATAGGAAGCCCATATTAGAGGATCCACATCAGTTAAAAAGTTTCCAAATAAGAGTGACTCTGAGTTCTGCAGAGTGAAAAGATTGGGTTCAAACCAAACACTTGCAAGATCTTGAGTAAGATACTTAATCCCTCTGTGACTCACTGTTCTCAAATGTAAGTGAAGATAATTTGTAACTCAAAAAAAATGAAAAAGTTTTCTCTAAGATTGCAAATCCTAAGGATAATTTCATTTTAATATCAGTTATTTAGTCTGGATACACCATAATGCAGACTAATTTTCCCTCTGCTTAAAGACCACACAAAAACATTACCAATAAAATTTACTTGTGTATCAACTTTTACTCCTGAGACTTCATCGTTTGTTTGGTTAAAAAAAAAAAAAAAAAAAAAAAGCGCACTAGACCGGGCACAGTGGCCCATGTCTGTGATCTCACTTACGGAGGCCAAGGCAGGTGGATGAGTTTGAGAACAACCTGGGCAACATGGAAAAACCCCGTCTCTACAAAAAAAAAATATAAAAATTAGTCAGGTGTGGTGGCACATAACTGTGGTCCCAGCTACTCCAGAGAGTGAGGCGGGAGGATTGCTTGAGCCCACGCAGAGGTTGCAGTGAACCAAGATGGCACCACTGCACTCCAGCCTGGGTGACAGAGCAAGACCCTGTCTCAAAAAAAAAAAAAAATCACTATAAAATTGAAATTCACAACAAAATGTGCATACTTAACCTTCTTTTTATTTATTTATTTATTTTTAATATTTTGAGACAACATCTTGCTATGTTGCCTAGGCTGGTCTTGAACTCCTGGGTTCAAACCATCCTCCAGTCTTGACTTCCCAAGTACTGGGACTACAGGTGTGAGCCACCAGCCCCGCCAGCCCTGTTACACTATTCTTGGCCCCTCAAGTGACTGTATGAATTTTAGGATCAGCCTCTCGAGTTCCACAAAAAAATTCTATTGGGATTTGTGTAGGAATTTCTTGAATTTATAGATTAATTTGTTGAGAAGTAGTATGTTTATAGCATTGAGTCCTACGATTCATAATATATATGGCATGTATTTCAGTTTAGTCAGTTCTTCCTTTAAGTCCCTGGGTAATTTTTATATTTGTCTTAGTCCCTTCATAGTGCTATAACAAAACACCTGAGACTGGGTAATTTACACAGAGCAGAAGTTTATTTTCTCAGTTCTGGAGGTTGGGAAGAACAAGATCAAGACTCCAGCAGACACAGTGTCTAGTGAGGGCCTGGTCTCTGCTTCCAAGATGGTACGTTGAATGCTGCTTCCTCTGGAGCAGGCAAATGCTATGTTCTCATGAGGCAGAAGGGACAGATTTACCACCACCCACAAGCCCTTTTATAAGGAAGGCACTAATCTCATGCATGAGGGCTCACCCTATGTCTTAATCACTTCTTAAAGGCCCCACTTCTTAGTACTATCATCTTGGGAATTAAGTTTTAATACATGAATTTTGGGAGACACATTCAGGCTATGGCAATACTCTTCATGAAAGGCCTTGTGTATACTTTGCTAGATATATTCTCAGGGTTTTGTTGCTATTGTGAATAGAATCTCTTTTTTTTTTTTTTTTTTGCCACGGAGTCTGGCTCCTTTGCTCAGGCTGGAGTGCAGTGGCGCGATCTCGGCTCACTTCAAGCTCCGCCCCTCCAGGTTTAAGCAGCCTGTTGCCCAGGCTGCAATGCAGTAGCATAGTCATAGTTCAATACAGCCTCAAACTCCTGGGCCCAAATGATTCTCTAAGCTAATATTTTTAATTTTTTAGAGATGGAGTTTCATTCAAGGATCACTAAAGGCCAGTGATCCTCCCGCCTCAGCTTCTGAAATTGCTGGGATTACAGGTGTGATTGAGCCATGGAGCCTGGCCAGACATGGGCTATTGATTCTCGCTGTTACTCTTTTCCCTTTCCTTCTAATCCTTGTATTGGGAAGAAAACAGTATGGAAATTTTATTTCTTCATTTTATTGATACGTAGATCTCTGCTTAGAAGACAATTTTAGTTTTAAATTATAAATGTTTTGTTCATTATTCATAGAAAACTAGATTTGCCATGGGATATTTATAAGTGTTGCACGAATGAAGGGTTTTCTAGTCAAATAAGTTGAAACACATTACGTTAAACAAACTTGGACAGTTTTGTTTCTGGTCAATTTTAGAGTTCTAAATTATGATTCTACTCAAGAGGATATTGTATGCGGTATTTTCAAACCAACTCATCCTGCGTCAGGTTGTGGTTACACTTTGGGAGAGGAAGCTATAATCTTATACTGGGACTGTAATGAATGTATTAAAGTAATTTTCGTAGCTTTCTCTTTTTGGAGTTACCTGAGAAATTATGACACCCTTTTCCAAACAGGCCAAGCTGCTTTGCAAACACGATTTCCATAATTTTAACAATGGTGAGGCCAGGCACGGTGGCTCATACCTGTAATTCCTTCCAGCACTTTGGGAAGCCTAGGCAGGAGGATCACTTAAGCCAGGAGTTCAATACCAGCCTGGGCAACATGGCAAAAACTCATCTCTACAAAAAATACAAATATTAGCCAGGCGTGGTGGCACACACCTATAGTCTCAGCTACTCAGAGGTTGAGGTGGGAAAATTGCTTCAGCTCAGGAGCTCGAGGCTGCAGTGAACGGTGATCACGCCACTGCACTCCAGCCTGGGTGACAGAGCAAGACCCTGTCTCAAAAACAAACAAAACAAAACACAAACCAAGGGTGAGAGAGATGTTAGATGTTTTTGTCCTTGTTACAGATGTAAATGCTCAGTTGGAAAGAGGGAAGTATTTAGAGTGAAAAACTTTCGGTGGAACACACACAAAAATAGGAAGATCAGGTATAACTGTTCCAAAAAAAAGAGTATGGCAGTATAGAAGAAAAGGTCTCCATGAAAATGCAGAAGAACAATTTCACAGCTGGTGCTGGCATTTCAGAGACCTTGAGCTGGGAATCAAAAGATGGGAATTTCAGTCTCGGATGTGCCACTCCTTAGAGGTTTAATATCTACTAAACCCGGCGGGCTCCACTTGGTGGTGTTTGCTATTTAAAAAAACAAAAACATGTGGCAATGATCTTCCACGTGATTCTGACTTGAGCCCCACCCGAGTCTGCAGACTTACCCTTCCACTGCTTTGCCCTTCAAGTTTGTGCCCATTAGCAAAGAGAAATTTTCTCTTTGGGATCACTGCTGTGTTGATCTCAGGAATATTTGGCGTTGAATTTAACATATTTTTCATATGTGTGTGCAATAGGGAGGCTGAGAAACTTGTCTTTTTTTTAAGGTGTTCATTTTTGGGGTACAGGTAGCAGCCTGCTCTACAATCCACACAGAAGCTGGAAATAGCCTCTAGAGAATTTCCACTTTTAGAGAAGATAAATTTATACATTTGTATCTAATCAACATTTTTTAGCTAACATAGTAGTCTAATTATACTATGTATAATTATGGGTACTGAAATGACACCTGGCATATGCTGTATGCTGTGTTATATATACATATATATTTACACATATACATATATATTACACATATACATATATATTTACACACATATATTTACACATATACATATATTTACATATTTTACATTTACATTTTACATTTATTTTACATTTTACATTTATTTTACATTTTACATTTATTTTACATTTTACATTTACATTTGACATTCTACATTTATTTTACATTTACATATTTTACATTTACAAATATTTACATATTTTACATTTATATATATACATATATTTACATACATATATTTACATACATATTTTTCCATACATATTTACATGTGTATATATTTACATACATTCACATACATATTTACATATATACTTACATACATACATATTTACATAATATTTACATACACATATTACATACATATATGTACACATATACATATATTTACACATATACATATACTATGTATAATTATACTATGTATAATCATGGGTACTGAAATGACACCTGGCATATGCTGTATTTAAAAATGTGAGGTTCAGTGAGAACACATGGACACAGGAAGGGAAACAACACATACTGGGGCCTGTCAGGGCGGGTGGGGGAGGAGCATCAGGAAAAATAGCTAATGCGTGCTGGGCTTAACACTGAGGTGATGAGTTGATAGGTGGACCAAACCACCATGGCACACGTTTCCCTACGTAACACTCCTGCACATGTACCCTAGAACTTAAAACAAAATTTTAAAAATAATAAAAAATAAAAATTTGAAATTCAGCACATGAACTGTTGGTTTTATTATTCATATTTTCTTAATTCAGAAATTATTTTCTGAACTATGGTTTATTCGATAATTTTGACGTAACAATTTTTTAAGAGGAAATTTAAGTTTTACTTTTTAATTGGGGCTCTTGGTTCTTTTTAAGAAAGACAGAGATAAATCATTTATACATTTAATTAGAAGAGACTGGGCTTGAATTTTTAAAAAGTACTAGAAATCGTAGCCACTATATATGTTATCTTTGAAATGTTTTAGACACTAATTACCTAAACAAGGAGCAAATAAGTTAAACCTCTTGGATTTTAATAAGAGCTAAAATGTACAGTTGTATTTTCTGGTTTTTTAAATTGTTACAGTCTAAATTTATTCTTCCTAATGAAGAAATGTATGTGCCGTCAATATCAGGTTCTTTGTGGGTACTCACAGTTCCCTTTGCCTTTTACGCAGTGAATGTGGGCAACATGCGTGGAACAGAAATGATGTCGTTTTCTTTCTTTTGAATATCACTATGAATCTAATAATTCAAAGATTCCTAACTTTCTGAATGCCATTATTAATTGGATTCACAATGACTTACCAGGTACAGAGTTGTCCAGTGTGTCTTGGGGTGAACTACTGAGAGTGGTATGAGGGAAGCGATTCTCAGCTAGCACTGAGTGGGGCCACTTCCAAAGAGGTGATGGGGTAAGAAGCACACACAATGTGGCATTTTCACTGCAAAGGGAGGTTTGTGCTGCCTCTCCTCCTGTGGCAGGTCTGCTCGCAGGGGAGGCTCCAAAGTTTGGCTTTGCTGGGTTTGGCATGTGAGAACTGATGAAATATCTGTATGTAGTATCTTTCAAGGATTTATATCGGTTGGATTTCTGTGTAAATTTGCATATCCCTTTGACTGCTTTACCCTATAGAAGCTTTGTATGCTTAACAAAATCTGTAACTTTTCTGTCACTTTCTCATTTAGCATCTGCCTTTCTGGCTTTTTACTTTATCTTTTTATTATTGTTTTTAGTTTAATGAGATTATGGTTAGAGAGAAAGATGGATGCATGATTCCGCTTCTTTGGAATTTGTTGAGATTTTCCTTATGGCTCAGTACATATGTACTTGGGGGGGGTGAATGCTGTCACTTTGGAGAGATATGTTTTTTCTCTACATTAGGTCAAGCTTGTTAATTTTCTAGAGAGATGTAAATCTTCTATGTCTATGCTGATTGTTTTTTGTCTCTTTTATCAGATACTGAGATATGTATTTAAATTGCCCTCTGAGGGTTGCAATTTTGTCATATTTTGCTTTCATGTATTTTGAGTGCTAGTTATTAGATACATTAACATTTTAGATTACCTTCTCCCTTGGTTTATTAGAATTTTTATCATCATATTGTGACCTTAAAAAATCTCCCATATTGCTTTTTGCCCAAAGCCTATTTTATCTGATAATAATATAGCTTCCAACCCTTCTTTGGGTTAGGTACATATGACATGTGTATCTTTTTTCAATCTCTCTCAGTCTTTCTGTGACTTTATGTTTTAGATGTCTTTTCATACTGTTTATTTTCTGTTTTTTGTGTTTTTTTTGTGTGTTTTTTTTTTTTGATACGGAGTCTTGCTCTGTTGCCCAGGCTGGAGTGTAATGGTGTGATCTCGGCACTGCAACCTCTGCCTCCTGGATTCAAGCGATTCTCCTGCCTCAGCCTCCTGAGTAACTGGGATTACAGATGTTCACCACCACGCCGGCTAATTTTTGTATTAGCAGAGATGGGGTTTCACCATGTTGGTCAGGCTGCTCTCGAACTCCTGACCTTGTGATCCCTCCGCCTGCCTCATCCTCCCAAAGTGCTGGGATTACAGGCATGAGCCACCACGCGTGCCCTAATTCTGTTTTATAGTCATTTTCTCTTAATTATTCAGTCTATTTACATTTATTGTGATTGTTGGCATAGTTTCTTTTATAACTTTCATCGTATTTTGTGCTATTTGTTCCATCTGTTTTTATTTCTTCATGTCTTTTTTGTCTCGTTTTTGCTAATTCCTTTTATATTCATGGTTATTCTGCTCTTGAAATGTATGCTATGTGAATATATTTGTGAGTTGACAATACTTTATTAGCAATTAAATATACTATTTCTCTTTTTTTTTAGAACTTGCTCAAATGTTACATAACCTCAATATCCTTAGTATCTAAATTAAACTGACTTTCTGAACAATCATCATTTTAAGGCAGTTACCACGATCTACTAAAAAATAAAAAAAAATTAGCCAGGTGTGGTGGTGGGCGCCTGTAATCCCAGCTACTCAGGAGGCTGAGGCAGGAGAATCCCTTGACCCTGGGAGGCAGAGGCTGCAGTGAGCCGAGATAGCGCCACTGCACTCCAGCCTGGGCAACAGAGAGACTCCGTCTCAAAAAAAATAATAATAATAATAATAATAAAGGAATTTAAAAAAAGACTGGGTTTAACCATGTTGCCCAGGCCGGTCTGGAACTCCTAGGCTCAAGCAATCCCCCACGCTTGGCCAGTCCAAAGTCCTGGAATCAAAAGCGTGAGCCACCACGCCAGGCCGATCACGCCTGTCATCCCAGCACTTGGGGAGGCGGAGGTGGGTGGATCACCGGAGGTCAGGAATTTGAGACCAGCCTGGCCAACATGATGAAAACCCGTCTCTACTAAAAATACAAAAAAAAAAAATTAGCCGGGTGTGGCGGCAGGTGCCTGTAATCCCAGCTACTCAGGAGGCTGAGGCAGGAGAACCACCAAAACCCGGGATGCAGAATTCGCCGCGAGCGGAGACCCAGCCACTGCACTCCAGCCTGGGCAACAAGAGGGAAACTCCGCCTCAAAAAAAAATAATAATAATAATAAGAGACAGATTTTCACCATGTTGCCCAGGCAGGTCTGGAACTCTTAGGCTCAAGCAATTCCCCACGCTCGGTTGTCCAAAGTCCTGGGATCAAAAGCGTGAGCCACCACGCCAGGCCGATCTATTTCTTTCTGATTAATAAATTGGGCCAGGAGCGGTGGCTCACGCCTGCAGTCCCAGCACCCCGGGAGGCCGTGGTGGGCGGATCACCTGAGGTCGGGAGTTTGAGACCAGCCTGACCAACATGGAGAGACCTGTCTCTACCAGAAAAAAAAAAAAAAAAAAAAAAAAAAAAGAGCCGGGCATGGTGGCTCCCGCCTGCAATCCCAGTCACTCGGAGGCTGAGGCAGGAGAACCACCCAAACCCAGAGGCAGAGGCCGCGGGGAGCCGACACCGCACCACTGCACTCCAGCCCTGCAACAAGAGGGAAACTACGCCTCAAAAAAAAAAAGAGAGAGAGAGAGACCGGTTTTCACCATGTTGCCCAGGCTGGTCTAGAACTCCTAGGATCAAGGGATCCGCCACGCTCGGCCCGTCCAAACTCCTGGGATCAAAAGCGTGAGCCACCACGCCAGGCCGATCCTTCCTGTCATCCCAGCACTTTGGGAGGCCGAGGTGGGTTTACCTGAGGTCCGGAGTTCGAGACCAGCCTGGCCAACATGATGAAAACCCATCTCTACTAAAAATACAAAAAAAAAAAAAAAAAATTAGATGGGTGTGCTAGCGGGCGCCTGTAATCTCAGCTACTCAGGCGGCTGAGGCAGGAGAATCGCTTGAACCTGGGAGGCAGAGGTTGCAGTGAGCCGAGACAGCGCACCACTGCACTCCAGCCTGGGTGACAAAGTGAGACTCCGTCTCAAAAGTATATATATATAAAAATAAAAAATGAAATAAAAATAAATTGGGTGTGTGCGCTGGCTCACGCCTGCAATTCCAGCATCCCCGGAGGCCGAGGTGGGCGGATAACCTGAGGTCTGGAGTTTGAGATCAGCTTGCCCAGCATGGAGAAACCCCGTCTCTACCAAAAACAAATAAAAAAAAATTAGCAGAGCAATGTTGGTCAGGCCTGCAATCCCAGCCACTCCGGAGACTGAGGCAGGAGAACTACTAAAACCCTGGAGGCAGAAGTCGCTGTGAGCGGAGACCCAGCCACTGCACTCCACCCTGGGCAACAAGAGCGAAACTCCACCTCATAAAAAAAAAGAGAGAGAGAGAGAGAGAGACCGGGTTTCACCATGTTGCCCAGGCAGGTCTGGAACTCCTAGGCTCAAGGGATACCCCGCGCTGGGCCATCCAAAGTACTGGGATCACAAGCGTGAGCCACCACACCAGGACGATCTATTCCTTTCTGATTAACAAATTGGGCCGGGAGCGGTGGCTCAAGCCTGCAATCCTAGCACCTCAGGAGGCCTAGGCAGGTGGATCACCTGAGGTCGGGAGTTTCAGACCAGCCTGACCAACAGGGAGAAACCCCATCTGTACCAAAATAAAAATAAAAAAAAAAATACAAAATTAGCCGGGCTTGGTGGCTTATGCCTGCAATCCCAGCCACTCTGGAGGCTGATGCAGGACAACGACCGAAACCCGGGAGGCGGAAGTCGCGGCAAGCAGAGACCCAGCCACTGCATTCCAGCCTGGGCAACAAGAGCGAAACTCCGTCTCAAAACAACACAAAACAAAAAGACCAGGTTTCACCATGTTGCCCAGGCCTGTCTGGAACTCCAAGGCACAAGCGATCCACCCTACTTGGCCGTCCAAAGTCCTGGGATCACAAGAGTGAGCCACCACGCCAGGCAGATCAAAGCGTTGAGCTGAATAAAGAGTTATCTTTTAGCATTTTGTGGAGCCCGGGTAGATCTGTGCAGGGGGAAGCATATTACAGAAGCGAGAAACAGAGGGTTATTTAATTGAAGCACGCATTATGTTTTTTTTTTTTTTACGTTTTTAGGAAAAATATGTTTTGTGACTTGCATTTGTTTGTTTAGTGACCTTGCAGTTGCACAGTTAGGGAATTAGGGTTTTGATAATGCCTGGGAAGGGAGCGATAAGGCTCACTAGCCATAGGAAAACAGGTAGTTTTTTTAAAGGACTAAGGCTCTTTCTCATTCTCAGGGGGAATTGGGTTTTTTTTACATACAGCTGAGTTTTTGCTTACACATTTTTTCATTTCTTTTAATTCCTGTTCCAATGCCAGCATCCTTGCGGTGCGGTTTCCCAGCGGCTCTCTTGCCTTGCAGCTTGTGTCGGGAGTTGCAGACAGCCATGGCCCATGGGCCTGGCGCTGACGGACCCCGGAGCGGTGTCTGAGGGAGGTGGGCAAAGCCACTGGCTGGCCCGAGTGCATCCTCACGTAAGTGCACAGATCCCGGGCTCGGGTGCGACTGCGGTCGCACGTGGACACGGGTTGCAGACCCCTGGCAAATTGTGGAGCTGGGGGAAGGTAAGGGGAAATGTAAATCACTTTTCCCCACATTTCAGAGGACCTAGGCTATCAAAATTTTAAAAATTGTTAAAACTTTTACAGTATGGATCTCTCAGTTGAATGTTATTGAAATCAACCTAACCTCAGTTATTCACGCCTATAAGCTCCCCTTGAGGCTTATTACGGCCCCCATCCCCCTACACACAACTGTGTTGGTTTCTCCTTCCGCCTGTGCTCCTAAAGCACTCAGTGTTTACCTGCCATCATACTTTATTGAAAGCACAAACTTGTCACTTGTCTGTCTACCCCACTAAGCTTCTTGAGAATTAGAACTTTCATGTCTCTTCCCAACACAAACGTTTTATGTGTATTTTGTTGAAGAACTTCAAATATGACCTATAAAATTATGACTCATTTATGTTTCAAACTCCAACCTCTCCCTTGAGTTCCTTGCTCACAAGCAACTCCAGACTGAGCTTAGTTGGAATTCAGTAGCGCACAACTGGGATATCTGCACCGTACGGCTTTTAACAATTTTTTAAATTTTGGTCCTCTCAGCATCACAAATTCACTGTGTCCAAAATACAGTAGAATGTTGTTTCTACCCACCTACACTCTGCCATCCGCTGAAGTCCTTTCCCCTTGCTCCACCACTCAAGCCTTGCCTATCACAGTAAATGGCAGTTCTGTCTCTCCAGTTGCTCGCACATAAAACTAGGCTGCTATTTTGATGTCTTCACTTTTCTCTATTCTGTATCTAATTCCTTAGCAATCCTGTCAGTTCTACCTCCAAACTGTACTCAGCATATTCACTGCTCTAACTCCAGCTTAAATCACCATCATCCTTTGCCTGGAATGCTGCATCAACCTTCTAATCACTCTACTTTCCTCCTCCTCCTTCCTCCCTTTCTTCTTCCTTCGTATAAATCATCATTTCATCCTTCTGCTTAAAATCTTCTCACATTTTCTTATTACACTTAAAACGGCAAACTCTTACCCTTGAGCCCTGCAGAATTTGGCTCCCATCAGTCTCTCCAACTTCACCTTCTGCCTCCTTCACGCTATAGCCATGCTCACTTTTTTATTCCTCAGGCTTACCAAGCTCAATTGCATCTTAGAGAATTTGTTCTTGCTGTTTCTTCCGCCTGGAATACATGTTTCCCAATCTTTATAAGACTATACTTGTCTGTAAGTTTCATCTCAGATGTCACATCTAGGAGAGGTTTTCCTTGACCACTGTAGCCAAAGCAAATGTTGATCATTGAGTGAATAAGGGAATGAATGAATGGAGTGGTATATAATGTAGCAGAGTAGATAATTTAAGGCTAATTCACTATATATCTCCAAGCAAATAGATTTGTAATGCTTTTCCTGCCAACAATCTATACAGCTGATTCACAAATACTTGGTTGACAGGTTTTATATATCATTGTGGCTCATCAGCTTATATATTGTTGGGGCCAGAATCTATACTTACACTTTATTCAAATTTGATTTTACAGAAGAGTTGAGGTTTTTATTTTTCTTTTAATTAAGAGGGCTGTGAAATTATTATCTATAATTCTAAATCTCATTTAATTCCTCCCAATAGGTTTCAAGATGGATTGGAACCAAAGTTCACTTCTTTAACAAAAGTGCTTTATGACTTTAATAAAACAGTAGAGAATGGTAGAATCCATGGCAGCTCTTTACAAAAACTTGTGATAGAAAGTTTTGATGATGAGCAGACTTTGCAACAACTGGAATTGCAAAATGAAGCAATTTTACCGTGCTTCCAGAATGCGGTTAGTGAAAGAAAGATGAAGATATCAGTCTTCTCCCAGAGAGTGAAGAACAGGAGCATGAAGAGGCTGGTTCAGAAACAGAGGCTGATGGCCAGGAGGACCTAGAAGATTTAGAGGAGGAGGAGGACGTGTCAGATATGGGTGGTGACAATCCTGAAATGGGTGAGAGAGCTAAAAACTCAAGCAAATTCAGGGCCAGGCGCGGTGGCTCACGCCTGTAATCCCAGCACTTTGGGAGGCCGAGGCAGGCGGATCACGAGGTCAGGAGATCGAGACCATCCTGGCTAACAAGGTGAAACCCCATCTCTACTAAACATACAAAAAATTAGCCAGGCGTGGTGGCAGGTGCCTGTAGTCCCAGCTACTCGGGAGGCTGAGGCAGGAGAATGCCATGAACCCGGGAGGTGGAGCTTGCAGTGAGCCTAGATCACGCCACTGCAGTCCAGCTGGGCGGCAGAGTGAGAGACTGCATCTCAAAAACAAAAACAACAATTACTTAACTTTAGGATGCTCCAATAATCAAAACTGATAGTGGCTTGTGAACAGATAGATTACTTGAATAGAATAGAGCCCAGAAATAAACCCAAATGCTTCTGGGGGAGTTTGGCACATTATAAACATGAGATTTTAAATCAATGAGGAAAAGAAATCATTTGCAGCTCACCCCACCATACACAGCAGGAATAGGAAGTCATTGGCAGAATAAAAAGATGGTAAGAACAGAACAGAATTGTAGAACAGTACATTTCTTGCTTCCCCACTTTTCAAAGTATTTTTTGCTTTTTCACAAATGTAAGTGTAATTTTATTTTCTAAATGTATACTAATTCTTTTCTTCTCTTTCTTAGATGAATGACAAAAATTACATCTTTAGAAAAAGAGTTGTTAGAAAAAAGCCTTGGCTGCATGTGGGGGAAGTGACAGCACAGAAGAGACCAGAGAAGAGCCTCCTGGAGGAGAGCCTGCACTTTGACCATGCTGTCCGGATGGGTGCAGTGCTCTTTTCTGCAAAGTGTTCACTTCTCTGCTTTTTCTATGGTCCCATTTCATAGAAAGATTTGGGGTGATGTTTCTTTCCCTCAACTTTTATTTTGAAAACTTGCAAACACAGAAAAGTTGATAAAATCATACAGTGAACATCTGTATGCTATTCAACTGGATTCACTAGTTAATGTTTTGTCACACTTGTTTTCTGTCTTCTGCGTATGGAAGATTGTATATGTGCCCTTTTTCCCTCTGAATCATTTCAAAGTAAGTTGGCAGTATCAGAGCATTTCACTGTTAAGTACTTTCGCAGATATCTTCTAGGAACCAGGACTTCTCCTATATAATCACAATACCATTAATCCACCCCCAAAATTTAACATCAATACACTAATGATACCTACTGTATAGATTATAATCAGCTTCCTTGCAGCAATCTGTTTAGAAGGCTTGCATCCTGTCACTGTCCACTGATTAAATTTTGAACTCTAACTTGAAACCCTGGTCATCTCATTGCCTTCTTTCTTATACCCATTAAGTCAAAAGGAGCTCTCATTTTATTTCAACAGAAAAGAGAATGGAAAAGAGGGGAAGAGTCCCTAGTACCTTGGATAAAGTATGAGCACTTACTACCATATGTATTCTAGTTCTGTAGTTTTCAAACTTCAGGGAGCATCTCAAGGCTTATTAAAGCACAGATAGCTGTCCTTCCCCACTTTCTGATTCAGGAGGTGTGGGGCTGGCCCAGGAATTTGCATGTCTAACAAGTTCCCACGTGTTTCTGATGCTGAGGGTCTAAGGACTACAATGCATGAATCCGTGGTTTAGTGGATATCCACCTAATGAATACATGTTGTATTTCCTTTGGCACCCGTGATTACAGAGGAAACACCTTTCAACTGGAAGGTATCATTAAACAGAGGATAAGAGATCAGGTCAGTAAGAATTAAATTTCACTTAATTGAAATGTCCCTCAAATGTTAGAAATAATATGACAGGCCAGGCACAGTGGCTCATGCCTGTAATCCCAGCACTTTGGGAGGCCAAGGCAGACGGATCACTTGAGGTCAGGAGTTCGAGACCAGCCTGTCCAAGATGGTAAAACTTCCTCTCTACTAAAAATACAAAAATTAGCTGGGCATGGTGGTGCATGCCTATAGTCCCAGGTACTCGGGAAGCTGAGGCAGGGGAATCGCTTGATCTCGGGATATGGAGGTTGCAGTGAGCTGAGATGCACCACCGCACTCCAGCCTGGGCAACAGAGTGAGACTCCATCTCAACATAAATAAATAAATAAATAAATAAGATAAAAATAAAAATAAAGGGAAGATGGGGCAGCTTTGTGTATTGCATGTCCTGAAAATGGGCTGATTTCTCTCAAGAGGCAGGGATTTAAGCTCTGTAGCCTATGTGGGATACATACAGGAGAAAAAAGAAGAAAAAGAAAAGAAATGTAAATATAAATAAATGAAAATAACACTTTTCCATGATTATAAAGGAAATCACATTGTTTTTGTAATAATTTGGATGACAAAATGTAAAGAAAAATCTTTAATTTTGCCACTCAAAACATTCCGGTTTGTTGCTTTTCACACTTTTTATGCTGTAAACATTTTAAAAAGTAGAATCACAATACATGGTCTTTTGTCACTTACTATATTTTAAGCATGTTTCTATGGAGAAATATACCCTGGCATCATCACTTTCAACAGCTGGATGTATGTTAAGTGAATCATTGCCACCCCAGAGGTGGATTTCCTTCTATATATATTTTAATGGACTCGAGTGAGGATTTTTGCACTGAATTCATAGAAGTAGAATTTCTAGAAGAAAATAATATAAAACCGTTTTAGGATTTTTAAAAGAAATGTTCAAATCATCCTATAGGAAAATTGGTTGAGTTTATGCTCCCACCAACAGGGACAGAGCTCCAGGTTCCCCCTTCCATTTGTCGTCTTCGCTGGTCTTTAAGCAGAAAATCTCATTGTTTTCATTACCTTTCTTTGATTTCTAGTGCTTTTGAATCTTTTTCATTTGCTCATTGGCCATTTTTATTCTTGTGGGAAGTGCTGGTTTCTCCATTGCCCATTTTCTGCTGCAAATCATTCATTTTTTTTTCTGAGTAATTTTAAAGATTTCTTTATAGGCTAAGGATACAAACCTTTAATCTGTCATTGAGGTTACAAAGATCTTCTCCCAGTAAGTAATTTGTCATTTCACTTTATTTATTTTTTGCTAGCAAAGCACCAAAGTCAAATTTCACTTAATTTTTATCCTGCTGAATGAACACATTTTAAGTTAGTGATTTTAGTGGAAACAGGAGCAGGAGAGAATGTAATAATTAGATCTCGCTCTGTCACCCCAACTGGAGTGCAGTGGCATGATCATAGCTACTGCAGCCTCAAACTTCTGGGCTCAAGTGATTTTCCCACCTCAGCCTCCCAAGTAGCTCTAGGACTACAGGTGTGTGCCGCCAAGCCCAGCTAATTTTTAAATTTTCTTTGTAGAGATATGAATTCGCTATGCTGCCCAGGCTGGTCTTTAACTCCTGACTTACCCCACCTTAGCTTGCCAATATGCTGGGAGTACGGGCGTGAACTACTGCTCCCGGCCAAGAGCTTACTTTGGTTTGCTAGCAAGGTTCTTGGTATCTTTTTATATTTGAGGCTTTCGTGCTAGTGCTGAAGTATTACACTCACCATCTGAGGTTTACAGGACTTTTGTTTTAATATTGAACCGAGGGAACTGTTTAGTTTTGCATCTTTGCAGGTATACAAAATGTGCCTACCAGGACTCTGCTTTATATCCATTGAAAAGCAAGAAGTAATACAGTAAAAGTTTGCCTGGCTACAGGCTTTGGAAGAATGGAGTATTCTGGTTTAATTCTATTAACTTGGAAGGATGAAGGTGGAAAAAATTCAAACCTTTAATTTCCTGTTGAATGCAATTTGAAAATATAGCCAATGAGTCCACTTTTCTTCTCTAGTAAGTTTGGACATTCAGATCTACTTGGTCTTTTATCATAGAACTCCTAGTGCGCCTGAGTCTTACGTTGTGAAAATCCTTTTCTAAAACTTTAGATGTAAGAGGATAGAAATGATATTGGATGAGATCAGGCTGGATGAGAACTGATACCTGTAGATATATTTTTTAGATGAAATCTCTGATTGCCACACGTTTTCTTATTGAACTCATAAAAATAAAACACACTGGCTGGAGGGTGGAAGTAGGAAGGAGATTTATGTCTTTTAATTGCATGTCATTGTTTCATATTGAGACAGAACGTATAGTATCCCTGGCTGTGGCCCTACAGAAGGAAACACATTTTTCTACCTGCTGTATGGCAGAGGTTCCTGAGCACCTGGAGGGATTATTGCAGCACGGATTGCTGGGCCCTACTGCAGAGTTTCTGATTCATTCATGTCTAGGGTGGGGCCTGAGAATTTACATTTATAAGAAGTTCCCAGGTGCTCCTGGTCCGGAGACTACATGTTTGAGAGCCACCCTTACATACTAACTGTAAATTGTAGATCTCTAGAAAAAAGCGTAGTTTGGACTGGGAGAAGAAGCACACAGGTAATGGAGCAAATCATGAAAAAGTCAACCCTTGATCCCAGGTAACAAGCAATACACAGTGACATAACACAATTCTTGGTTTTTATGATTGCAAGTCATAGCCAAGTATCGAGTGAGAAATTCAGTTTCATTTTCAGGGCTTAGAGGCCAGGTGATTCTAGAAAAATCGGATTTAGTGATTAACTCATGAGAGTAGGAGTTATTTATGTCCTTTTTCTCTCCCCCATCACTTAGCATTTAGCCTTACTTTAGAAGGGTCCTGTATTTGCTTTAACCTTGTAAAGAACTTTGAGTGCTTATTAAATGGAAAGCCTTGTGTGTGTGTGTGTGTGTGTGTGTCTGTGCGTGTGTGTGTGTGTGTGTGTATTTAGAGACAGAGTCACATTCTGTAGCAGCCCAGGCTGAAGTGCAGTGGCATGATTTTGGCTCACTGCAACCTCTGCCTCACAGGTTCAAGGGATTCTCCTGCCTCAGCCTCCCAAGTAGCTAGGATTACAGGCACCTGCCACCATGCCCAGCTACTTTTGTATTTTTAGTAGAGACAGGATTTCATCATGTTGGCCAGGCTGGTCTTGAACTCCTGAATTCGGGTGATCCACCCGCCCCAGCCTCCCAAAGTGCTGGGATTACAGGCATGAGCCATCATGCCTGGCTCAAAGCTTTGTATTTTTAAAGATATTAGACATGTTTCTTGTTTGTTTGTTTTTTTAAAAAAAACTAAACGCTAATGTAGGAGAATAAGAGAAAGTTTTTCCAAAAAAGAGAAAACATTGTGATTATCTTATTGGAATGTTGGATAATAAAGTCTGCTTTATCAATCATCAAGCACACTATAAAATTTCCATTTTAATAGGACTTGTACCTCAATTGAGGTAATAAAGTTTTAAAGTTTTTAAAGTGAAAGCCAGCCCCGCCCCTCTCCTGGAGTGGGCGGGGACAGCGGTTGCATAGGCAGCTTTCCTTGTGACAACACAGGTCCTTGATGACACGCTGCTGTCTGGCCACACCTCCTTTTCCTTTCATCTTTCTCATTGACCAATGGGCTTCAAGCATGAAGGCCACACCCCTATTCTGCATTCTAGTGCAGCCCTGGTTACGCCTCCTCTGGCTCAGTCACACAGCGACGTAGAGGTGACTGGAGGTATATACTTGTCCTCACCTGGATCATGCTGATGTGGCCCCAACCCCACCTCCCTACCCATCCCCACCTCCCTACCCATCCCCACCTCCCTACCCATCCCCACCTCCCTACCCATCCTATGATGTCCAAAGAAACCAGACAGAGCAAATTGGCCGAGGCCAAGGAACAGGTAAACGCACCAACACCCCAACCCAACCCGAGGCCCCCTCTGACAGCCGAACTGCTGCCAGAGTCTGTGCCACTCCTGAGGGACACCAGGCTGGGCCCCCCACCCCAGTGCCTCTGGGCTCCCCACACCAAAATCTTGTCAGCCAGCCCAACCCCCTCATAAGTCCTGCCCCTGCTCTGCCCGGCACACCAGGGTGACTTTGAGCAGGTGACTCCTGGGGCTTCCAACTCCATACTCCGCCCTTACCTCCTGCTACCCCAAACCCGACCTCCCTGGGCTCCTTGAGCTCACAGCTCCAAGGACCTGGGTGCCCCAGAACCTGCCCTCACCAGTTGCCACAGGGTGACTTTGGGGATGTGACTCCTGGAGCTCCTTGCTCCTTAATTGGCCCTCACCTCCTGCCGCCCCAAGCCTGACCTCCCGGGGCTCTTTGGGGTCACGTCTCCAAGGACCTGGCTCCCAATTTTGTGACCCCCTCCCCAGTCTCAAAGCGGCAACTTGGGCATTGCACTCATGTGTCCCCCCCAACCACTCCACCGAGGAGTAGAATGTAGTGATGTCACAGTCCCGCTACAAACTGTCATTACTACCACAAGACCGGCCTTTGGTCTTAGGACCCAGTCCCCTAAGTGTTCTTGCCCACTTCTGTTTCCTCTGGTTGCAGCACAGGTTTCCAGCTGGAAGGGGAATGGGGACTGTGGGACCTAGAAGAGAGAGGTTTCAGGCTGCCTGACTTCCTTACCACAGACCTTGACAGTGTGAAAAGCCTACACCTCCCCCAGGAGCTCAACACGTTGACAGTGTCTCTGGGTGGCAATGGGAGAACGGGTTTGGTTTGGTTTTCTCCCAGGCTTCTACTCTCCAGAGAGATTTTAACATTTTTTCTCAGTTCTGCACCTCAGATTTGAATTCTCCATTGTTCTGGGACCAGAGTGCCCCTCAGTCACTGGTTCTGGAGTGAGATCTGCTTATCTTCTGTGGAACAGATCTTGGGAAACTGAACTTAGCTTGAGTCTTCCTCATCTCATCTCAACCTGGGGTACTTTGAGTGCCACAGGATAAATATGGGGCATCTTTCTGAAGCATCAGTTTCCCTTGATTCTATTGAGAGACAAAACATTAATGTACTTAGGGATGAAAGTCACATAGATTTATAAGCGTATACAAGACTTCTCTCTGAAATGAGGCTTGGGTTGTCCTCTTTCTGTTAAATTCCCAGATTTAGCAGAAAGGCTGCCTTCTGCCATGAGGAGACATTGATGTAAAGGTTTGAGAGGTACTGGTGTACTTTTTAACACTAACAGACGTGTGAGGGTGAATAACCCTAAACCACATAGTGCACAGTTCCTGCCTACTTAATATTTGCTTTTCTACCTCTGCCTCTGGTTTTGGTCCCTGGCAGCTGCTGATTTAGGGCAAAATCCCAGAGCTCAGAGTCAGAAGACTGAGTTTAAGTTCCATTACTGCCTTTTTTTTCAGCCATGGTATCAATCTCTCTCAGTCACTAAGTGATTGTGACAACATTTCCTACAGTTGGTGGCATTAAATCAGATGGTCTATAAGAGTATTTAGTATAAACTGTAAAGCAGGATGTGACTGTAGGAGCTTGTAGTTCTCATGAGTATCACTGCTCTTCCTTTCCACAGTTGACAGACCATCATCCCCAGACCAACCCTAGTGTTGGTACAGCAGCAAGCGACACCAAAAAGAAGAAAATAAATAATGGCACTAACCCTGAGACAACCACTTCTGGTGGTTGCCACTCGCCTGAGGATGTGAGTCTTGGCTGGCCGGGCTCCTGGGGACAGAGGGCCCAAGGGGTGGTGGAGGGTAATTGTTAAGATTGTGGAAGAACTGCCAGGTACTGGCTAAGAATTCTGGGTTTGAATCCTACCCCTCCATCTGCTAGGGATATGATTTAGCGCAAATTGCTTGAGCTCTTTGGGCCTCTCTTTTCACATCCGTAAAATACGAGTGGTATTGTTTTCCTTACATTTGTGAAGTTTAAATGAGATTTGTCATTGTGTTTTTATGTTAATCCCTCGTCCAGGACCTGCTGTAAACTCTCCTTCTTGGGCTTGCGTTTCCTGAGGTAGAGTTAGAGAGTATCAGAGGTTTCTGTTAGCTCTGAGAGCCCGAGAGTTAAAGGCCCACTAGAATGGAAACCTCGGGGCCAAGGGCTCCTGTCTGCCTTTTCTGACCTCTATTCCCGCTGTGAAGAACCGTCCCTGGCCCGTATGTGCTCAACGTTTGCTGAGTGAATGCACCTTTCTAAATCACAAGCTGGCGGAAGGGTGGGCTTTTCTCGCACTCCACCTCTGAAGGTTTCTGTTACTGTCTTTTCAAGAGAATCTAGTTTCAGACTTTGAGTTCTGTGGCTGTGGGCAAAAACCAAAAAGACCCAAATCCTTCTTCTTTGGGAGTTGAGGAGAGTTGACCAGTTCATGTTCCCATTGGGTCTGAGAACTGTGCCTTTTAAATCCATTCCTGGCCCCTGCCTATCGCTTCCTGGCCTGGGGAATAGAGTCAAGGGGGCCACCCTCAGTCACCTTCCTTTGACTCTCCCCACAGAAACAATAGAACCGAGCTCAGCTGGAAGAAGTCGTGTGATTTCTTTGCTCACGACATGACCGCTGGGTTTGGGGGCACTCAGATGTAGAGGCCCCAGGCTCATCTCACCCACTCCCAGCCTGGGGAAGAAGGCTCACCCCCAAGATTCCACCCCATCCCCACAGGGTCCCTGATAAACTGGTCCCATGGGTGGGCCTGTTCTGGGGCAGTGGTGCCATTCTGGGGGCATGTCTCTTGCTGTGCCATCTCTGCCTCCCCCTAGCAAGAGCTCTGTTTTCCTCTTTCTATAGGAACAGAAGGCAAGCCACCAACATCAGGAAGCCCTAAGGAGGGAGCTAGAGGTGAGTGGAGGGTGTGAAGTTCCCTCCTGCCCTCTGGAGAATGTTTCTTTGCTTCTCTTTCAGCATTTGCTTGTCTTTTCTCCCAAAGGCCCAGGTTCAAACCATACGAATCCTTACATGTCAGAAAACTGAGCTTCAGATGGCACTTTACTACAGCCAGCATGCTGTCAAGCAGTTGGAAGGTGGGAATCTGGCACCCCATCATCCTTCAACCTGGCACTTTGACAGGCCTTTAGGGGGAGTCCTTTGGGCCACATCTGAATGTCTCTCATTCCAGGAGAGGCCAGGGATCTGATCAGCCGCCTGCATGATTCATGGAAGTTTGCAGGAGAGTTAGAGCAGGCTCTCTCTGCTGTCGCTACACAGAAGAAGAAGGCGGATAGGGTGAGTCCAAACACGGCCCCGTCCCTTGGGAGCCCAGCTTCGCAGATGGAGGAGTGAGCCTAAAGGTCCCTTCTGTAGGATGGAGTGTCCTGCCCAGAAGGCAGCATGGCCATTTCTTGCTGCTTTTGTGTGTGGTTGTTAGAGGCAGACTGGGGCTGAGTCGGCTGTTGTGGGTGAGTTGGGGAGCACTGTGAGGAGCGAGCACTGGACATAGATCTCAGAGGCCAAGTGCCCGCCCTGCCCATACTTGGCTGTGGCCTTGGCCAAGTCCTAAGTGGCGGTTAGGGTACTTGTACCATAAAGGTACAGAAGAGTATCTTGAGTATGTTATTATTTGTGTGGAGAGAGGGGGCAGGTGTATATGTGTGTGTGTGTACGTATTATGGTAACATACATAAAACACGTTTGTAAGGATTCATTAAAAAACTCAGGATAGAGGCACAGTGTTGGGGGGAGATATTTCCCTTCTGGACTTTCTGAGTTTTGGACTATGCGAACGTATCATCCTTTCAAAAATTCAACAAAGGATTAATTTCCTCCTTCTTAACTGTGCCCCTACCTCCAGCGGAAGAATGGGCTTAGAGAATCAGATATACCTGGGTGTTGAAATGCCAGCTCCAAGTGATCTTAGGCAGCACTTAACCTTTAATACCGCATGTTTTTCATCTACACAATAGAGGTAATAATGGTAACCGTCTCCTATGGAGGTTGTGAGGATTAAATGGGATTGTTAGCATAGTGCCTGGTGAAGCACCCAATAAAGGCTCCAACAGTGGTAGTAATAACAGTAATAACAATAACAATATTATCTGATCGCTCTGGGCCCCTGTTAGCCAGCCCTAAATTCAATCTCTTTCCCTGTCCCTTCCACATCCACTGAGTTCTTTGAAAAACAAATGAGGGCCAGGTGCTCTCGCTCACGCCTGTAATGCCAGCACTTTGGGAGGCTGAGGTGGGCGGATCACCCGCGGTCAGGAGTTCAAGACTAGACTGACCAACACGAAGAAACCCCGTCTCTACTAAAAATACAAAATTAGCCCGGTGTGGTGGCACATGCCTGTAATCCCAACTACTCGGGAAGCTGAGGCAGGAGAATTGCTTGAACCCCGGAGGTGTAGGTTGTGGTGAGCTGAGATTGTGCCATTGCACTCCAGTGAGGGCAACAAGAATGAAACTCTGCCAAAAAAAAAAAAAAAAGAAAGAAAGAAAGAAAGAAAAACAAATGAGACCATGGGCTTGGAAATGCCTTGAGAACACGTCAGGTGTGATTGAGAGTGAGGAAGTGTTACTGTGGAGTAGTCACTGTAGCAGTTGTTCCTGGTCGTCCAGCTACTGCTGTGCCTGCTCTATCCTGACTTAACCTTTCTCTATTTGCAGTACATTGAGGAGTTAACAAAGGAGAGGGACGCCCTGAGTCTGGAACTGTACAGGAACACGTAGGATGGGGGAAGGTGGAATGGGAGGTCTGGGGGCCCTTAGCATGGGTGGTGTGCTGGGAGGTGGGGGGTCCAGGTGAGTGTGGGGAGAGGCTCATACATGTTTTCATGTGTGCACACGGAAGCTCTAGTGCTGGCTGTGCCACTGACTCATGGGGTAGCCTCAGGCAACTCATGTCTTCTCTCTGGCCTGCCACCTGGGACTTTTAATTCCTGGGGTCCCTTCCAGCGCCACGGTTCTGTGGTTGTGGGGCGAGGGTAGGGGGTCAATCACCAAAGTGGTCTTTTATGTTCTTCATTCATTCCTTTCTCTACTGCCTCTGGCCATAGCATAACTGATGAGGAGCTGAAGGAGAAAAATGCCAAACTACAAGAAAAACTTCAACTTGTAGAATCTGAAAAGTCTGAGATCCAGCTCAACGTAAAGGAGCTAAAAAGGAAACTGGAGAGGGCCAAGCTCCTGCTGCCACAGGTGAGCAGCTGCAGCCCCGGGGGTTGTGGGAGACCCATCCAGCTGGGACCATGGTCTAGGGATCATGCAGGGTATGGGGAGGCTCCAGCCAAGAGCTGGAAAATTTGGGTCCTTGTTCTGGCCCCGCCATAGAATCCTCTAGAGTGTACTAAAAATGTACAAATTGGGGCCCTGCCTGGGGAATCAGAATCTCAAGAGTTAGGGCTTAAAAATATTTTTTTAAAGGATCATGGATGAAAACCATTATTTTACAGATTACATTTATTTATTTATTTATTTATTTATTTATTTATTTATTTGAGAAGTAGTCTCACTCTGTCACCCAGGCCAGAGTGCAGTGGCGCAATCTCGGCTCACTGCAAGCTCCACCCCCCGGCTTCACGCCATTCTCCTGCCTCAGCCTCCCAAGTAGCTGGGACTACAGGTGCCCACCACCACACCCAGCTAATTTTTTGTATTTTTAGTAGAGACGGGGTTTCACTGTGTTAACCAGGATGGTCTCGATCTCCTGACCTCGTGATCCGCCCACCTCGGCCTCCCAAAGTGCTGGGATTACAGGCGTGAGCCACCGCGCCCAGCCTATAGATTACATTTATGTGGCTAGCTCATGATTCTGCTTCCTTCTGAGGTTCAAAAAAACACTTTCACTATTCCAGCAGCAGCTGCAGGCGGAGGCTGACCACCTGGGTAAGGAGCTGCAGAGTGTGTCAGCAAAGCTCCAAGCCCAGGTGGAAGAGAACGAGTTGTGGAACCGCCTGAACCAGCAACAGGAGGAGAAGATGTGGAGGCAGGAGGAGAAGATACAGGAGCGGGAGGAGAAGATACAGGAGCAGGAGGAGAAGATACGGGAGCAGGAGGAGAAGATGCGGAGGCAGGAGGAGATGATGTGGGAGAAGGAGGAGAAGATGCGGAGGCAGGAGGAGATGATGTGGGAGAAGGAGGAGAAGATACGGGAGCTGGAAGAGAAGATGCACGAGCAGGAGAAGATACGGGAGCAGGAAGAGAAGAGGCAGGAGGAGGAGAAGATACGCGAGCAGGAGAAGAGGCAGGAGCAGGAGGCGAAGATGTGGAGGCAGGAGGAGAAGATACGGGAGCAGGAAGAGAAGATACGGGAGCAGGAGAAAAAGATGTGGAGGCAGGAGGAGAAGATTCACGAGCAGGAGAAGATACGGGAGGAGGAGAAGAGGCAGGAGCAGGAGGAGATGTGGAGGCAGGAGGAGAAGATAAGGGAGCAGGAGGAGATATGGAGGCAAAAGGAGAAGATGCACGAGCAGGAGGAGAAGATACGGAAGCAGGAGGAGAAGGTGTGGAGGCAGGAGGAGAAGATGCACGACCAGGAGGAGAAGATACGGGAGCAGGAGGAGAAGGTGTGGAGGCAGGAGGAGAAGATACGGGAGCAGGAGGAGAAGATGTGGAGGCAGGAGGAGAAGATACGGGAGCAGGAGGAGATGTGGAGGGAGGAAGAGAAGATGCATGAGCAGGAGAAGATATGGGAGGAGGAGAAGAGGCAGGAGCAGGAGGATAAGATGTGGAGGCAGGAGGAGAAGATACGGGAGCAGGAGGAGAAGGTGTGGAGGCAGGAGGAGAAGATACGGGAGCAGGAGGAAAAGAGGCAGGAGCAGGAGGAGAAGATGTGGAAGCAGGAGGAGAAGATAAGGGAGCAGGAGGAGAAGATACGGGAGCAGGAGAAGATACGGGAGCAGGAGGAGAAGATACGAGAGCAGGAGGAGATGATGCAGGAACAGGAAGAGAAGATGGGGGAGCAGGAAGAGAAGATGCAAGAACAGGAGAAGATGCGGAGGCAGGAGGAGAAGATAAGGGAGCAGGAGGAGAAGATACGGGAGCAGAAGGAGAAGATACGGGAGCAGGAGGAGAAGATATGGGAGCAGGAGGAGAAGATACGAGAGCAGGAGGAGATGATGCAGGAACAGGAAGAGAAGATGGGGGAGCAGGAGGAGAAGATGTGGGAGCAGGAAGAGGAGATGCAAGAACAGGAGGAGAAGATGCGGAGGCAGGAGGAGAAGATAAGGGAGCAGGAGAAGAAGATACGGGAGCAGGAGGAGAAGATACGAGAGCAGGAGGAGATGATGCAGGAACAGGAAGAGAAGATGGGGGAGCAGGAGGGGAAGATGTGTGAGCAGGAAGCGAAGATGCAAGAACAGGAGGAGAAGATGCGGAGGCAGGAGGAGAAGATAAGGGAGCAGGAGAAGAAGATACGGGAGCAGGAGGAGAAGATACGAGAGCAGGAGGAGATGATGCAGGAACAGGAAGAGAAGATGTGGGAGCAGGAGGAGAAGATGTGTGAGCAGGAAGAGAAGATGCAAGAACAGGAGGAGAAGATGCGGAGGCAGGAGGAGAAGATGCGGGAGCAGGAAGTGAGGCTGCGGCAGCAGGAGGAGAAGATGCAGGAACACTAGGTGAGGCTGCAGGAGCTGGAGGAGAGGCTGGGGAAGCTGGGGCAGAAGGCCGAGCTCTTGGGGGGAGCAGGCGGAGGTGTGTGCAAACCCTGGAGATCATACAGAACGACCTCACCACAACTTAGCAGATGGTGGTTGGCTCCCTCTGCTTTTCCACCAGTCTGTGGCCTACAGTTTAAATGGTGGGAAGAAGGGTGTGAGATTTGAGGCTGGGGAGGGAGGCATGGGCCTCTAGGCAAGGGAGGCAGTCATTTAGGCCTGGAGGAAGGGGCCAGGGCCAGGGGCCTGGGTAGGCGACAGAGCCCCGCAGTGCCCTCACTACCCTGTTTATGGGCCCAGAATCTGGAAGCCAGCCACTACCTACCCTGACGCCTATCCTGCAGGTGGAGCTGAAGAGCCAAGAGGCTGAGTCTGCAGCAGCAGCGAGACCATTACCTGGGTCACCTGCAGCAGTACGTGGCCGCCTATCAGCAGCTGGCCTCTGAGAAGGAGGCACTGCCCAGCTGCAGCAGCAGGAAGCTCAGGGCGAAGCGGTGGCCGAGATGGCCCACCGATAGTTGCAGGAGACCCGGTTGAGGGAGTTGATGAGGGCGGGGCCCCAAGGGGGATGATCTGGCAACCTCCGTGCCTTCTCACTCTCTTTCCTGGCCCCTTAGGAGCACCTGGAAGCTGCCATCTAATGAGCACATGACAAGAAGGCAAAGACAATAAACATGTAAAAGCCGGCAGCAAGGCCTGGAGAAGAGTAAGCCGCCATGTGACTGTTTAGAATATAGTCTGAGCACAAACCTGAAAAAAAAATTTTATTTATTTTAAATTGTGGCAAAATACTGGCCAGGCATGGTAGCTCACGCCTGTAATCCTAGCAATTTGGGAGGCCGAGGTAAATGGATGACCTGAGGTCAAGAGTTCAAGACCAGCCTGGCCAATACAAAAATTAGCCGGGCATGGTGGCGCATGCCTGTAATCCCAGCTACTTGGGAGGCTGAGGCAGGAGAATCGCTTGAACCTGGGAGGCAGAGGTTGCAGTGAGCTGAGATCGTGCCACTGCACTCAAGCCTGGGTGACAGAGCGAAACTCCGTCTCAAAAAAAAAAGTTTCTTCCTTACATGTATGTTTCTATTAGTTTTCTTCTTGGTCTTTCTCATTTAGTCTTGTGTTGTCTTTTGGCATTCATAGTAAACTTTTATCTGCCTCCAGAGAGTATTGACTTTGAGTTTATGGCACACAATTGGAGTAAGGGCAGATCGCCTTCATCTACTTCGGGACTAAGCTGGTTCAAAGCAGGTTTTAGGTTTTCTGATGGCTGGTCTATGTTTTATTCATTTGGACTCCCAGGGGTGGCCCTTCCAGGGTCCCCACCAAGGTCCCATCTCCCTCCTGGGACCCAAATTCTCATTAGGTCATTTCAGCCCTGTGAGAGTGCCAAACATTCAGCTAGGCTCTCCAGCCTCTTAACTACCACTTCATACTCAGTTTCTTAGCCTCTTAGCCCTCTACTGTTGACCAATCACCAAATGTGGGAAAGCACTACAGACTGTCAGGATCACCTCCTAGGCCTGGTCACTCAAGTCCTGACTGAGGTCTCCAATTACCTTCCAACAATTGTTTTTGATTGGGGGCGGGGCACATTTTTATCCAGTTTTTCTAACTGCTCTTGTGGGGAGGCGAATCTGTAACAAGCTCCTCTGCCTTTATTGAAAGTTGAAAACCTTCATCTGTCCTTTTTTTGTTGTTGTTGAGATGGAGTCTTGCGCTGTTGCCCAGGCTCTAGTGCAATGGCACGATCTCTGCTCACTGTAACCTCTGCCTCCTGGGTTCAAGCAATTCTCCTGCCTCAGCTTCCCGAGTAGCGTGTGCCACCATGCCTGGCTAATTTTTTTTTATACCTTTAATAGAGGCAGGATTTCACCATGTTTTCCAGGCTGGTCTCGAGCTCCTGACTCAGGTGATCTACCTGCCTCAGCCTCCCAAAGTGCTGGGATTACAAGTATGAGCCACTGCATCCGGCCCATCTGTCTTTTAAAACATGTTTTTAATTGGAGGTATAATTTCTATTAGTGAAATGCACAGGTCTGGTTTACATTTTGATGAGTTTTAACTCATTTAACATTACTATGGAACCCACCTCCTTTGAAGATACAGAGTATTTCTATCATCCAGAAAGTTCTCCTGTGCTTTCATGCTGTCCCGCACTCCCCCAGCAGCTGATGAACATGCTGAGGACATTGGTACTGGATTCTGGCCGCCCCAAAAGAGCCGCTTTGACCAGGCTTACCCAGCACTAAATCCCTGCCTGCTCTCTCAAAATTTCCATCTTTAAACTGGTTGTACCTATAACCCTCCCTCATCAAGTCAATAGATAAACAAACCCTGAAAAATAAACAACTCTTCCTGGCCCAGCAGCCCACAGCCTAATATTTACTGTATTCCCAGGCTTTCAGAAATGTAACTCGCCTGCCGGTTCACCCTCACTAGGGCGGCAGCTGCACGGGAGCAGCTGGGCTCACCCATTAAGCAAGAAGCCAATAGCTGGACAGTGACACTCAGACCCCAGGCTGGGCGAGCCTGGCTGAAAGCCCCCTTCTTTCCATCCGACTGTGGAGAAAGGGGGCGGAGCACACACAACTCTACTGCCCTCCACATCCTTCACCCGTGCTTCCTCCTGGGAGAGGGAGCCGCTCATTAATTTGGCCAAAGCCTTCTTGAGGGCTGTAGGTTTCACAGGCTGGGTGTGTGGGGGCCACCGTGCTAGAGACAGAGGCTGGTGTGTCAGAAGGTAGCCACCTGGCCAGAGGGGGGTCAACCCCCTTGGTGACCTCCTTCCCCCGGCTGGACACAGTGCCCTGCACTCTCTACATGTGACTGTTCCCCTCAGAGCTGCTTCCAGGGGAGGGGTTCTAATCCTGTGGGTGGGGACATTGTGTTACTTTACAGTGGGCCATGGCTCCCTCTGACATCTCCAACTCAGAGGCAGTAGAGAGAAGATGAGAAATTCCCTGCCCCTCCTCCCTCAGCACCCCCACCTCTGCACATGTCCACATGTGGAGACCCTGACAATGGGCCCTGGGAGTGCCGCCATCTGTGCCTGCTTTCCATGCCTGCAGCAGCCATGCCCACTCTCCAGACCCTCACCCGCCTGGGTCAGTAGACGCTTCACTGCCTGTGGTCCTGCGCCTACACCTGGGCCTCTGTACCCGTCAGTTCCCCCAGTCTGGTTCTTATTCCCTGCAAAGAGTAGGGAGCCTATAAGGTCACCTGTTGAGCAAGCTGGGGGAGAGAGTAGGGTGGGGCTGGGAGGATGAGGAGGAGAAGCTCATGGTCGTGCTGGAGACTCAGCTGAGCAGAGTCTATGCAGGCCCATTGGCTGCCTAGCCAGTGGTGATCTCGCTCCCACCCTCATTTCTTCTTTGTTAACAAAACCATGACCTCATTAAATACTGGACACCTATAAACCTCATGGACCCTCCTCCAGCCTCCCCACCGTGTACCGGTGAGTCTAAGTCAACTCTAGTCATTTCATTCCTCTGGACATTGACTGCTTAGGGCTTGGGCATGAGCTTCCTCTTCACCTGAGCCTGAGCCACAGGTACCCTCTGCACCTACCACGCTGATGCACTGGGCCAGGGAGAGCGCCGTCTGGATGGAGATGAGCTGTGAGGAGCTGGTGGCTGGGCGGATCAGGTTGTTGTAACAGGTTTTGTTCAGAAGGTCGTCCATCAGTTTCTGCTCGGCATGGGCCATGCGGCAGTCCCCTGGGTAAACACACAGACATGCTGGGCCCTTGTGCAGCTGTCTCCCACTGCAGCTGACAGCTATGAAGCAGGAGCTGAGAGGGCCAGGGAGCACAGACACCCTGAGAGCTGGCTGAAGCAGTGAAGGTGCTGGCCGGCCTGGCTTTCCCTGGGGACTTCAAATGACATTCACGACAGAGCTCAGCTACCTCCTCCCCATGCCATATCTCTTCCTCCTCCTCCTCCCTCCGTCAATGAACAGCATCCCACGCTCTACACATCTGATACAAAACTGGGTGTCTCTTCCTGACTCCTCCCTTGGTTCACCCAAGTGGCCACCAAGTCCTGTCTGTCCTCCCATCTCCACGGCTACAGCCATGTCCCTGCCTCCCCCGCCCTGCCCACCTTCTATTCTCTCCACCCACACTCTGCCCCTGCCATCCATGTGCCATACAGTGGCAGACTGATCTTTCTACAGCAAACTGGACGAGGGCCCTTCCCTACCCACAGCTCTCAGAGCTGGAGGTGGAGTTGAAGCTCATGTTTTGGCTTGGCATTCAGAGCTCTTTCCCCCTCAGCACTGGCTTATCCAGAGTGCTCACAGTGCAGGGCAGGAGCCTCGTGACTCAAATGTGGGTTTGGTGCAGAACTGGGTCTGAGGTGGTGCTTTCCCTGTGAAGAGACAGGGCCGACATGGGGGAATTTTCTGGGTTCAAAGTTAGACCTACAGAGTGCAAAGTTTCTCTGAGGCACCAAATGGAGGGGTCCAGCTAGCAGCTGGCTCCTGGTCTGGAGCTTCAAGGAGAGGTCTCAGCTCAGAGCCACATTCAATAGCCAGCTTACATGTGGCCTCCTGCAGGGAGCCCCTGGAGCTTCCACAGCCTCCGTTCTGCCCCTCTGCATACCCCAGATCTCCTGCTAAGTGGCGTTTGGGTCTTCATGTCATCTCCCTCCCATGTCTGGGAGTAAAGGTGAGGTGCAGGGACTTGCGCTTGTGTACTCTGGTGTCTTAAGGGAGAGTGTGTCAAGTAGAGTGGAGGCGGCTTGGAAAGAGGGAGACTCAGAGGAGAGTGAAGGACACATGACCAGGCGAGCCTGGGAGCAGGAAAAGAGAGTGAGCAGAGGCAACTGCTGGGTCAGGGGAGCGGATGGGAGGATCAGGGAATGCGGGGGGGCTGGAGAGGTAGGGGTGGGGATGTTGGCGAGGGGCTGCCTGGCTCGCCAGGCTCAGGAGTCAGTTACATCCTCCCACAAGGGCCAGCTCACCTGGTCGCCCCAAAGACCTCCCTCTGTGGGTGGGACCAGAGGGCCAAGAGCACGGATAACCCAATTGAGCAGGACTGAGGCGGACTCAGGTGGGTGCTGGGCCGGACTCCTGGCTGTGGGGAGCAGCCGCCACCCTGCCTATTGCATCCACTTTCCAACTCGCTGCCTATCTGAGCAGATGCGATATTGGGCACCTTGTGAAACATGCTCCTGGTGCACCTGCTGCCTGCTGCCCCTCCTGCAGAGTGCCCGGGCTCTCCAGAGGGGATTCCTATGGAGGCTTGGCCTAGATTCTGAGTCCTGCCTCTCATACCTGGGGCTGCTACCCCAGAGGCCAGCTGCTTGAGTACCCCGGAAGCCAGTCTGTAGCCCCAGGCTACAGCTGGGTCCATCCCACAGCCCTTCTCTAATGTACCTATTTGGACTGGCTGCTCATTTCATAGAGAGGGGTGTGTCTTGCCCCAGACCATCTGGCATGTCTAAGGCAGCTGTGGGGTCAGAATCTGCAGCTCCCAGCCCTCAGCCCAGCAATAGTAGGAAAGGCTGGACCCCACATCTCTGAAGTCCCACTGGGTGGGTGTGAGCGGGCTCCCGAGTACAGGGCTGCTCTGCAGGCTGTGGGGCTCATGCGCCAGCTCTGAGCCCACCTGATGTGCTCACGTTGCTCACCTTTGGGCCTGTCCTGCCTCTCAGGCATTCGGCTGACCCTGAGGGCCTCTCCCTCATCTTGACCACCAGCTACGGGCTCTGATTTAGAGGTTCCCAGAACCTTAGACCATTTGGCCGGCCCCCCATTTCTCACCTGAGGAAACTGAGACCAGAGAGGGATAGCAACTTTCTCAAGGACCCCCAGCAATTCAGAGGCAGAACCAGGTCTAGGAGCCTCTTCTCGATAGAGGTTCCCCCTGTCCCCTGAGCCTTCGTTAGTGCCTCATTAACTTCCCTGTAAGGAAACTGCCCCGCTGAGGCTGGAAATGGTGCTGTCCAGAGTGGTGTGTGCCAGTGACTGTGCTTGTGTTTGTACTTGTGAGTGTGTATGGGGGTGGGGATGAGGGGTGGGAATAAACGGCAGGGATGCCGGGGGCTGGATGCACTCCACCTCACCCCAAAAAGGGGCGCAGGAGAGCCCAGCCAAGCACAGCACATGCTTCGACTTTCCAATCTGCTGAATGCCTGTGAGGCCGGCTGGGCCCAGAAGACAAGGGACAGGCCTTTCCCCATAGATGGCAGGGGGGACCCAGGATGGGTGGAAGCTTCTGCCGCAGCTTTGGGGGTCACAACCCAGCCCATGGGCTGACACTTAAGCAGAAAAGCCACCTCTAGGGGTCAGTCATAATCTAGTGATTCTGATGAGGAGGGCCCCACCAACCTCTGTCCAGGGTCTTGTCTGGGAAAAACTGCTCCCTGGCAGAAAGAGGCTAATAATTTGAGAGGAAGCCATAGCTGAAACCCTAAGCTGTGTGAGTGTGTGTCCAGTTTGAGAAAGCATATCCGACTTAAACATTTGTATTGAAAAAATGGAAACATATTCCCCTTGTTTTGGAATACAAACTGCAGAAAGCAGCAGTTAACAGAATCTTATCGGAAAGGTCAGACTCTGCATCTGGAAAGGCACAGTGATTTTCAACTGCGGTGTGTGTCCTTAACTGAGGAAGGGAAGGTAAGATTTATGTTTAGTAAAAGGCAGCTATGAATTTACCTTTTATAAAGAGCTTGCTATATACTATTAGTGCTTTTCAGTCATGTCAGAATCAGCCAGATGCCTGTGGAAATGCAAATTCCCAGGCTTCATTCCCAGAGATTCTGGTCCTGTGAGCCTAGGGTGGGGCCCAGAAATCTCTATGGGGTGGTGCAGCCTGCCCCAGGACCACACCAAGAAACACTGCAACTGGCCCACACACATCCCAGTCCACAAATATGTAGGCAGGCATCTTATCTCCACAGAACAGATAGGGAAACTGAGGTCAGAGTGGGGAAAGAAACGTCATGGGGCCACCCAGCAAGTAGTAGCAGAGCCACGATACACCCACTGCCTGCAGACACCATCTCTGATGACAGCTCCACCTCCCCACAGGAATCTTGCCTACCCCCACCCCTACCTCCTGCTGCCCCTATGGTGGGTCTCTGTCCAAGGAAGATGTATCCTAGGTCCTCTAGGCTGACTGCGGCTCAGAGGAAACCTTGGCCCAGAGTGTAGGAGCTAGAGGGGTCCTTGGAATTCACGTGGGGAATTTGAGGCCCAAAGAAGGCAGTCCTCACATTTGAACTCTGTCTGGAGAAGGGCTAGGTCTTCTTCCTGAGTGGTAGTTTTGACTTCACCAGCCTGGCCCTCAGTCAAGCTGGCTGTCCAGGCCCGCCACACCTCGGGGTGGGTGACCAGAGGCGGTGGTGCCATAAAACACGTTTCCTGGGAGATCCACCCCCAAAGCTCAAAACATTCCAGGGCTGGTGATTTGGGCAAGCCCCCTTCCCTCTCAGCCCAGTTTCCCCATCTCTGCAACAGCCGTGCTGGTGGAGACTTCTGATACTGAGCTGCAGATTTTCTCCTGGGTGCCTACACAGCCCAGGTTGCCGGCTCCTCTGTGCCCACTCTTCAAGAAAGTCAGCTCTTAGGTAAGGAAGGTGCCTTGGCCCTATCAGGAGCAGGAGCCGGTGCACCCCCAGCTTCCCAGGCCAGTGGGGATGACCCAGGCTGCCTACAAAGCTGCTGCCCAGCCCAGAGACACCCGCCTGGGAGGGTGGCCCTGGCCCTTGCAGCGGCTCTGAGAAGAGTCGGCCCCCACTCCAAAACTGGCAGAGCCACCCATGCCTTCCCTCAGCCCAAAGAGGCTTTTAGGAAAATGAATCGTCTCAAGTTCAAACCCATGGGGTTGCTGAAAGACAAGACAGTGCAGGGTGAGCTGGTGCGAGGGAGCGCTGCTCGGTGCAGACTTTGCAGGGAGGGCACTTAGGAAAAAGGACTGGAGTCTGGGAGGGTTAACTAGCTTAGGGTTAAAGGGAGGGGATGGAGCTGGAGTGAGCTGGCCTCGTCCTCCCCCTTGGGCCTTCCAGCCTGGGCTCAGGTGATTCAAGGGAGCAAGCACCTCCCTCTCCCAGCCAGGGAGTTCTCGCCACATTCTGCAATCAGTACCATTCCCCTGGGGGCTGGGTGACAGCCCCCACCTCTGGACCTGGCTGGAACTGCTGTCTCAATTCTAGATCCAAAAGAATCTCTGGCAGCTTCTCCATCTCCCTCTCAGTCCAGCCTCACCTCTTCGCCCGTGGAGGAGCTCCAACAGCAAATCTGGCAACTGGAGGAACAAGGCAGGAAGGGCAGGGTCTGAGGAAGGAACCACCTTCAAAAGGCAGCTCTGCCACCTTCTCTCCAGGACTCTCAGGCTTGCTTTCCTATTGCTCCCTCGACATCCTTTTGCTATAATCTGCCATGTTGACGTATAGTCTTTAAAAGCAACAATGCTGTTGACGTGGAGCAGACTTCCCATTTGGGATGGTTTGGAGAAGTTAGGTTTGAGGGCATCCTCTCTTCTGCAAACTGCAGCAGTAATAGATGAGATATACAAAGTAAATAAAGGCTGGGTGCGGTGGTCGTGCCTGTAATCCCAGCACTCTGGGAGGCTGAGGCAGGAGGATCACTTGAAGCCAGGAGTTCGAGACCAGCCTGGCCAATATGGCGACACCCTGTCTCTACTAAAAATGTAAAAATTAGCTGGGCATAGTGGTGCACACCTGTAGTCCCAGCTACTCAGGAGGCTGAGGCAGGAGAATCACTTGAACCCGGGAGGCAGAGGCTGCAGTGAAATGAGATCCCGCCACTGCATTCCAGCCTGGGCGACAGAGTGAGACTCCATCTCAAAAAATAAAAATAAAAAATAAAGTAAATAAAAAAGACATGCCCAGGCTGAAAAATAAGTTAATTATCTCCATGAACGAAAAGCAGACAAGAAATGCAAAGTGGTTGGAGGCTGAAGAGCCTGGACCCTCCTGGGCTTTGGGAACCAAAGATGGTGGCAAGTCCTTTGGGATAAAGAGGGACAAAATGACTCCTAGCTAGAAGCTGGGAGCTTGGGTGTACCCCAGTACTTGAAAGGATGCTAGCTGGGCGCGGTGGCTAATGCCTGTAATACCAGCACTTTGGGAGGCCGAGGGAAAGTAACTCTTATGTCAGTGTGAAGCAAATCAGACAGGACAGGGGAACATGGAGGGGAGGAGAGCCAAACCAGGGCCTGGTTCCAGACCCACCACACCCGCCCCGTTGAGCCAGGAGCACAGGTGGCTCTCTGCACAACATCAAGAGCGAGGACATGCTTTCAGCTCCACTTTAACTCAGGTTCCTAATGTGACAGCAGGCTTGTCAATCCCACTTGCCCCCGTGTCTCACACCAGAAAACTACCAGCAGTGTGAGTAAGGACAGAAGCAGGAGACAGAGGAGCCAGGGTTGGGGAATCCCATAGCAACCCACAGGCCCTCATCACACACGGCAAGGATGCGCCTTCACTGGGCTCACCACCACCACTCGACATCACCTTCACTACATGATACCCTGCCTGGATAACACCACTGTAACACAAGAAACAGGTCTAGAATCTAGCATGTATGCTACACCTGAAGGAGCAAGAGACGGTAATACAATACAATGAAATTTTTAGTTTATTTAATATAAAATTTAGAGCCATAATCAAAATGTGTAATTCTGATGGGATTCACTACTTATAAAAACTTTGCAGCGCTCTATTTTCAAATGTAAATGGTATTCTGTGGCTCCTCGCCAGCAAGTAAATAACGATCTACTCTGAAATACGTTTCACGGCTTATTTTTGGCAAGCAGCGATTTCTCCAACTCACGTTTTCCAAGGGAAAAAAGGACATGAAATGTCTCCAAAAGTCTCTTACGATCTTTAGATAAACTACTGTTCAACAACTGCATCTGCCAAGTCAACACATCAAGAATCCTTCACTCACAAACACTTAAGGTGAGAAAACAGTGTCTACCCATGCGGGAGAGGGACACATGATCCATGCTTATGAAGACAGCCTGGATATCGGCTACTGGAAAGCTGCGAATGCATTTTTCTTTTTCTACTTTCCAAAATTTTTGTGAGGTGATACTTATTTCTATGTTTGTGTCTATTCTTTCTATTTTGTATTTTTTAGTAGGTACATCCTTACTATAAATCTGCTGTAGAACCAATGTCCCATACAGGACCCCACGTGCCACAGGAACCAAAAAGTCACACGCAGCGAAGACGAAGACACAGGAGACAACCTGTGTGGACAGCACAGAGCCACCTGCCCAGGACACCAATGGAGCCACAGGTGCAATTCAGAATGTTCTTAGTCGTATTAATAAACATGGCCAGGTGCGGTGGCTCACGCCGGTAATCCCAACACTTTGGGAGGCTGAGGTGGGCAGATTACCTGAGTTTGGGAGTTCAAGACCGTCCTGGCCAACATGGTGAAACCCCATCTCTACTAAAAATACAAAAATCAGCCAGGTATGGTGGCATGCTTCTGTTAGTCCCAGCCACTCAGGAGGTTGAGGCAGGAGAATCATTTGAACCCAGGAGGCAGAGGCTGCAGTGAGCTGAGATCGTGCTACTGCACTCCAGTCCAGGCAACAGAGTGAGGATCCATCTCCGGGTGGGGAAAAAAAATTGTTCTTAGTCACATTAACAAAAGTAAAAAAAAAAAAAAAACACACCAACAAGAAAAACAACAACACATAAAATTAATTGTACTAATGGCTGGTTGCAGTGGCTCATGCCTGTAATCCCAGCACTCTGGGAAGCCAAAGCGGGCAGATTACTTGAGGTCAGGAGTTCGAGACCAGCCTGGCCAACATGGTGAAACTCTGTCTCTACAAAAATACAAAAATCAGCCAGGCGTGGTGGTAGTCCCAGCTGCTCGGGAGTCTGTAGTCCTGTAGTCCCAGCTGCTCAGGAGGCTGAGGCAGGAGAATCACTTGAACCCAAGAGGCGGAGGTTGCAGTGAGCCAAGATTGCACCACTGCACTCCGGTCTGGTCAACAGAGTAAGATTCCATCTTAAAAAATAAAAATAATTTTAATAATGTATCATAGTTATTCCAACAGATCAAAAATATGACCATTTCAACATGAAATCAATCTAAGAAAAATTATTGAGATATTTTACATAGGTTATTTCATATTAAGTCCTCAAAAACCATCTGAGTAGCTTACATATGTAACACATTTCAATTTGGACCGTGAAATTTGCATTGAAAACATCTGATCTCCATTTAGACTCATAAAATACACAGTTGACAAAGTAGACTCCCAAGGCCAAGTGATTCTAAACATACTTAAGTGCTTTCTAATAACAGAATCAAATTTTCAAACCTGCATTTTAATGAATAAAAATTAAACAGATAAAATATTCAGTGTCTCAGCTATGACGGACAGACTTCAAGTGCTGATCAGCAAACGGTGTTGAGTGTAGCCAGATGGGCCAGCGCAGGCTACACAGCTGCAGCTCAAACAGCACAGCTGCAGGTCAAACAGGCCAGTCTCTCTGCGCACGGGAACAGTCTGGGCAAGCAGGAGACGGGGAAAACGGGCACTGCCCTCGTGAGAACAAAGGACCCACAACAGGAACCCTGCACTCACCCCCTGCCAAAGACCAACAGCCCCACGAAGCAGCCACTTCAGAAAAGGGAGAGGCATTCAAGAACTTAGAAAAGCACCTCTGGAAAATGCTCACTTTAAAACTTTGCATGTAACTGTACATTTTAATTACAAGGTTTTTAACATCCATTTTCTCATGTATTCTTAATTAACTCTGTGAAAGTAAACACAGCTTTTATTCTTACTCCTATAGTTACTGTGTTGGAAGTCCACCTATATGAACAAACTGTTGTAACTGAAATTTTCTGAGAACAAATCCCAAGCTCTTTCCATCGACACAAACTATATTGTTTAGTTCTCTTTATTTCCATTTGTTAAAGACCAGAATGTGTGAAATATGCATTATCAGATTAGAAAAACAAAACAAACATCAGAAAAAGGTTTTGCAAAATAGCATTTACTAAAATCTATGACAGAAACTAGCTCTAAAACTTCCTGTTTCAAAATTTCACTGTGTGTGCACTAAGTTAGTTTTGCTGGCTGTGGACAGCAGGCCCACCCCATGCCGCGGGCCCACCCCACGCCGCGGGCCCACCCCACGCCGCGGGCCCACCCCACGCCACGGGCCCACCCCACGCCACAGACCCACCATGGCCCCATGAACAGGCCAGCTGAGAGCTGCAGCCACTGCCCAGGGCTCCCTGGTCTGTACTCGGCTGCCTGACCCAAGCTGCCAGGGCTCTGCTTTCTCTATGTGTAGAAACAAAAACCAGGAGCATCAGTTGACGAAAAGCAGATTTTTATTGAACAGAGGTATAAATGTGTTTCATTTTCTAATAAATCTCTTTCACAAATCACCTTGCTGTTTCGCTCTTCTTGAATGATCATTTTTACACAACACTGTCTGACTGTTTTGGCTTCTGCCAAGGTTAGCGTCTGTTCACAGGCTGAGTCTGACTTCCTCCTCCCACCTCCTCCTAGTCTGGCCTTCCAAAATAATGCTCACCATTCTATCACATTGACTTCAGTTTTGAAAAGAAAAGTTATCTTACAAAGTAGTAGGTACAACTCTGTAATATGTAAAGTGAGGCAATGATAGAACCAGTTTTAAAAATAACCTTCCATGATGATTTTCATTCGCACCTACCTGCTTATTAGTAAGAATCTTTTTACATGTTTACTGCACGCCCCAATTTCTCTTCTGTGAAAAACTTCTGAGTATCATCACACCCTCCAACTTCTCCTCTCACCTATATTGAGAAGGGTCTGCTCTTTATCCTAACATCTATACTAGGTAATTTTCAGAATATTCCTTCAATCATCAAACAAATTTTTGAGACCCTTGCGCTAGATTTCACTATCTTAATATGAAAACCAATAATCACCTATTAAAATACAATACAGGCCGGGAACAGTGGCTAACACCTGTAATCCCAACATTTTGAGAGGCCAAGGCAGGTGGGTCACCTGACGTCAGGAATTTGAGACCAGCCTGACCAATATGGTAAAACCCCATCTCTACTAAAAATACACAAATCAGCCAGGTGTGGTTGCAGACGCCTGTAGTCCCAGCTACTCGGGAGGCTGAGGCAGGAGAATAGCTTGAACCCAGGAGGCGGGGGTTGCAGTGAGCCAAGATCGTGACACTGCACTCCAGCCTGGACGATAGAGCAAGACTCCATCTCAAAAAAAAAACAAAAAACAAAAAACACCATTAATAAGTAAATAAATAGGCCAGGCGTGGTGGCTAATGCCTGTAATCCCAACATTTTGGGAGGCCAAAGTGGATGGACCACCTGAGGTCGGGAGTTCAAGACCGGCCTGACCAACATGAAGAAACCCTGTCTCTAATAAAACTACAAAATTAGTGGGGCATGGTGGCGCATGCCTGTAATCCCAGCTGCTCGAGAGGCTGAGGCAGAGGAATTACTTGAACCTGGGAGGCGGAGGTTGCAGTGAGTCAAGATCGCACCACTGCACTCCGGCCTGGGCAACAAGAGCGAAACTCTGTCTCAAAAAAAAAAAAGTAAATAAATAAAACACAATACAATACAGCTAATATGATTTACCTAAGAAGCTGTTGTATGAGCTGAACCAGAGGCAAACACTGTTTGCCAGAAGACTCACAGATCCCCGTATTAATAAGGTCTTTATCCAATGGAGTCCTCCTTCTATGAAATGTTGAGGCATTTGCCTCCTGTTCATAAATTTCTTTTTCCTTCCGTGCTTCTTTTTTTGTATCCTGTAATTGACAAACAGAAATTGTTTACAAGTGATCTCATTACCAGGTGTGAAGGCACACAGGCTGGCTGAGCCCTGACCCCAGTGCCAAGCTATCCCAGCCTCTGTGGCTGCCACACCCATCCACCCACAGGCCCCCCACCTGCCCTGTTGGAAACCCCAACTCATTTGTGCAGTTTCAAACAGTGTCTTCTTTTTACAGATCCAAGGTCCAGGCTGCCTCTGCTGATGCTCTCCAGCCTCCTTCTGTGAAGTCCCTAAAATCCTTAACCCTGCTAATGGCTCACACAAAACCCAATGTGATCGGCTCCACACACGCAGCATCCAGCTGCTCTGTAAGGACAAGAAGGAGCTAGAATTCTCACACACAAAAGTCCTGGTTCAAATGCAAATGGCAAAGCCACTTTGGGAAACTATGAACACACACTTACCCCAGGACCTAACAAATTCCACTCCAAGTGTTTATCCAAAGGGAGAACATATGTTCACTAAAGTACTTGTTCACAGCACAATTGTGGCAGCTCTACACGGCCAAAAACCAGAAAGCCTGGGCGCGGTGGCTCACGCTTGTAATCCCAACACTTTGGGAGGCCAAGGTGGGGGGATCACTGGAGCCCAGGAGTTGAAGACCAGCCTTGCAACACAGTGAAACCTTGTCTCTACAAAAAAATCAAAAAACTAGCCGGGCATGGTGACATGTATGTGGTCCCTGCAACACAGGAGGCTGAGGTGGGAGGATCATTTGAGCCTAGGAGGACAAGGCTGCAGTGAGCCAACCTCAGGTCACTGTATACAGCCTGGGTGACAGAGCAAGACCCTGTCTCAAAAAAAAAAAAAAAAAAAGAAAACAAAAACCAAAAACAATTACATGTCCTTCAATAGGAGAATGAACTAACAAACAGTACTACACCTATAAAATGGAAAACTTCCCAATAATAAAAACGAAGTCGCAATACACACAACAGTGAGTGAATCTGAAAATCATTCTCCAAGGCAAAGCAGGAAAGAGTGCATACTATACAGTTATATTGCTGCGACACTCAGAGCAGGAAAAATGAATCTAATCTCAGGGCAGGGGAGTATCCTGGCTGCAAGTGCCAAGGAGCACAGGGATCTTTCCGGGTGACGGGAATGGTCTACATGAGGAACAGGTTACCTGTTAACTTCACTGAAACAGACAACATGCAGTATTTTATCACAAATCATCTCAATAATTTTTAAAATTAGCACATAAAAGAATTTTAATTTAAAAAAATACTTGGATATAAGTTTAGTGTTTTACTGTTTTCAGTTATTCTTCACATGTGTGAGTGTGGTATTTCCGATCTCAGCCCACCACCAGGTCACGTGTGCCTCCAAGGCCATACCTGGATCTCTGCAGTAATGGCTGCGTGTAAGGCTGACTCCAACCCTCCATCAGCCATCAAGCTGCCCACCAGAAGATCAATCACCAATCGATGACCTGGACTTATGTTCACTTCATTGCCTGAAACTGAAATAGAAAGTCTGTGCCAATTTGAGTGAAACGCCATCCCCTCCCAGCACCCTGACCCATGCCCTCTCCTGTTCCTTCCCCGAGCCCACCTCCACAGGACAGGAGAGCAGAGTGCCCGGGCCTGCTTCTCAGCGGTGGGCAACAGCATGGACCAGCCGCTCTGCAGCATGGCCTGGGAGGCCGACTGCACGGTGCTCAGCACGTCTGCGCTGCTTGCCAGGGTCACCACCTTCTGCTTCAGGCTGTTCAGGAAGACGCTGCCCAGACCTAAACCAAGGAATTCCAGGTCAACCTGGTGACTAATGGCAGCATGCAACTGAAAGGAGAAAAACAATTTTCACTTAGAACCCCTAAAAATGAGTGAATTTCAAAGTCTTATTAAACACTGAATAAAAGTCAATTTGAAGTATTATTTAAATAGACAAAATAACTTCTCAGTTTACGTATTTTTAAAAACTGGACTAAAAAAACTCTTACCCACAATAGTTGAAATATTTTCTAGAGGAATTTTTTTTAACCCCGCTATGAACATATATATGGAAAAGCTCAAGATGAGCAGAAGAGCTAAACAACTAGCAACAGCAACCTCCACCCCGCCCCAACAATCTGCACCAAACACAGAAATAATGGCTACAATGTAACCACAAAAGCTGCCACAGGCGGTGGCTCATGCCTGTCATCCCAGCACTTTGGGAGGCCGACGGGAAAGCTCACTTGAGATCAGGAGTTCAAGATCAGCCTGGCCAACATGATGAAACCCCATCTCTATAAAAAAATCAGCCGGGTGTGATGGTACACACCTGTAGTCCCAGCTACTTGGGAGGCTGAGGCAGGAGAATCACTGGAACCTGGCAGGCCAAGACTGTACCACTGCATTCCAGCCTGGGTGACAAAGTGACACCCTGTCTAAAAAAAAAAAAGAGCTGCTAAAAATTAGACTGCGGAGCTGAGAGTACACAGGGAAACTCCTCAAGTGCAAAACCAAAATTCACATGGGCACACACAGCAGGAGTCAAGAGGTTCCGGGCTCTGAAAGCAGAGCCAAGCCGCCAGGCTTCAGCACAACCTCCCACACGGGAATGCACACAAGGACCCACTGAACCCGAGCTTCCTGCAGAAGGCTGGGAGCCACTCAGGATCACCTGCCTGCCAGCCAACCGCAGCCAGGGGGCAACACACTGCCCGTCCCAGGCTCTGGGTAGCAAGAGGCCCCATGAGAAATCAGAGACCCGGCCTTGCCCTGTGAGTAGAAGTGAAATCAAAAGCACACCACTCATCTAGGTATAGATATCACAGGTCAGGAAATGACCACCGAAACTCACCTGGAGTCTGTGAAACCTACAGAACCCTCAGGACCCCGGAGAGGCAAATGCAAAACCATACGCTGGGACACCTCGACAGCCTAAGACATACGCAAGGCCACGCCCCACAGCACTGACCAGAACAGACACATCACCGCAAACCAGGAGGGGCAGCAAACACCTGGGGCGCAACCACGCAAACGCCAGGATGCCACAGGTATGGTGATAAATGAGTGCTACAGAGGACTAGAGGAGAAGCATGCTCCAGACCTCTGCTCAGTTCATTACTGCAACTAAACACTACACTCAGTTCTGTACATTCTAGAAGCAGGGCAAAAAGGGGAGGGGCTGGAAGAGGGACATGACGGGTTGTTACAAGAAACCACTGTAATAAAAGGGAAAAATTACTATGTCGAGAAAACCGTGGTTCTTGTCATTAAGTTAGAGGGTTTTATTACAAAGACAAAAGATGATGATCAAACACTTCAGCTTTAGTTTTGCTAGGGAGGAAGGCTTTTGTAGCTTTTATTGTGACCCTAACCACAGCCTTCATGGTGAGGAAAGGAAGGTATTGCTTTGGGAGCCGAGCTTACTGAGTAGATCAAGCTTGTTCAACCCACGGCCCGAGGGCAGCATGTGGCCCAGGGCAGCTTTGAATGTGGCCCAAAGTAAAATTTCTTAAAACATCATGAGATATTTTTGGGATTTTTTTTTTAAGCTCATCAGCTATCATAAGTGTATTTTATGTGTAGCCCAAGACAATTCTTCTTCCAGTGTGGCCCAGGGAAACCAAAAGACTGGACCCTCCTGGAGCAGGGTTTTCACAGGACAGAGGAGAGACAGGCCAGCACTGGTCTCTCAGCTGAGCTCTGTCTCTCTCCATCACCTGTGATCTCACCCAGTCATTTCTCCACACGCACCAACAGTAAAACAGTAAGAATACCAACAAACTAATGATTATAGCAAAAATAACACAATCCATATACACTCTTCCTGCATGCCGAGGCTGACTTCCAGGACAAACATAAAATAAACAGATCAAGTTTTTTAAGCCTTGCGTCCATTATTAGTGCATTACAATCTTACTTTAAAATACTTCCCCCAACAGGCTAAAACCTATGTCCTTCAGAATACATAAACCTTCTTACAAATCGCTAAGACACTTATAAAAGGAGCAAGAGGAAGGGAAATCACGAATACCTGAAGTCGGGGAAGATTCAACGTTGCCACGGCCACGCACTCTTTCTCCTGGGGCGGGGGCCAGTCCGCGGAGCCATCCATCCCCTCACTCACCTGCCGAAGCAGGAGATCCAGCTGCTCAAAAGTCACTGAGCAAATATCCACCCCAAAAGGGACATGGAGGCCAATGGACCACTCAGAACACGATGACCAAGCAATGCTCTAAGAGGAAACGCAACAATCGGAAATGAATCTCCAAATGCAGCTCTTGGTCTGTCGCACAGGAGTCACCAGCTTGTGTGATGGAGCTGCCTTATATTATTACCTATCATCCCTCTAACTGCCCAGTGGAAAAGCATTCATGGGTGTCTAGCTCACACACTATCAGCTTCCAATTCTCCCACCCATTTCACTAGCCCCATCTCACTTGGCCATACCTAAAAAAGTAAAAACATTTTAAAAAATCTTTTCACTCTCAAAATGATTAATGCACATTAATGGATGGCAGTGAGGCTCTCCATCCACTTGAAGTGGTATAATAGCAACTCTAACTAGACAATGAATTGTTAGACACATATAACACACACAATACCTTTCATAGTGAGAGAACAAGTAATCGGCAAAAATCTAGGAGAACTGTAGAACACCTTCAATAAACTGGATCTAATTTATAGAACACTTCACCCAACAACAGCAAAATACATATACTTTTTTTTTTTTTTTTTGAGACAGAGTCTCGCTCTGTCGCCCAGGCTAGAGTGCAGTGGCGGGATCTCAGCCCACTGCAAGCTCTGCCTCCTGGGTTCACGCCATTCTCCTACCTCAGCCTCCTGAGTAGCTGGGACTACAGGTGCTCACCACCACGCCTGGCTAATTATTATTATTTTTTTAATTTTTATTTTTAGTGGAGATGGGGTTTCACCATGTCAGCCAGGATGGTCTTGATCTCCTGACCTCGTGATCCACCTGCCTTGGCCTCCCAAAGTGCTGGGATTACAGGCGTGAGCCACCGTGCCCGGCCATACATACACTTTACATATACTTTTTTTAAATTTTATTTTTTTTGAGATGGAGTCTAGCTCTGTCGCCCAGGCTGGAGTGCAGTCGCACGATCTCAGTTCACTGCAAGCTCTGCTTCCCAGGCTCAAGCCAGTCTCCTGCCTCAGCCTCCCAAGTAGCTGGGACTACAGGCGCCCGCCATCATGCCCGGGTAATTTTTTTTGTATTTTTAGTAGAGACGGAGTTTCACCCTGTTAGCCAGGATGGTCTCGATCTCCTGACCTTGTGATCTGCCTGCCTTGGCCTCCCAAAGTGCTGGACCATACATATACTTTTTAAGCACATACAGACCATACATATACTTTTTACACATATATGTATACATATATGTATATACAGACCATACATATACAGACCATACATATACTTTTTAAGCACATACAGAATGTTCACTGAGAACATAACCTGACACATAAATCTTAACAAATTTAAAAGAAATGAAATCATATGCAGTTTGTTCTCCAATCACAATGGTATTAAACTAGAAATCATTAACAAAACAATCTGCAAACACTTCAAAATAAAACAACATACTTAATAATCCATGGGTCAGGCCGGGCGCACTGGCTCACGCGTGTAATCCCAACACTGTGGGAGGCCAAGTTGGGGGGATCACCTGAGGCCAGGAGTTGAAGATCAGCCTGGCCAACATGGAGAAACCCCATCTCTACTGAAAATACAAAACAATTAGCCGGGCATGGTGGCGGGTGCCCGTAGTCCCAGCTAATCAGGAGGCTGAGGCAGGAGAATCGCTTGAACCCAGGAGACAGAGGTTGCAGTGAGCCGAGATCATGTCATTGCACTCCAGCCTGGGCAACAACAGTGAAACTCCGTATTGAAGAAAAATAATAATAATAATAATCATCATCATCATCCATGGGTCAAAGAACAATTCTCAAAAGAAATTAGAAAATATTTTGAACATAAATGAAAATGCACCAAAATTTGTGGGTTTAATTAAAGCACTGCTTAGAGGAAAATTTATAGCATCAAATCATTATATATTACAAAAAAGATAGGTCTAAATCAGCAATCTAAGTTTCCACCTTAAGAAACCAGAAAAAGAGCAAAGTGAACGCAAAACAAGCCAAAGGAACAAATGCCAAGATAAAAGCAGAAACTAATGAGATTGAAAGCAAAAAAAGAAGGGAAAAATTAATGAAACTTAAAGATCATTCTTTGAAAAGATCAACAAAATTGAAAAACTCTAGGAAAACTGACAAAGAAAAAAACAGAAAAGATACAAATTATCAGTATCAGGAATGAATGAAGGGACATCACTGCAGGCCCCACAGACTTCAGACGGTTAGCAAGAGAACACTAAGGAAAACTTGACACTTAAAAATCAGACAACTTAGATGAAATAAAGCAATGTCCGAGTGCCACAAACCAGGAAAATCCTCCTAGAAACAAACAGGTTACCTGAATAGTTCTGTATCTGTTAAATAAATTGAATTTGTAAAAAATTTTTTTTTTTTTTTGAGCCGGAGTCTCACTCTGTCACCCAGGCTGGAGTGCATTGGTGCAATCTCAGCTCTCTGCAATCTCTGCCTCCTAGGTTCAAGTGATTCTCCTGCCTTAGCCTCCTGAGTAGCTGGGATTACAGGCGCACGCCACCAAGCTCGACTAATTTTTTGTATTTTTAGTAGAAACGGGGTTTCACCATGTTAGCCAGGCTGGTCTCAAACTCCTGACCTCAGGTGATCCACCTGCCTCAGCCTCCCAACGTGCTGGGATTATAGGCACGAGCCACCGTGCCCGGCGTAAAATCTTTTAGAAAGAAATCTCCAGGTTCAGATGGATTCAAAAACATTTAAAGAAGAAATAACACTAATTCTACACAATCCCTTAGAGAAAATGGAAAAGGAGGGAACACATGCCAATACTTTGTATAAGGTCAGCTTTCCCCTGACAGAAAGCCAGACGAGATAGTATAATACAAAGAAAGAAAACTGCAAACCAACATCCCTGATGAGCATCAACAGAAAAATCCTCAAAAACGTGTTAGCAAGTCAAATTTAGCAATATAGAAACAGAATAGGGCCGGGCGCAGTGGCTCACGCCTGTAATCATAGGAATATTGGGATGCCAAGGAGGGTGGATCACTTGAGGTCAGGAGTTGGAGACCAGGCTGGCCAACATGGTGAAACCCCATCTCTACTAAAAACAAACAACAAACAAACAAAATTAGCCAGGTGTGGTGGTGCACACCTCTAATCCCAGCTACTCAGGAAGCTGAGGCAGGAGAATTGCTTGAACCCAGGAGGCAGAGGTTGCAGAGAGCTGAGATTGCACCAATGCACTCCAGCCTGGGTGACAGAGTGAGATTCTGTCTCAAAAAAAAAAAAAAAAGAAAGAAAGAGAGTAGTAAATCGTGGCCAAGTGATGCCTATCCCAGTAACACAAGGCTTGGTCAGTATTTAAAAATCAGGCTGGTATAGTGTCTCACACCTGTAATCCCAGCACTTTGGGAGCTCACTGCAACCTCAAACTCTTAAGCTCAAGCAATCCTCCTGCCTCAGCCTCCTGAGTAGCTGAGACTACAGGTGCACACCAGCATGCCACGCTAATTTTTAATTTTTTTGTAGAGATGGGATCTCGCTGTGTTGCCCAAGCTGGTCTCTAACTCCTGGGCTCAAGTGACCCTCTCGCCTATGCCTCCCGAAGTGCTGGTGTGAGCTGTTGCACCCAGCCAAAATACGGCAGATTTGTAGTACCCCAGAAGGCTCCTTCCTGACCTACACTTTCCCACAAAGGAAACTACCCTTCTGACTTCAATCATCGTCAGTTCTGCCTTCCTGCGCTTCATCTAGGTGGGCTGGTACTGTGCACTGTCTCTCATACCTGGCTCCCTCTATTCACCCATGTCGTTGAGTGTTCCTACCACTTCATTTTTCTTTTTTGGCTGTGTAGTATTCCATGATGTGACTGTATCACCATTTATTCACTCTCCTGTTGATGGACATTTAGGTTGTTTTCATTTGGGGCTCTTATGAATAAAAATGGCAGTGAACATTCTTATATAAGTCTTTTTGTGGACATATGCACTCGTTTCTCTTGTGTACATGCTTAGGATGGAATTTCTGAAGGTAGGCATAGATATAGCTTTAGTAGAAGCTGCCAAACAGGTTTCCAATGTGCTTATACAATTTTATGCTACTGCCAGCTTGACAGTTCTTGTAGCTCTACATCTTTACCAATACTCTGTATAACACAGCATTTAACTTTAAATAGAGATAAAACGATGGTAAGATCCAAAGAAGTGTGCATGTTCCTGAAGAACATCCCGTAAAGGGCCTATTTTATTCATCTGTTTCGGGCACTGAAAACCACTGCATGGCTGGATGAGGAAGGAGGCCTGGTACAACTCCCAAGAAGGCATGTGTCCCTCGGGTGGGCTTTGTTTCCCAGAAACTCTGGGGAAGGGGTGGAGAGGCACCTTCTGGGCCAGCTGGTCTCCTCTGGCTTTTCTTGTACCCTAGGGCTCCCTCCAAAGAGACAGAGAACAGCCTGGCCGGGGAGCAGTATCTCCTACTGCGCTTGCTGTGAGCCAGCCACTCTGCCTTCTTTCAGGAATTACAAAATCCACAGGTCCCCGGCATTCTTATTTATGTATTTATTCATTTATGAGGCATGGTTTTCCTCAGCTCTGTTGGATGGGTCTCTGTGAAGGGAGCTTGGTGGGGGCGAGTGGCCGCTCCCTGGAGGAGGCAGGCCCCTGGTCAGGATCTTTGGGGCTCCAGGTCTCATAAGTGGGGGGCCAGGCTCCCTAGAGAAACCCTTCTTGGCTAGGGCTGGGGAGCCCACCAGAGTGACCCAATCAGTTCTCAGGGCCTGTGATGGGGCCAAGTGGTTTTGAGAAGCCAGTGTTCAGCTCCATCCTAAAGAGCACTCATGCACGTTGAGGAGGAGGGCCGGGGTGCACAGCTCTGACCTGAGTCAGACCCACCTCAGGACTTAGCCCAGCAGGAGGCCCAGAGTCACTGACCATAAAACGAGCAGATGCCTCCCCCGTGCTGATGGAGATGAGTCTTGGGCATCAACTCTAATAATTTCTAACTGCACCCAGAAATACTGATTCACACAGCAACTAGTGAATAATAGCCTTTTAGAGCTAAAAAAGCCTCATATATTATAAATTAACATATGCATTTTACACAAACTAGAGGCACCGTGGTGGGCCAGCAGCAGCCTGTTCAGGGGCCACAACAAGGGAGATTGGATTTCCTTAAGTGCAATGGGAGTTACTGGCAAGGCTTTAAGGTTTTAGCCACAGGAAAGATGAAAGTATTTTAGAGCAATGTGGGTGGATTCAAAGTGAGGTTTTGAACTAGATCAGTTTTTTTTTTTTTTTTTTTTAGACAGAGTCTGACTCTTATTGCCCAGGCTGGAGTGCAGTGGTGCTATCTTGGCTCACTGCAACCTCTGCCACCCAGGTTCAAGCAATTCTCCTGCCTCAGCCTCCTGAATAGCTGGGATTACAGGCACCTGCCACCAAGCCCGGCAAATTTTTGTATTTTTACGGGGTTTCACCATCTTGGCCAGGCAGTTCTTGAACTCCTGACCTCGTGATCCACCTGCCTTGGCATCCCAAAGTATTAATTTTTTTTTTTTTTTTTGAGACGAAGTCTTGCTGTGTCGCCCAGGCTGGAGTGCAGTGGCCCGATGTCGGCTCACTGCAAGCTCCGCCTCCCAGGTTCACGCCAGTCTCCTGACTCAGCCTCCCGAGTAGCTGGGACTACAGGCGCCCGCCACGATGCCCAGCTAATTTTTTGTATTTTTTTTAGTAGAGATGGGGTTTCACCGTGTTAGCCAGGGTGGTCTCAATCTCCTGACTTCCTGATCTGTCCGCCTTGGCCTCCCAAAGTGCTGGGATTACAGGGGTAAGCCACCACGCCCCTCCAAGTATTAAATTTTTTATTTAAAAAATCTCCCCTCTCCAAAGATCTCCCAGCATTTCTGCAGAGGTCTCTACCTAGGTAAGGAGAAGAAACTATTCTTGGCCGGGTACAGTGGCTCACGCCTGTAATACCAGCACTTTGGAAAGCCAAGGTTGGAGGATTCCTTGATCCCAGAAGTTCGAGACCAGCCTGGCCAACATGGTGAAACCCCATCTTTACCAAAAATACAAAAATTAGGTGGGTGTGGTGGAGTGTGCCTGTAGTCCCAGCTACTCAGGAGGCTGAGGTAGAAGGATCGCTTGGGCCTGGGAGGTCAAGGCTGCAGTGAACCAAGGTGGTGCCACTGCACTCCAGCCTGGGTAACAGAGTGAGATCCTGTCTCAAAAAAAAAAAATTATTTGTGAGGGTGAAATTTAAATACCTTTGTGCATAGCTATCAGTTATTCTTTGTTTTAATATTTAGTTTATTGTGAAATATAACACATATAGAAACATACATAAAACAACACACAGGGCCAGGCCCGGTGGGTCACGCCTTGTAATCCCAGCACTTTGGGAGGCCGAGGCGGGCGGATTACTTGAGGTGAGGAGTTTGAGACCAGCCTGGCCAACATGGTGAAACCCCATCTCTACTAAAAATACAAAAATTAGTCGGATGTGGTGGTGCATGCCTGTAATCCCAGCTACTTGGGAGGCTGAGGCAGGAGAATCGCTTGAACCTGGGAGGCAGAAGTTACAGTGAACCAAGATCGCGCTACTGCACTCCAGCCTGGGCAACGGAGTCAGACTGTGTCTAAAAAAAAAGAAAAAAAATATAGGCTGGGTGTGGTGGCTCACGCCTGTAATCCCAGCACTTTGGGAGGCCGAGGCGGGCAGATCCCTTGAGGTCAGGAGTTCGAGACCAGCCTGACCAACATGGAGAAACCCCATCCCTACTAAAAGTACAAAATTAGCCGGGCATGGTGTTGCATGACTGAAATCCCAGCTACTTTGGAGGCTGAGGCAGGAGAATCGCTTGAATCTGGGAGGTAGAGGTTGTTTTGAGCTGAGATCACGCCATTGTACTCCAGCCTGGGCAACAAGAGCGAAACTCCGTCTCAAACAAACAAAAAACAAAACAAAAACAAAAAACACAGTGTAACATGTTATTATAAAGTCACTGCTCAGGGACCAACTTGGCCGGTCCTGTGCCTCTAGAGGGAAGCTCCTTCCCACTGTTCTTTAGAGTTTTATATGTTAAGTACAGGAGTCAACAAACTAGGCCTATGCACCACATCTGGCACCCAGCCTTTATTTATTTTTTGAGATGGCGTCTCACTCTGTCACCCTGGCTGCAGTGTGGTAGCACAATCTCGGCTCACTGCAAACTCCACCTCCCAGATTCAAGCAATTCTCCTGCCTCAGCCTCCTGAGTAGCTGGGATTACAGGTGTGTGCCACCACACCCGGCTAATTTTTATATTTTTGGTAGAGACGGGGTTTCACCATGTTGGTCAGTCTGGTCTCGAACTCCTGACGTCAGGTGATCCGCCTGCGTTGCCCTCTCAAAGTGCTGGGATTACAGGCATGAGGCATGATGCCTGACCCAGCCTTTTTTAAAATGAAGGTTTCGGCTGGCGCGGTGGCTCACGTCTGTAGTCCCAGCATTTTGGGAGGCCAAGGCAGGTGGATCACCTGAGGTCAGTAGTTGGAGACCACCCTGGCCAACATGGTGAAACCCCGTCTGTACCAAAATACAAAAATTAGCTGGGCGTGATGGCAGGCACATGTAATGCCAGCTACTCGGGAGCCTGAGGCACGACAATCACTTGAACCCGGGAGGCGGAGGTTGCAGTGAGCCAAGATCACACGATTGCACTCCAGCCTGGGCAACGAGCGAAACTCCATCTCAAAATACAATAATAAAAAAAAGGATGTCCTTTTTTGTCTCTCAACCCCGTTTTTTATTTTTTTTTATTTTCAGACAGGGTCTCGCTCTGTTGCCCAGGGTGGAGTGCAGGGGCCCGATCTTAGCTCACTGCGGCCTCAACTTCCCCAGCTCACATGATCCTCCCACCTCAGCCTCCCAAATAGCTGGGACCACAGGTGGGTACCACCATGCCCGCCTAATTTTTGTATTTTTTGTAGAGATGGGATTATGCCATGTTGCTCAGGCTGATCTCGAACTTCTGGGCTCAAGTGTCTCTCTGCCTCCACCTCCCAAAGTGCTGGGATTGCAGGCCTGAGCTACCATGCCCAGCCCTGCTTTAATTTAAAGTGTATTACATTTGATATTAGTACAGCCCCTTCAGCTCTTTTTTGGTTACTATTTTAATTGTATCTTTGTATCCCTTTACTTTCAATCTGTTTCTGTATTTAAAATGTTTATCTTGTAGATAGCACATTGGTGGATCATATTTTGTTCTTCAATCCTTTCAGCCAGTCTGCTTTTCTTTCTTTCTTTTTGAGACAGAGTTTTCCTTTTGTCACCCAGGCTGGAGCGCTATGGTGCGATCTCAGCTCACTGCAACCTCTGCCTCCTGGGTTCAAGCGATTCTCCAGCCTCAGCCTCCTGAGTAGCTGGGATTACAGGTGCGTGCCACCAGGCCTGACTAATTTTTGTATTTTTAGTAGAGACAGGGGTTTCTTCATGTCGGTCAGGCTGGTCTTGAACTCCTCACCTCAGGTGATCCACCGCCTCAGCCTCCCAAAGTGCAGGCATTACACGCGTAAACCACTGCGCCCGGCCAAAGTGGTGGATTTTTTTTCTCAGAAAATCTATTCCATTCTTTTTCCAGAAACCAAATTTGTACAAGTTAACTAAAATAAATATTTATACTCTAATTTTTTTGTTCTGAGGTCTGAGTTTTTAGAATTTTATCTTTACATGTTTAGAAAAATTAGAAAATATAGATAGAACATAACCAAGAAAATAATAACAACTTTCCTTCTGTTCAAAGTTCATTACTATTAGCCGAGTGCAGTGACTCACACCTGTAATCCTAGCACTTTGGGAGACTGAGGCGGGCGGATCACTTGAGCCCAGGAGTTCGAGACCAGCCTGGGCAACATGGCAAAATCCCGTCTACAAAAACTACAAAAATTAGCCAGGTGTGGTTCCATGTGCCTGCAGTCCCAGCTAGTGGCAAGGCTGAGGTGGAGAACCACCTGAACCCGGTAAGTCAAGGCTGCAGTGGTGCAGCCTCTGTCCCCCAGGCTGGAGTGCAGTGGTGCAATGTCGGCTCACTGCAACCTCCGCCTCCCGGGTTCAAGCGATTCTCCTGCCTCGGCCTCCCGAGTAGCTGGGATTACAGTCACGTGCCACCACACCTGGCTAATCTTTGTATTTTCAGTAGAGAAGGGGTCTCATCATGTTGGCCAGGCTGGTTTTGAACTCCTGACCTCAGATGATCCACCTGCTCTGGCCTCCCAAAGTGCTGGGATTACAGGCCTGAGCCACCACGCCCGGCCGTTATTTTTCTTTCTTAGAGGCAGGATCTCACTCTGTCGCCCAGGCTGGAGTGCAGTGGCACGATCTAAGCTCACTGTAGCATTGATCTCCCAGGCTCAGGCGATTCTCCTGTCTCAGCCTCCCGAGCAGCTGGGATCACAGGTGTGTGCCACCACACCTGGCTAATTGTTAAATTTTTTTATTTTTATTTTTTAGAGATGGGGTCTTGCTATGTTGCCCAGTCTGGCAACATGGGATCCTCCAACTCCTGGCTTCGAGGGATCCTCCCGCTTCGGCCTCCCAAAGCGCTGAGAATTACATACGTGAGCCACCACGCCCGGCCTATATTGTTTTATAGTTCTTCAATTTTGTTTTGTGGTCGCTGGAGGTGTTTCCTTCTTCGATTCCCTGCACAGTGCTTCCACAGCTGCTCCATGGAATCTGCCCAAGACTTTTGCTGCGTTCAGTTGAACACACAGGAGGAAGCTCTTCAGGCCCCAGCCAGCCGACCGCACAAAGATGCGTTCTCATACCCAGGGGAGCTGGTCTCGCCACTCGACCCGCGCCCTGGATAGCTATAGTTAGTGTGAGCGCCACCACCCGCCGCGGCGTGATCAAGAGCGCTCCGGGCCAAGCAGTCTCCCGTGGGAGTGCGGGAGTGCGTGCGTGCGGCGGAAATCCCGCCTTCCGGCGCCCGCTGTTGGCCTTGGCCGCAGCCAGGGCGCTCCAAGTAGGAAGATAAGCGGGATTGCTGGAAGCGGGAGAGTCGGGAGGAGCGGCGAAGGGCTCCTCTTCCCCATTGGCTGCGCCCACGGAGCAGCCTCGTTGCGATTGGCCGTACGCGGGGGGCGGCAGTCCCGCGTCGGCCCGCCCCTCGGGCCGCGAGAGGCGCCGGGATCGCGGGCGCCGGCTGAGCCAGCGGCTCTTGGGAGGCTGCGTCCGCGCGCCGGCGAGGCGAGGCGGCCGGGCCCTGCGCGTCAGGTCCTGGCCTGGGGCACCTGGGCGGCCGGTGGCGGGGGCGGTACGGGCGCGGGGCTGGCGGGCGGCCGAGCCCGGGAGGCGGGCGTGGGCGCGGCGGCCGCACCGGGGCCTGCGCGGACCACCCGCGGGGCAGCCTCGGGCCTCTCTCCATCTCTTAAGTGGTGGTGGCTGTGGGTTTTTCTGCAGGCGATCCTTTTGAGTAATTTTTTGTTTCACGCACGCGCCCTGCTGTGGGGTAAAGCGGCAGATTCATGCTGCTGTCATTTGTCGTTAAAACGATGGGCTCCCTGTTATGTGTGTGTACTTCTTGGATTTGAGGGCAGGGGGATGACATTGTGACTTGGCTTCCTGTGACCGTCCATTCTCAAGGTCTCGTCAGCGTGGTGCAGAAACTCGGCACACCCTGCCTACCTTGGAAGGAGGCTTTCCCTTCCCCACCTCCCTCTCCCTCCATCTCTTCCCTCTTTCCCTCTCTCCCTTTCTCTCCCCTCCACCAGCTCTTCTCTCCCCCCTTTCTGTTCTCTCTCTCTTTTTTCTTTTCTGGCTTTCGGGAGTGTCTTTGTAAACTATTAAAAAGCGTTAGGTCTTCAGCGTATGTGTTTACTTGCAGGCCTGAGACCTGGGAGGAAGCTGGAGAAAAGATGCCCTCTGAATCTTTCTGTTTGGCTGCCCAGGCTCGCCTCGACTCCAAATGGTTGAAAACAGATATACAGGTGGGGTTTGACATGTCTTTTTCTTGGTGTGTTTCTGCTTCCATGTTTAAATTTCTCGTGTAAGGCTTTTTTTTAGGGTATGTAAGGGGAAGTCAGTTGTATCTTGCTGAATTAGAGGAGCAGGTTTATTTCCTGTAACTTAAAATGTAACAGTCTTTATGGCTGTTTTTGTAGATCGTGCGCGGCTGCCTTTTAATTAGTTTCTTGCAAGTGCACGAAACTTGAGATCTATTAATAGGCAAAATTTTTTTCCTATTTATTATTACTGGTTAAGAAATCTGCCACACTCCTAACCATATCATGGTGACTGTTGTTTGTTACTGATCGTTTTTGAGCTGTTGAGTTAACTGTGGAGGGGAAAATTGGAGAAGTAAGTTGCAGTAATTATGGCCTATAGAAACTCACTCATTTTATGAGGTCTTGTGTTTGTGTTTCTGGAGAGACAAGAGTTAGTTCAGTTGAGCTGTTTGTTTTGTCTTTGTAACTCCTTATTAAGAGGAGTGCTCAGATTTTCACATCAAGAATGTGAGGAAACAATGTTGGCCTTAGATCCTAATTTTTTGATTTAATGAGATAACTGCAAGCTTGTCAGGACATTATTAAATAAATAATAACTAATATTTCGATAGACAATTATTTACACCCAATCTACTTTTATTTGGAAATGGCTTGGAAAAACTACTTTTGGAACTCCTTATCAGCAGCAAAAAGAAGTGTTTGAAATATTTTGTGTGTGTCTGTATTTTCCTACTCCCTAAGGTTAACCATTTTAAGTATTAAGTAATGTGCCTTGACTGTTCATCAAAAGTCGTGTAGGCTGTTAAGCAGTAGTTGATCATGGATACTTACACTGAAGTGTTATTGCCCCTTCCTAATTTTTTTTTTCTTTTTAAACAGGTATTGAGTGTTGGTAGATATGAGAGTCCAGTGTTTAGAGCTGTGTTGCGTGGCCGGGCGCAGTGGCTCACGCCTGTAATCCCGGCAGTTTGGGAGGCCGAGGCGGGTGGATGCCCTGAGGTCAGGAGTTGGAGACCAGCCTGACCAACATGGTGAAACCCCGTCTCTACTAAAAATACAAAATTAGCCAGGCGTGGTGGTGTATGCCTGTAATCCCAGCCACTCGGGAGGCTGAGGCAGGAGAATCGCTTGAACCCGGGAGGTGGAGGTTGCAATGGGTCAAGATCATGCCATTGCACTCCAGCCTGGACAATGAGAGCAAAACTGTTTCAAAAAAAAAAAAGCTGTTGTGGATGATGGGATTGTTATTCATAGTGTAATGTTACATAAGACAGAGTACAGAGAATTGGGTCAAGAATTGGTGTAGTTACTCTTTGGGTTTGTTTCTCTTTAAACATTTCCTTTGATTTAGCTATAATGATCTGTTTTGTCATTTTAAGTGGATGGGAGAGGTGAGAGATGAGTACTTTCATATTTCTGAAATCCTGAGATTCAGGCAAAGTTTTAATAATTGTTTTATATTAGTGTTTATGTATTTTGAGAAACTTTTTGGAGTAAAGGACTTTACGTAATAAAGTGTTTTTCTTAATAATTGTAATTTAATAACTGCTAAACATGAGTTCTAGTGTCTTGATCTAAAACCAGTTTAATGCTGAATTGAGTTCCTATGATGGGTTGGGCAGATAAACATACAGTGAAGCACCATTTATATCTTAGAGGGCCTGTTGTTTTGATTTATTAAGTTTAATACACAGTACTTGGTCCTTGTTACACATTTCCAATATGATTAGAAAGTCTTTTTTTTTTTTTTTTTTTTTTTGAGACGGAGTCTTGCTCTGTCGCCCAGGCTGGCGTGCAGTGGCGCAATCTTGGCTCACTGCAACTTCCGCCTCCCGAATGCAAGTGATTCTCCCGCCTCAGCCTTCCGAGTAGCTGGGATTACAAGTGTGTGCCACCATGCATGCCCGACTAATTTTTGTATTTTTAGTAGAGATGGGGTTTCACTGTGTTGGCCTGGCTGGTCTCCTGACCTCAAAGCGATCTGCCTGCCTCGGCCTCCCAAATTGCTGGGATTACAGGCGTGAGCCACTGCACCTGGCCAAAAAAAAAGTCATCTAAATTCCTCCTAGGAGTAAGGGAAATGACTAGGTTTTGGATAGTGTGCACCAGAGGAAAAATGTGTTACAGGTCTAAGTAGCATGAAAAAAGTGATTGCTAAGCTTTGTTTTATGTTCCACCAGCATTGGTTGTTAAACACAAGGAATGAATGGTGGTGTTTTACCGTAAGGAATAAGACATGGTTTCCCTCTTTGGGGAGCTTCCCTGCAGACAGGAATTGCAGATGGAAGCCTTGTGCTCACAGGTTTTACCCTTATCTTGTTGAGGATGGCTCTCCCAGCTGGAGTGGGAAGCGCTTCACTGCTTGAGACTTTTGTATTGGAAACAGAATTGACACCTGGGTAATGAATAATACATGGGATAGGAAGATGTTTCTTAGCCATAGGATTTAACCGATCTGTTTTCCACAGCTGTTTTTGTTTGAAATGCCCTTAAAAGTTTTAGTAACTTTAGAAAGGAAGAGTTTTTGGAGTGTGAAAACTTATAATGCTTGTGTGTTATAGAGAGCACTTATTGACTTCTTTATCATAGACATTATTTGGATACGTCAGGCCTAGGGCCCTACATCCAGCAACCTCTAATGCAGGGCTCATTTTATGCCAGGCATATATATGTGGTTATTACATATAAACAGTTTAATTGTACAATACTTTTTTTTTTTTGAGATGGAGTCTGACTCTGTCTCCCAGGCTGGAGTGCAGTGGTGCCATCTTGGCTCACTGCAAGCCTCCTGGGTTCATGCCATTCTCCTGCCTCAGCCTCCCGAGTAGCTGGGACTACGGGTGTCCACCACCACGCCTGGCTAATTTTGTGTACTTTTAGTAGAGACAGGGCTCCACCATGTGGGCCAGGTTGGTTTTGAACTCCTGACCTCAAGTGATCCACCCGTCTCGGCCTCCGGAAGTGCTGGGATTATAGGCGTGAGCCACCGCGCCCGGCCTGTTCAACACTTTTCTGCTTGGTGTGTGGAGTGATTGAATCACCATGTTTTCCTTCACTGCTCTCGTAAAGAGTAATACGTTACAGAGCTAAGAGGTGTCAGTCACATCACTTTTTATTTTTACAGTGAAAGTACTTGTAATCTGATGTGATTGGTAGTTTTTTAGCAAACCAAAACGTCAGTTAAGCAAAGGAACTATAAAAAACAATATATGATACCTTAAAAGCTTTTTATTCTTAAAACACATGCCTGTTCGCCAGTTTTGTTGTAAGGTAAAGGCGCATGTCTTTGAGCATAAGTCCAGAATGGAGTTATCCTGCCCCTTCTTGCATAAGCTGCACTCAGATGAATTTCCTACAGTTTCTATTTTTGTGTTCTTTTTTAAGTGGCACATGAAATTAGATAGGCATGAAGCAATTTTTTAAAAAACTTTTTATTTTGAAATAATAATAGACTCTCAGGAAGTTGTAAAGAAACTAGAGAGGTCACTGTGTATTTGCGCATACTGCCCCAGTGGTTACATTTTATGTAATTATAATAGAGTATAAAAACCCAGAAATTGAAGTTGGTACAATGTGTGTGCGTAGTTCTGTGCCATTCTATCAAGGGTCTGTAAATGTAACTACTACTACAATTTCCTATGCAGAACTGTTTCATCACTACAAAGATGTCTCTCCTGCCTCTCTTCTGCCACCATCTCTAACTCCTGACAACCACTAATCTGTTCTCCATCTCTATAATTTTGTTACTGTGAGATTACCAAGTGATATGTGACCTTCGGAAATGATTTTCTTTACTCAGCATAATGCCCTCAGGTCCGTCAAGGTTTGTTGAGTATATCAGTAGCTAAACTGGGACCATTTATTTGTCTCTTCCTCTAATCATCAATTAAGAATGACTACGCATAAATGTAAGCTCTTAGAGTTAAGCTTATTGTATATAAATATTGTCACTTCGGCTGGGCGCGGTGGCTCACGCCTGTAATCACAGCACTTTGGGAGGCCGAGGAGGGCGGATCACTTGAGGTCAGGAGTTCAAAACCAGCCTGGCGCCCATGGTGAAACCCTGTCTCTACTAAAAATACAAAAGAGTCAGGCGTGGTAGTGTGCGCTTGTAATCCCAGCTACTTGGGAGGTTGAGGCAGGAGAAGTGCTTGAACCCAGGAGGTGGAGGTTGCAGTGAGCCGAGATCATGCCATTGCACTCCAGCCTGGCCAACACAGCAAGACTCCATCTCAAAAAAAAAAATTGTCACTTCATGCTTAGAAATATCAGTAGATGGCTACATGGCTGGGTGTGGTGGCTCAGCCTGTAATCCTAGCAGTTTGGGAGGCTGAGGTCAGGAGATCGAGGTCATCCTGGCCAACATGGTGAAACCCCATCTCTACTAAAAATACAAAAATTAGCTGGGTGTGGTGGCACGTGCCTGTAGTCCCAGCTACTCAGGAGGCTGAGGCAGGAGAATCGCTTGAACCCAGGAGGCGGAGGTTGTAGTGAGCCGAGATCGCGCCACTGCACTACAGCCTGGTGAGAGAGCGAGAATCCGTCTCAAAAAAAATAAAAACGATCAGTAGATAAAAAAAGTATAAACATGAGTATCTTGATAAATTCTGTTCTCAGGCTTTCAGGTTCATAATCCAGTTGATAGATGACATGTAGAAATAAAAGAATTTGTAAACATGGGAGTCTTCATTGACGTTTTTAGGACTGGATTCTAAGGGTGGTTTTTACCTCTAATATCCAAATACTGGTGCCTCAATAGAACAATTTTTGTTTTCAAAATTCCATGATAAAAAAGATGTAGTAACCCTGTATGTGACATTTTGTCAGGTTAATTGAGAGCATTTTGCAGCAAAAAAATTTTTTTTTGTAGAGGCAGGGTCTTTCTTTGTTGTCCGGGCTGGTCTAGAACACCTGCATTCAAGTGATCCTCCTGCCTTGGCCTCCCAAAGTGCTGTGATTACATGTATGAGCCACTGTGCCTGGCCTGGTGTTTTAAAGAACTAACTTTTAACTTTGGTTCTTGGAAAAGACTAGTAATACTAGTTATTAAAAAAAAAGGAAAAGGGTTTAGCCGTAGGACTTTGATGACAATTCCTTTTTTTTTTTTTTTTTTTTTTTTTGAGACAGAGTCTCACTCTGTTGCCCAGGTTGGAGTACAGTAGCAGTATCTCAGCTCACTGCAACCTCCACCTCCCAGGTTCAAGCCATTCTCATGCCTCAGCCTCCTAAGTGGCTGGAATTCCAAGTGTGCACCACCACACCCAGATAATTTTTTTTTTTTTTTAAACAGCGGAAGAGGTGATTTATTATATGGTTGTTACACTCGGCCACAAATAAACACAGAAATAGTCCAGAATGTCACAGGTCCAGGGCAGAGGACCAACATGGGCATTTTGTTTATGAGCAAGGTGGGTCTCAGAGGTGATCGGCGATCAGAGGGCGATGAAGTTCTAGATCCATTGAGACAAGCTCTAGACAGTAGCATGCAGTCCCACAACTTGTACCAGCATCCCCAGCGTCTGGCATTCCATGTTTCTGCTCCTGTGGCCTCCACAGTGCAACAAGCTAGCGGTTTACTTGGACCTCTGCCTCATCTTTCTTCTTTTGCGCTTCAGCCTGCGCATTCGCTTCTTCCTCCACTTGGCTCTCATGGCGCAGAGGTTTCCAAGAAAATGGCGCTAACGCCGAGAGCCAGATAATTTTTTATATTTTTAGTAGAGATGGGGTTTCACCATGTTGCCCAGGCTGGTCTTGAACTCCTGAGCTCGTGATCCACCTGCCTTGGCCTCCCAAAGTGCTGGGAGTACAAGCATGAACCGTGCCCGGCTGTTAATAGGATCTTTTAATTGCTTGACCCTATTAAAGGTAGTTATTTTAAAAGTGTGTTTATAAACCTTGTCCGACCCCATAGATTCCTTAGCCGCCTCTCTCTGTCCCTCTTGGTTGACTCATGCCTGTGAGCCGCCCTTCGGCTCCAGTCTCCGCTGTGATGTCACGCAAGAGAGTTGGAGTATGGCTTCCTGACTGCCTACCAAGGAGCCAGTGACACAGCCTGGAAGGTGTGGCGAGTGTGGGTGTGAATTCCCTGTGGTATGAACGTTCACCACTTTACAAGGAGAGATGAGGGAACTCAGTGTTTTTATTCCTCCCCTTTTTCTTTCCTCCTTGGACTATTTTATGGTGTAGTTTCTTCTTGCAGACCTTCTGGAAAAGCCACATGTGCCTAGTGAATGTGCTGGCTGAACAATTGGTTGTATTTGCAGCTCATTGAGAAGAGGTGGCAGTAACATAGGAGTCAGCACATTTTTTCTATAAAGCACCAGATAGTAAATGTTTATGTGGGCCGTACGTGCTCTTTTATAACAACTCACCTTGGCTATTGTCCTGCGAGAAGCTGCCAGATGTGTATGGCTATATTCCAGGAAAATTTGAATGTCAGATAATTTTCATGTGTTGACATATGATTTTTTTTTTTTTTTCCTGAGAGGGAGTCTTGCTCTGTTGCCCAGGCTGGAGTGCAGTGGCGCGATCTTGGCTCACTGCAACCTCCACCTCCTGGGTTTAAGCAATTCTCCTGCCTCAGACTCCGGAGTAGCTGGGATTACAGGCGTGTACCATCATTCCTGGCTAATTTTTTTTTTTGTATTTTTAGTAGAGACGGGGTTTCATCATGTTGGCCAGGCTGGTCTTGAACTCCTGACCTCATGATCCGCCCGCCTTGGCCTCCCAAAGTCTGAGATGACAGGTGTGAGCCACCGTGCTTGGCTGACATATGATTCTTTTGATTATGTTGCAACCATTGAAAAATATAAAATCACTTTTTAAATATATGTTTTTCTTTTTTTAGGAAATTAAAGGAAATAAGAATGGCTCCTACATAGGCAGAGTAGGCTAAAATCACACTTAGCTGACTGTGAAGTCATATACTGCATACCGTTGCTTCATTGATCTCCTTGTCTCACTTTCCCACTTCCCTCACCCCATTGTTCCGAGCTGACATCTGCTGAGCAGAGTGTTAACACTTTAGTTCATTCCTCAGGCTCTTCTTTCATGATAGAAGTCTTTATATTTCTGTTTTCAGGATCTACTCTTGGTCTGTTCTGTTGACTTCTATTTTTTTTTTCATTTTTCAATGATGTGGTCTTGTATCTTTGTCATTATTATATTTGCTTGACTTTCAGATATTGTATATGCAATATTGTAGCAATAAGTCGAGGCTCTGGGTAACAATAACTTCCCCCAGAGAGGATGTTCTAGGCAATCCCAGGTCACTGCAGTCCCTTTGGAAATTGAGAGAATGCGAAACTGGGCTGGTTTTCCGTAAAGGCTGGTCTACTTCTAACTCACCTGTATTTCTGGTGTGTGGCCCTTTGAGGTTCCAGCTCAGAGCATGGGGTCTGCCAGGCCTCTTTCTCCTGTGTGAGGGCCCTGGGAGTCTCTCAGAAGCTCCGTTTTGCTTCTCAGTCTCATCCCTGCTTGCTTAGGTTCTCTGGGCCTCTTTCTTCCTCTCGTGGGTCTCAGACTTTAGGAAGACCTCACTATCTTACTGCTTCTAGGATGTCTTCAAATCGACGTACTTAATGTTCCTGTCTGACCTTTCTAATTGTTCTAGGAACCTGTTCTTAACATTTTTTATATGTTGTCCTACGTTCAATAGATGTTTAGTATTTTTCTGTAGGTTTAAGAAAAAAAGCCATATACCTTTACTCATCTGCAAATATTTGAAGATTACTTTTCTGTCAAATTGTAAGGACATGAAAAAGAAACATTTTCTAACCTATACATTAATCAGATATTCATTTGTTATATTATTCAGTTTTGGATTTTATTGCCTGACTCTATAGTTCTGAAGTCACTTTAATAAATGCCTTAACGGGCTGGGTGCGGTGGCTCACGCCTGTAATCCCAGGCCGAGGCGGGTGGATCACAAGGTCAGGAGGTCGAGACCATCCAGGCTAACACGGTGAAACCCCGTCTCTACTAAAAATACACAAAAAATTAGCCGGGCGTGGTGGCGTGCGCCTGTAGTCCCAGCTACTCGGGAGGCTGAGGCAGGAGAATGGCATGAACCCGGGGAGCCAAGATGGCGCCACTGCACTCCAGCCTGGGCGACAGAGCAAGACTCTGTCTCAAAAAAAAAAAAAAAAAAAATGCCTTAACTGTTTGCTTGCCTAGTCCTGATTGGTATTAAAATATTGGTGGCCTATGTATGGGAGCGTGAAGGCTTGCCCTGGCTGCCGTGCTGCAGGTGTGGGTGCATGTTATGGTGTTGGTGGGAAGCGAATAAGCCTTGGAGTTGGGCCTCTTCCCAAATCCCACCTCTCACAGCCTCAGTGTTGTGTGGCCTTTGGTCAAGTCATTGGCCTTCTGAGCTTCAGTTTAGTAACTAACAAAAAGTGAGCCTGTTACTGCCTCTTTTGCTGGGGTCTTTTGACGATGAAAGTGCCTTTACTTGCCATGTCATTTCAGAGGTGTAAGATAGGAATGTGAGATTGGAAAAGATTGGAAAAGAGTTCTCAGCCCAAATAACCTAATTAGAAGCTTCTGGGATCTGAACCAAAAAAGTCAAAAGTTGAAAATCTACTGGGCACGTTTAGGTAAGTCAGCTACTAATAAAAAGCTAATTGGAGACAGTTGTAGAAATAAATACTCTCACTTTACAAATGGAAAGTCCCATTCATTTTTTTCTTTTTCTTTATTTTATTTTATTTTTTTTATGAATAGGGTCTCTGTCACCCAGGTTGGAATGCTGTGGTGTGATCAGAGCTTACTGTAACCTCAAACTCCTGGGTGCAGGTGACCGTCCTGCTGTAGCCTCCTGAGTAGCTGGGATTACAGGCACGTGCCATGCACTTGGGTAATTTTTACATTTCTGTAGAGACACGGTCTTACCATGTTGCCCAGGCTGATCTTGAACTCTTGGCCTCAAGCAGTTCTTCTGTCTTGGCCTCCCAAAGCTCTGGGATTACGGCGTGGGCCACCACGCCCTGCCTGTAGTCTCCATTCTTCTCAGTGCCACGGCTGTCTTCCAGTTGTTCCCAGGCTGCTGCTTCCTCAGTCAGGATCCTGTACTGTCTGTGATCTGGAGAGCTCTTCTCCTGGGCTTCACTTTTGCTTGTTCACAGTCTAACTCTCTGGAGACCTCCTCCAGTGAGGCTTGCTTTATTGCCTTAGTAATGTTCCACCTTTAAGGTGCCCAAATAGTTTTTTGAATGGTGCTTACCATTTATTTGGGTCATCAGTTCCTAGGAGGCTTCCACAGTGCATGTCCTTCCAGGAGTCCAGTGTCTACCTTCCAAAAAAGAATTCCTTGTCACTCAGAAAGACAAGGTCTGGCCTATCCTCTTCCTTCCCAGTGCTACCCAGGTAATAATCGAAAGGTGGTGGTAATTATTCTTGTTTCCATGTAAACTGGGCTTCCTCCTTGGCTTAGTCTTTAAATGTTCCATCTTTTGGCTTTTTTTTTTAAAAATGGTACCTCTGTAACACTAATGTTTCTCAATCTAGGCTGTACCGCAGAACACTGATGTGTGGAGCCCAGCCAGTCTGGGGCGATCTTAGAGTGCTTTCAGGTCTGGGCAGGGGTCTCCCCTCTCTGCTTGGGTGTTGGCATCTTCTCCAGGACATCACCTACAGTCCATTTGTTGACTACTCCCAGATTTGAGTCTCTAGCCCTGAACACTCTGCTAAGATCTGGATCTATATTTACTGAGGGTTGGTGGAGTGGGGAGGAGCTCCATGTTTATGTTCAGTAGTTAGTGCAAATCTTAGTGGTTAAAACGGAACTAATTCTCATTCCTCTTCTGTTCCCTCCCTTATTTTCCCTTTCACATTTGATTTAACTTACGTGATTTGAAATAGTTTCTTTTTTTGTTTTTTAAGTCAGGGTCTCACTCTGTTGCCCAGGCTGGAATGCAGTGGCACCGTCACGGCTCACTGCAGCCTTAACCTCCCCGGGCTCAGGTGATCCTCCCACCTCAGCCCCCTGAGTAGTGGGACTACAGGTGCGTACCACCACGCCTGGTTAATTTTTGTATTTTTTGTAGAGACCGAGTTTCACCGTGTTGCTTTGGCTGGTCTCGAACTCCTGGGCTCAAGCAGTCTGCCCACCTCGGCCTCCCAGACTGCTGGGATTACAAATGTGAGCCACCGTGCCCTGCCTGAAATAATCTTAAAGACTGTACTTCCCTGTGTTGACTTCTACTGTCATCCTTTCTTTTTTGGACCCTTGGTAATAGCCTTTTTTTTTTTTTTTTTTTTTTTTTTTTGAGATGCAGTCCCACTCTGTCACCCAGGCTGGAGTGCAGTGGTGCGATCTCCACTCACTGCAACGTCCGCCTCCCAGGTTCAAACAATTCCCTTGCCTCAGCCTCCCGAGTAGCTGGGACTATAGGTGCGTGCCACCTCACCTGGCTAATTTTTTGTATTTTTAGTAGAGATGGGGTTTCGCTGTGTTAGCCGGGATGGTCTTTATCTCCTGACTTCATGATCCACCCGCTTCGGCCTCCCAAAGTGCTGGGATTACAGGCGTCAGCCACCGTGCGTGGCCAGTAATAGCTTCTTAGTTCACCTTCTCTGTTTCTGTTTTCTGAAACACTTTAAGACACGGGTCAAATGTCGTATTCCCTTGAGTGCCTAAAGATAGTCTGAAACTCCTGGAGCACGGCCCACATGGAGCTGTGAGTTCTGACCGCTGTTAGCCTCTTATCATGTGCATTGTGGTAGGGTTTGGACTGAACCCCAGTGCATGTATTCACTGCCCTCCTCTGACTGAAGACTAGAAGAGTCAAACCTTTCCATTCACTAGTTAAACTTCAGGGGCCCTGAATGTTTTCGGCTCACTTTTTAATTTTATTTTTTATATTATTTTAATTTTTTAAATTTAAATTAAAATTTTTTTTTGATAGGGTCTTGCTCTATTGCCCAGGCTGGAGTACAGTGGAGTGATCTCAACTCACTGCAGCCTCTACCTCCTGGTCTCAAGCAGTTCTCCCACCTCAGCCTCCCAAGTAGCTGGGAGTACAGGCGCGCCACCACCTCTGGCTAATTTTTTGTATTTTTGGTAGAAATGTGGTTTTGCCATGTTGTTCAGGCTGGTCTTGTACTCCTGAGCTCAAACAATTCACCTGCCTTGGCCTCCCAAGTGCTGGGATTACAGGTGTGAGCCACCATGCTCAGCTTTCTGGCTAATTTTACAATTTTTTTGTAGAGACGGTCTTGCTATGTTGCCTAGATTGGTTTTAAACTCCTGGGCACAAGTGATTCTCTTGCCTCAGTCTTCCAAGGTGCTGGGATTAGAGATGTGAGTCACTCTACCTGGCTAGGGCTCACTTTTTGGAAGGAGTTTACCTCTCCCCCACCAGCTGATAATTTTTACCAAAAGTCGTATGTTTTGGTTCCAAGTATGTTTATGGCAGTTATCCTGTTAGTGATGTGAACAGAAAAAATAAGAGTGCTGAGAGAAAGCTGTTCCTTCTACAAAAACTGAAGGATGCTGGCTTGGTTTCTGTCGCTACAGAACAAGTTACCAAACACAAATTTGGCAGCTTGTAACAACAAGCATTTACACTCTCACAGTTTCTGTGGGTCAGGAGTCTGGCCATAGCTTAGTTCTATCCTCTACTTCAGGTGTCACAGGCTGTAGTCAAGGTGTTGGCTAGGGCACGCTGTCATCTGGAGCTCAGGTCCTCATTGGTAGAATTGAATCCATTGTGGTTGTGGGACTGAAACCCTGGGCTCTTGGAGGCTGCCCCTCCCCACAGGCAGTTCATTGGCTGCTTGCTTCTTCAAATTGAAGACCATCCCTTCAGGACGGTGCGGGGGGATGGAAAAAGGGAGAGGTAAATGGAAATCACAAAAGAGCATAGTGGTTATATCAGACCAAATAGATTTCAAGACCAAAACTATAAAAGGAGACCAAAAAAGTCATTATGTAATGATAAAGGGGCCAATTCAGCAAGAGGCTATAACTATTATAAATATATGTATATATGCACTCAACACTAGAGCACCCAGATACATAAAACAAATATTACAGCTAAAGAGAGAGATAGGCCTTAACACATTAATAGATGGAGGCTTCAACACTCCACTTTCAGCATTGGACAGATCAGATCATCCAGACAAAATTAACGAAGAAACATCAAACTTAATCTGCACTGTAGACCAAATGGATTTAGTAGATATTTCTAGAACATTTCATCTGATGGCTGCAGAATTTACATTGTTCTCTTTAGCACATGGATCGTCCTCAAGGTTAGACCGTATGTTAGGCCACAAAATAAGTCATTAAAAATTCAAACCTTGATACTAAAAGCAGACAAAGACACATCAAAGAAAGAATACTACAGGCCAATGTCTCTGATGAATATTGATGCAAATATCCTCAACAAAATACTAGCAAACCAAATTCAGCAATACGTTAGAAAGATCGTTCATTGTGACCAAGTGGGGTTTATCCCTGGGGTACAAGGATGGTTCAACATATGCAAATCAATTGATGTGATACATCATGTCAACAGAAGGATAAAAACCATGTGATTATTTCAATCGATGCTGAAAAGGCATTTGATAAAATTCAACATCCTTTCATGATAAAATCTCTTAAAACTGGTTATGGAAGAAACATACCTCAACATAATAAAAGCCGTATATGACAGACCCACAGCTAGTATCATACTGAATGGTGAAAAACTGAAAGTCTTTCCTCTAAGATCTGGAACATGACAAGGATGCTCAGTGTGGCCACTGTTATTCAACATAGTACTGGAAGTTCTTGCTAGAGCAATCAGACAAGAGAAAGAAATAAAAGGCCTCCACATTGGAAAGGAAGAAGTCAAATTATCCTTGTTTGCAGATGATATGATCTTATATTTGGAAAAACCTAAAGACTCCACAAGAAAATGATTAGAGCCGATAAATTCAATACAATTGCAGTATACGAAATCAACATACAAAAATCAGTAGCATTTCTGTGTGCCAACAGTAAACAATATGAAAAAGAAATTAGAAAAGTAATCCCATTTATAGTAGCCACACATGAAATTAAATACCTGGGAAGTAACCAAAGAAGATAATTACAAAGATCTCTGTAATGAAAACTCTAAAACGCTGATGAAAGACATTAAAGAAGACACAAAAGATGGAAAAATATTTCATCTTCATGGATTGGAAGAATCAATATTGTTAAAATGTCCATACTACCCAAAGCAATCTACCGATTCAGTGCAATCCCTAGCAAAATACCAATGACATTCTTCACAGAAACAGAAAAAAAAAAAATCCTAAAATTCATGTTGAACCACAAAAGACCCAGAATAGCCGAAGCTCTCATAATTGAAAAGAAACAAACTGGAGGAATCAGATTACCTGACTTCAAATTATACTACAGAGCTATAGTAACCAAAACAGCATAGTACTAGCATAAAACAGACACAGACCAACGGAACAGAATAGAGAATCCAGAAACAAATCCGCACATCTACGGTGAACTCATTTTCGACAAAGGTACCAAGAACATACACTGGGGAAAAGACAATCTCTTCAATAAATGGTGCTGGGAAAACTTGATATTCATATGCAGAAGAATGAAGCTAGATTCCTCTTTTGCCATATAAAAGTTAAAAAAATTATGTTAAGTATCTTCTCTGATCACATGGACTATAACTAAAAATTGATAACGAGGAATTTTGGAAACTCCACCAACACATGGGAATTAAACAATATGCTCCTGAATGACCAACAGGTCAGTGAAGAAATTAAGAGTGAAATTAAACAGTTTCTTGAAACAAATGGCAATGGCAACACAGCATACGAAATCTGTGGGATATAGTTAAAGCAGTACTAAGAGGAAAATCAAAAAAGTAGAAAAACTTCAAATAAATAACCTAATGATACATCTTAAAGAACTAGAAAAGAAGGAGCTAACCAAACCCATAATTTTAAGGACAGAAATAATAAAAATTAGAGCAGAAATAAAATGGAGTTGAAATGAAGAAAATAATACAAAAGATCAATGAAATGAAAAGTTGGTTTTTCTAAAAGATAAATTGACAAGCCTTCAGGCAGGCTAAGAGAAAAAGAAGACCCAAATCAGAGGTGAAAAAGTAGGCATTACAACTGATATTGCAGAAATTCAAAGGGTCATTAGAGACTATGAACAGCTATATGTCAATAAATTGGGAAACGTGGAAGAAATAGATAAGTTTGCAGGCCGGGCGTGGTGGCTCATGCCTGTAATCCCAGCACTTTGGGAGGCTGAGGCGGGTGGGTCACTTGAGGTCAGGAGTTCGAGACCAGTCTGGCCAACATGGTGAAACTCCAACTCTACTAAAAATACAAAAATTAACCAGGTGTGGTTTTGTGTGCCTGTAATTCCAGCCACTTGGAAGGCTGAGGCACGAGAATCACTTGAGCCTGGGAGGTGGAGGTTGCAGTGTGCTGAGATCATGTTACTGCACTCCAGCCTGGGTGACAGAGTGAGACTGTGTCTTCAAAAAAAGAAGGAAAAAGAAATGGATAATTTCACAGGCACATACAGCCTTCCAAGTTTGAACCATGAAGAAATCCAGAACCTGAACATACCAATAACAGGTAATGAGATTGAAACTGTAATAATAAAAAGTCTTCCAGCAAAGAAAAACCCCAGGACCTGGTGACTTCACTGCTGAATTTTACCAAACATTTAAAGAAGAACTGTTACCAATCCTAGTGAAACTATTCTGAAAAATAGAGGAGGAGGGAATACATCCAAACTTATTGTAGAAGGCCAATATTACCCTGATACCAAAACCAGACAAAGACATAATCAAAAAAACAAAACAGGCCAGTATCCCAGATGAACATTGATGCGGAAATACCCAACAAAATACCAGCAAACCGAATTCAACAACACATTAAAAACATCATTCATCATGACCAAAGTGGGGTTTATCCCAGGGATGCCAGGATGGTTCACCGTATCCAAATCAATCAGTTTGATACATCATATCAATAGAATGAAGGATAAAAAACCATATGATCATTTAAATTCATGCTGAAAAGGCATTTGATAAAATTCAACATCCTTTCATGATAAAAACCCCCAAAAAACTGGTTATAGAAGGAACACACCTCAACGCAATAAAAGCCATATACAGCTGACACACAGCTAGTATCATACTGAAAGGTGAAAAACTGAAAGCCTTTCCTCTAAGATCTGGAACAAGACACGGATGCCCACTGTCACCACTGTTATTCAATATAATAATGGACTAGTTTACAGTCCCACCAACAGTGTAAAAGTGTTCCTATTTCTCCACATCCTCTCCAGCACCTGTTGTTTCCTGACTTTTTAATGATTGCCATTCTAACTGGTGTGAGATGGTATCTCATAGTGGTTTTGATTTGCATTTCTCTGATGGCCAGTGATGATGAGCATTTTTCATGTATTTTTTGGCTGCATAAATGTCTTCTTTTGAGAAGTGTCTGTTCATGTCCTTCGCCCACTTTTTGATGGGGTTGTTTGTTTTTTTCTTGTAAATTTGTTTGAGTTCATTGTAGATTCTGCATATTAGCCCTTTGTCAGATGAGTAGGTTGCGAAAATTTTCTCCCATGTTGTAGGTTGCCTGTTCACTCTGATGGTAGTTTCTTTTGCTGTGCAGAAGCTCTTTAGTTTAATTAGATCCCATTTGTCAATTTTGGCTTTTGTTGCCATTGCTTTTGGTGTTTTGGACATGAAGTCCTTGCCCACGCCTATGTCCTGAATGGTAATGCCTAGGTTTTCTTCTAGGGTTTTTATGGTTTTAGGTCTAACGTTTAAATCTTTAATCCATCTTGAATTGATTTTTGTATAAGGTGTAAGGAAGGGATCCAGTTTCAGCTTTCTACATATGGCTAGCCAGTTTTCCCAGCACCATTTATTAAATAGGGAATCCTTTCCCCATTGCTTGTTTTTCTCAGGTTTGTCAAAGATCAGATAGTTGTAGGTATGCGGCGTTATTTCTGAGGGCTCTGTTCTGTTCCATTGATCTATATGTCTGTTTTGGTACTAGTTCAACCATTGTGGAAGTCAGTGTGGCGATTCCTCAGGGATCTAGAACTAGAAATACCATTTGACCCAGCCATCCCATTACTGGGTATATACCCAAATGACTATAAATCATGCTGCTATAAAGACACATGCACACGTATGTTTATTGCGGCATTATTCACAATAGCAAAGACTTGGAACCAACCCAAATGTCCAACAATGATAGACTGGATTAAGAAAATGTGGCACATATACACCATGGAATACTATGCAGCCATAAAAAATGATGAGTTCATGTCCTTTGTAGGGACATGGATGAAATTGGAAACCATCATTCTTAGTAAACTATCGCAAGAATAAAAAACCGAACACCGCATATTCTCACTCATAGGTGGGAATTGAACAATGAGATCACATGGTCACAGGAAGGGGAATATCACACTCTGGGGACTGTGGTGGGGTGGGGTGGGGGGAGGGGGGAGGGGTAGCATTGGGAGATATACCTAATGCTAGATGACGAGTTAGTGGGTGCAGCACACCAGCATGGCACATGTATACATATGTAACTAACCTGCGCAATGTGCACATGTACCCTAAAACTTAAAGTATAAAAAAAAAAAAAAAAAAAAAAATGGAAGCCCTTGCTAGAGGAGTCAGATAAGAGAGAGAAAGGCCGGGTGCAGTGGCTCACACCTGTAATCCCAGCACTTTGGGAGGCTGAGGTGAGTGGATCACTTGAGGTCAGGAGTTTGAAGCCTGGCCAACACGGTGATACCCTGTCTCTACTAAAAATATAAAAATTAGCTAGGCGTGGTGGCGGGTGTCTGTTGTCCCAGCTACTCGGGAGGCTGAGGCAGGGAAATCACTTGAACCCCGGAGGTGGAGATTGCAGTGAGCTGAGATTGTGCCGCTATATTCCAGCCTGGGCTACAGAGCAAGACTCCATCTCAGGAAAAAAAAAAAAAAAAGAAGAAATAAAGGGCATCCAAATTGGAAATGAAGATGCCAAGTTATTCTTGTTTGCAGATGATTGTTATATTTGGAAAAACCTGAAAACTCCACCAAAAAATGATTAGAACTGATAAATTCAGTAAAATTGCAGGATACTAAATTAACATACAAAAATCTGTAGCATTTCTCTGTTTTTTTTTTTTTTTTTTTTTTTTTTGAGATGGAGTCTCACTCTGTGGCCCAGGCTGGAAAGCAATGGCGCAATCTCGGCTCACTGCAACCTCTGCCTCCTGGGTTGAAGCGATCCTCCTGCCTTAGCTGCCTGAGTAGCTGGCATTACAGGCGCCTGCCACCAGGCCTGGCTAATTTTTGTATTTTTAGTAGAGACAGGGTTTCACCACATGGGCCAGGCTGGTCTTGAACTCCTGACCTCAGGTGATCCGCCTGCCTTGGCCTCCCAAAGTGCTGGGATTACAGGTATGAGCCACTGTGCCCGGCCAAATCAGTAGCATTTCTGTATGTCAACAGTGAACAATATGAAAAATCAAGAAAAATAATTCCATTTATAATAGCTACAAATAAAGTAAAATACGTAGGAATAAAACTAACCCAAGAAGTGAAAAGATCTCTACCACGAAAACTGTAAAACAGTGATGCAGAAAATTGAAGAAGACACACAAAAAAGGAAAAGATACTCCGTGTTCATGGATTGGAAGAATCAATATTGTTAAAATGTCTGTACTACCCAAAGCAATCTACAGGTTCAATGTAATCCCTATCAAAATACCAATGACATTCTTCACAGAAATAGAAAAAAAAAATCCTGAAATTTGTATGGAATCACAAAAGAGACAGAATAGCCAAAGCCATCCTGAGCAAAAAACAAAACTGGAGAAATTGCATTACCTGACTTAAAATTATACTACAGTCACTTCCTGGTCTTTTTTGGCTTAGATCAAGTGCAAAGTTTACTAGAAAGGTATACCAAAACAGCATGGTACTGGTATAAAAACAGACACCTAGACCAATGGAACAGAATAGAGAACCCAGAAACAGATCTATACATCTACAGTGAACTCACCTTTGACAGAGGTGCCCGGAGGATACGTGAGGGAAAGGATAGCCTCATTGATAAATGGTGCTGGGAAAATGGGACACCCATATGCAGAAAAATGAAACTAGACCGCTATCTCTCACCATATACGAAAATCACATCAAAATGGAGTAAAGACTTAAACCTAAGACTTCAGACTATGAAAGTGCTAAAAGAAAACATTGGGGAGACTCTCCAGGACATTGCACTGGGTAATGATTTCTTGAGTAATACTTCGTAAACACAGGCAACCAAAGCTAAAATGGACAAGTGGGATCACATTGAGTTAAAAAGCTGCACAGCAAAGGAAACAATCAACAAAATGAAGAGACAACCCACAGAATGGGAGAAAATATTTGCAAACTACCCATCTGACAAAGGATTAATAACCAGAATATATAATTAGCTTAAGCACCTCTATAAGAAAAAAATCTAATAATCCAATAAGAATGGGCAAAAGATTTGAATAGACATTTCTCAAAAGAAGATATACAAATGACAAACAGGCAGTACGAACAGGTGCTCAACATGGTTGGTCATCAGAGACATGCAAATCAAAACTATAATGAGATATTATCTCACCCTAATTAAAATGGCTTATATCCAAAAGACAAGAACAAATGCTGGCAAGAATATAGAGAAAAGGGAACCCTTGTGCACTGTTGGTGGGAATGTAAATTAGCACAGCCATTATGGAGATTAGCTTGGAGGTTCCTCAAAAAACTAAAAATAGGACTATCATATGATTCAGCAATCCCACTGGTAGGTATATACCCAGAGGAAAGAATATCAGTATGTTGAAGAAATATGTACACTCTCATGTTTATTGCAGCACTATTCTCAATAGCCAAGATTTGGAAGCAACCTAAGTGTTCCCAGCAGATGAATGGATGAAGAAAATGTGGTATATATACTCAACGGAGTACTATTCAACCATGAAAAAGAATGGGATACTGCCGTTTGCAACAACATGGATAGAACTGGAGGTCGTTACGTTAAGTCAGGAACAGAATGTCATGAGCCAGACCCAGAAAATCGAACTTTGCATGTTCTCACTTATTTGTAGGTGCTAAGCAAATGAAAGTAATTGAACTCATGGAGATAGAGTAGAATGATGGTTATCAGAGACTGGGAAGGATAAAGTGGGGGTGAAGTGCGGATGGTTAATGGGTATAAAAATGGAGTTAGATAGGGCTGGGCACAGTGGCTTACGCCTGTAATCCCAGCTCTTTGGGAGGCCAAGGCAGGTGGATCATGAGGTCAAGAGACCCAGACCATCCTGGCCAACACGGTGAAACCCCATCTCTACCAAAAATACAAAAATTAGCTGGGTGTGGTGGTGTGAGCCTGTAGTCCCAGCTACTCTGGAGGCTGAGGCAGGAGAAACCCTTGAACCCAAAAGGCAAAGGTTGCAGTGAGCTGAGATCGCACAACTGCACTCCAGCTTAGTGCCAGAACGAGATCCGTCTCAAAAAAAAAAAAAAAAAGTTAGATAGAATATATAACCCATATATATATATATATATATATATATATATATATATATATATACACACATACATACAACTAGTGTGTATCCACAGAAGTTTAAAAAAAAAAAAAGATGGGCAAACATCTGTGTCTCTTTTAATTAAAAATGGCTTTTTTTTTTTTGCCAGACAAGGGAGCTTCTGTCGCATACGCAGTTTTCAGAATGGATGCCTTCCCCCAGTGTCTGAAATGCTCCCTTTTCCTGTTCTGGGAAGCCTTTTCTGACTCACAAATGTTGACAAGCAAAGGCGTTTTTGATTTTGATGCTCACAGTTATTATAATTATTATAAATTTGGTCAGGAGTCCCTATCAGTCTTTGAACAGCTGCTTTTTTTTTTTGTTTGAGGTAAAGTCTTGCTCTGTCACCCAGGCTGGAGTGCAGTGGCATAGTCTTGGCCCACTGCAACCTTGGCCTCCTGGGTTCAGGCTATTCTCCTGCCTCAGCCTCCCAAGTAGCTGGGATTATGGGCGCCTGCCACCATGCCCAGCTAATTTTTGTATTTTTAGAAGAGATGGGGTTTCGGCATGTTGGCTAGGCTGGTCTCGAACTCCTGACCTCAAGTGATCTGCCCGCCTCAGCCTCCCAAAATGCTAGGATTATAGGCGTGAGCCACCGCACCTGGCCATGTTTGAGGAAACAGCTTTTTCTTTGAGGAAACAGGCTCATCTTTGTCTGCCCTGGCCCTTGAATCTACTTATTTTCCCTAGAGCCCTAGCGTCTTTTATTGGGAAATGGTTCTGAGAGACCAAAATCTGGGTGCCGCTGTCAGATTGCCTTTGATTCTAGTCCTTTAAAAAACAGAGTAAGCAAATATATTCAAAAATAAAGTTCATAGATTTCCAATTTAAGTTGTTTTTCAAAATTTCTTTGATTTTTTTTCCTCTTTTCCACTGAAAACCTTAATTTTTTTTTTTTTTTTTTTTTTTTTTTTTTGAGATGGAGTCTCGTTCTGTTTACCCAGGCTGGAGCGCAGTGACATAATCTCGGCTCACTGAAACCTCTGCCTCCTGGGTTCATGCTAGTCTTCTGCTTCAGCCTCCCGAGTGACTGGAATTACAGGCATGCACCAGCACACCCGGCTAATTTTTTATATTTTTAGTAGAGATGGGGTTTCACCATGTTGGCCAGGCTGGTCATGAACTCCTGACCTCAAGTGATTTACCTGCCTTGGCCTGCCAAATGCTGGGATTACGGGTGTGAGCCACCGTGGCCGGCCTAAAACCTTAATTTCTAAGAACATTTAATACTTTATCATAAACATGTTTTATTGTATTTACACTGCTTTATTGTGCAACATGAAGTAGTTCTAAAATTGTGAGAGTGTTATCAATACCGATAAATATTTTATTTTTCATTATAGTATATTATATTAATGATATGTAGTTCAAAAGTCCCTTGACATACTTTTCTTTGTATATGCATGGGTTAATTTGCTTGTTGCCAGTTGTAGGTTTCGCTTTTTTATGATTTAATTTTAATTTTTGAGGATGAAAGTCATGTATGTTTCAGAAGTAAAGACATCTAAAGTATACTCACAATGTTGTTGCTTTTTCTGGTCCTGCTGCCTTTGTCCATGTCCCCTCCCCATTTCCCCGTAGGTAGTCATTGGTACTTGCTTTTGGTTTATCTTTTCAGAGCACATGCACGTGTGTGTGTTTGTGTGTGTGTCTTTTTTTTCTTTTCTTTTCTTTTTTTTTTTTTTTTTAACACCGAGTCTCGCTCTTGTCACTCAGGCTGAGTGCAGTGGTGCGATCTCGGCTCACTGCAACCTCTGCCTCCTGGGTTCAAGCAATTCTCCTGCCTCAGCTTCGTGAGTAGCTGGGATTACAGGCGCCCGCCACCACGCCTGGCTAATTTTTTGTATTTTTAGTTGGGACGGGGTTTCACCGTGTTGGCCAGGCTGGTCTCAAATTCCTGATCCCCCGTGATGTGCCCCGCTCGGCCTCCCAAAGTGCTGGGATGACAAGCATGAGCCACCTCGCCCGACCACGTGTCATTTTTCTTGTATGTTACATAAGAGGTAGCATAGTATTTATACTATTATGCACCTTTTCATTTATATTTCTTGGATGACTTTCCTGAAATGTAAAATGATTAAATCACTAATTCAGTAAATCATTGATTTTATTACCAAATGATCGAATACATAAGGGGGATTGAGATTTTTTTCCCATATCATTCTTTAAAAATTGCAATGTGAGTGTGAGCACTCTGTAAGCTTATCTCGTTTATCATTGCCAGCTTGCATTCACAAGAGATGGGCTCTGTGGTCTGTGGAATGAAATGGTTAAAGATGGAGAAATTGTATACACTGGAACAGAATCAACCCAGAACGGAGAGCTCCCTCCTAGAAAAGGTAAGGGCCTTTAACTAGTGTTTTTTATTTGGTAAAGACCATTATAAAATGCATTTTATAGAAATTTTGTAATGTGCTATAGGAACAGGAGCTTTGAGCTTAACTCTTTGAAGTTTTGCTTTTTACTTTGGAGATTGTTGTCTAAAATGGTAGTTAATACAAGCTGCTCGGATTTTATTGTTTTACGTGAATTGAAGGCATTTTTATTGCAAAACCATCTTGCTGCATTTGTGGTGTTCTTTGGGGGTGTATTAAACACTTATTGGAAGCCTTTGGCCTGCAAGGAAATGCCATTGAACAATCTTATTTAGCTTTGTAGTTTTGCATGCTCAGTAAGACTATCATTATGTTGTTCATAACAGTGGCTGTGTTTCAGAGTCCCCATTGAGGTTTAAAAAAATGGCTGCTTGTATACACCCTAAACTTGTTGAATCTGAAAAGATCCTTGGTTGAGAACCATTGTTGAAGTTCGTTGGTCCCCCTGCTTGAGAGTCATCAACGTGGATAAAGCTACCACTTTAGAAAGTATTTATTCTAAGTTGAAATAGCTCAGTTGGGAGAGCATTAGTCTGAAGAAAGTATTTCTTCTTCTTCTTTTTTTTGGGGGGGAAGGAGTCTTGCTCTGTTGCTGAGGCTGGAGTACAGTGGCGCGATCTCAGCTCACTGCACGCTCCACCTCCCGGGTTCATGCCATTCTCCTGCCTCAGCCTCCCAAGTAGGTGGGACTACAGGCGCCCGCCACCACGCCCGGCTAATTTTTTGTATTTTTTAGTAGAGACAGGGTTTCACCGTGTTAGCCAGGATGGTCTCGAGCTCCTGACCTCGTGATCCGCCCGCCTCAGCCTCCCAAAGTGCTGGGATTATAGGCGTGAGCCACCGTGCCTGGCAAGTATTTCTTCTTCTTTTGTGGAATGAATGGGGATGGTGTCCACTTGAAAGTACATGGGGATCGGGCGTGGTGGATCATGCCTGTAATTCCAGCACTTTGGGAGGCTGAGGCGGGCAGATCATTTGAGGTTGGGAGTTTGAGACCAGCCTGGCCAACATGGTGAAACCCCGTCTCTACTAAAAAATACAAAAATTAGCCAGGCATAGTGGCGGGCGCCTGTAATCCCAGCTACTTGGGAGGGCACGGCAGGAGAATTGCTTGGAGCCGGGAGGTGGAGGTTGCAGTGAGCAGATATTGTGCTACTGCACTCCAGCCTGGGTGACAGAGTGAGACTCCATCTCAAAAAAAAAAAAAACAAAAAACACAAAACAAACCATGGGAAAAAGTATTAGTCTCCCTTTTCAGTTTCAGTGTCAAGCAGAGTTACCTGTGTTTTTATTTTAATTTATTTTTTATATTTGTTTGAAAATATTCACTCACACACACACACACACACACACACACACAATAACTGACAGACGTGTACAGTGAGTGGCTGCAGACCCACCTCCATGTTCTGCCACCGTATTTGGCTCCACATCCTGCTGTCTGTCCATCCACCGTTTGTCTCACCTAGCTCCTTAGACACTCATGTATGTAATTGATTCTAGTTCAACTTTGTTTTTGACTTTCAGGTAAAATTTATATATAATGAAATGTATCTATTTTGAGTTTACCATTTCACAAGTTTTGACAAATGTAACCCATGTAACCCACATCTTTATCATGACTCTTGCTCAGAAAGTTCTCTGGTGTCCTGCCCCTTCTTCCCAGAGGCAATAGTTGGCCTGATGTTTCTCCAGCATTTGACAAATTGCGCCTGTTCTAGAACTCCATACATGGAATCACGTAGTCGGGTTCTTCTGTGTCTGGCTTCTTTCACTCTGTTTAGTGCTTTTGATTTTCATGTTTTTTTTTTTAAACAACATAATGGGTTTATATTTAATATAGCACTTCTCATCAGGAGGTGTTACTCAGTTAATATAAAGTTTTTTTAACATTAAATCTCTTTTCCATGTCAATGTCTATAGTGTTTTTTTTTTCTTTAACATTAAGTCTTTTCTCCATTTCAGTATTAGATACACTGAATACATTTTTCTAAGTGATTTTTTTTCTTTCCAGAGATAAAAGTTTCCCTTTTTGGCTGACTATTGGATATCTGAATTTGGGAGATGACAAAAGTCTAATAAAAATACAGAGAACAGACTCAGTGATTTAGGAGGCAGTGATTACGACTGAACAGTGGCGATTTCCTAGGATTCTGGGCAAAATCCATTTATGTACCAATTTGTTCCCATTTCATGGAATCAACTCAGAAAGTAAAACTCTCCTACTTAGTAATTCTTGGAAACTTTCAGACACCAAAGCTTACATTTAGTTTCAGTAGCACAAAGGTTTTCAGGGTGAGGTTTCATTCATTAGGCCCTTCAAAGTCACATCTGTTCATTTTTATCTTTCGTGCGTATGCCCGCAAGCAAGTACAAACACCTGTAATACTGAGAACCACACCTTTTAACGAGAGAGCAGTTGCATCACTGGCTTCCACTGCCTTGACAGCAGGCAGCACCAAAAGCAGTGACATAAGGACTAAGGACAATTGTGTTGAAACTGAGGTCATGATGTTGGGATTTTGAGGGCTGAATGTTCCAAGTAAGTGGTATATATAGAATTCTCTCTGACTTGAAATTTTCCCTTTCTGGACCTCTGGATGCTGAGGCTAAGAGTGTCCATATGACAGTGTCTTCCAAGACAGGAATCAGCAACCTTTTTTTTTTTTTTTTTTTATGTATCAGTAATTCATTCTGTATATTTTAAAAAGTTTTAACCTCTTCTTCCTAGCCCTCCAGTATTTGTTTATAAATTAAAATTTTTCCCAAAGTGTTTTCTGTGAAACAATAGTTCTAAAAGGTGCTCTAAGAAAAGCTAAGTACATGGCAAAATCCAAAGTATATGTTTTATTCATTACATTTGATGAATATTTTTTGTGTGTTTTTTCCTCTCGAGAGGGAGTCTTGTTCTGTCGCTCAGGCTGGAGTGTAGCGGCATGATTTTGGCTCACTGCAACCACTGCCTCCCCGGTTCAAGCAGTTCTCTGCCTCAGCCTCCTGAGTAGCTAGGATTACAGGCACCCTCCACCATGCCCAGCTAATTGTTGTATTTTTAATAAAGATGGAGTTTCACCATCTTGGTCAGGCTGGTCTTGAACTCCTGACCTCATGATCTGCCCACCTCGGCCTCCCAAAGTGTGGGGTTTACAGGTGTGAGCCACCATGCCCGGCCCACATTTGATGAATTTTTTTGTCCTTTGTTCTTTTAAAAATCATGATTGGAAAGCAGAGCATAATTGTTTTTTATGTAGATCCCAACTGATTCGGGGTGTTAGGGAGATAATTTTGACATTCAATAAATGTTTTTGTTTTCCATTATTAAGACTATGAATATTTTATTTTATTTTCTGAGACAGGGTCTCAGAATTTGTCAAATATGTAAAATTTATAGCCAGATGTAGGGTGGGGGTGGCCTACTTTCTGTAAAGGGCCAGATAGTAAATATTTTAAGGTCTCAGTGGACCCTATGGTCTCTGTCATAGCCATGGGACCTTGCAGCTGTAGTGCCAGAGTAGCCACAGACAGTACTATGTCAGCGGGCAGGGGACGTTCATTCTGTAAACTTTATTTATGGACACGAAAAGATGAAGTCCACAGAATGTTTGCAAGTCACAAAATACTGTTTTTCTTTTGATTATTTTTCAATTATTAAAAACTATAAAATACGGTGGCCGGGCGTGGTGGCTCACACCTGTAATCCCAGCACTTTTGGAGGCCGAGGCAGGCGGATCACCTGAGGTCAGGAGTTCGAGACCAGCCTGGCCAACATGGTGAAACCCCATCTCTACTAAAAACAAAAAATTAGCTGGGCATGGTGATGCACGCCTGTAATCCCAGCTCCTTGGGGGCTGAGGCACGAGAATCACTTGAACTTGGGAGAATCACTTGAACCTGGGAGGCAGAGGTTGTGGTGAGTCAAGACTCTGTCTCAAAAGAACAACAAAAGTAAAATACTTTCCCTGTTTTCAGACCATACACAAAGAGGCTGTGGGCTGGGTTTGTCCTGTGGGCTGTGGTTAGTGACCCCCCCACCGCCTCCCCCCCACTCCCCCCCCCCACACACATGTAGGACAGAGTCTGGCCTTTAGAAGCAGCACCTGTGTTCTCACCTGAGCTGTGTTCCTGGCTGGGTTCTATTCTGTATTCTGTGACCCAAGGTGTCTACCTTGGTAAACTGGAGGCTGTTTTAGTTTGCATTCCCACTGGCAATCTGTAACATTTCTCTTGGTCTGTGTCTTTGTTAGCACTTGGTGTTATCAGTGTTTTTTAGTTGAGCCATTCTAACAAGTCTAGTGGGATCTCATTGTGGTTTTAATTTGCAATTCTGTAATGGCTAACAATGCTGAATATCATGTTCTTTTTTGCCACTCTTGTATCCTCTGTGAGTTTCTGTTCAGATCTTTTGCACAGAAAAAGCTGTATCATGGAACCAGTAAAATAACCAAGGAGAGGTTGATTAAAGTTCTGTTTATAACCCTAGAAGATTCCTGCCCTAGGGATATGGGATGGCTGAACGTAGGACACTGACACTGGACAGATGAAATAGCAGTTTATTAGTCACGCATGCTCACAGCCCTGGGGGTGGGGGACACCGCATGCCACACGGGGGCTGCACTTGGGAACAGAGTGAACCACGAGGGGCTGTGGGAGGCACATTTTGTAGTAAGAACAGGGTGAAGTGACCTTGCTTCCCATGGGAAGATGTGACTGGCTTGTTTGAATAACTCTGGGCCGGCAGGGATGAGCAGGCTGGGGTCGGGTTTCCGCGATAAGGAGGTTGTTTGGCTTTGGGATCTTATCCGTGAGAGCAGAGCTCAGGGGAGACCTTGTGGTTAGGCTATTTGAGGCCTTCTTGATTTTACCAATGTCAAGGCAGCACGTAATATTTAGTCTTAATTTCAGGCCACACGAGAAATTCTTCTGTATCTACTTTCCGTGGCACTTTTCAAAAGGTTTTGTCCTTAGTGTTTAGCAGTTGATTATGATGTGCCTCGTCATGGCTTCCTTTGGATTTATCTTGTGTGGGCTTTGTGCAGATTCTTCAGTCTGCCTGGGTTTATGTCATTTGCTGAACCTAGGAAGTTTTCAGCCATTAGTTCTTTGGATATTTTTTTCAGCATTCACCTTTTCTCTCCTGTTATTAACCTGTGGGGTCTGTGCTAATTCTAGGTAGTTAGTTTCAGAATTGAATTGCACTGTGGGACACACAGCTGGATGTCGCAGAGAACTGGAGAATTACTTGGTGCAAAAGTCCATGCATTTGGTGTCAGAAATGTTGTAAACAGAGGAACTGTTTCCTTCGAGATTTTTAGATAGTCATTATTTGTAATCTGGATGGGATATCGTGTCTTTCACCGATTGAGATACATTTTTCTAATTATGTTGTTAGACATTTAGTCACAGCCTTCTGTGATGGAACGTGTTTACACTTCAAGGTTAAGGTTAGTTCTCTCTTCTCTTCGCTTACTGTGTAAGGAGTTTTATGACAGTTGTTTTTGACTGAAACTTGACATTGTCAGTGGCCTAAAGTGATTTTTCTCAGCTTTTCCTTTGTTTCCCAGTGCTCTTGAATTATGCTATCAGTCACAGTGCCTCTGCATAGCAGTGCTTCCCAGTTGGCAGTGGAGTAGGGCCTTGTAAAGAGTTAAAAGATTTTTGAATCATACTCCTGTTCTACACCCTCCCTTTTCCCATGGATACACAAGCATTGGGACTCACTGGATAAAAGCAATTGGTGTGAAATTGAAGTAGGTAAATATCAAAGACTTAAGTTTCTCAGTTGAGAAATGTACTAGGAAGTAGATGGAATATCACTTTGGAAGACATGCTTTAAATAATTTGTTATATTGGTTTCTTTTTTTTTTTTTTTTTTGAGACAGAGTCTCGCTCTGTCACCCAGGCTGGAGTGCAGTGGTGTGATCTCAGCTCACTGCAAGCTCTGCCTCCCGGGTTCACGCCATTCTCCTGCCTCAGCCTCCTGAGTAGCTGGGACTACAGGCGCCCGCCACCACGGCTGGCTAATTTTTTGTATTTTTAGTAGAGATGGGGTTTCACCGTGTTAGCCAGGATGGTCTCGATCTCCTGACCTTGTGATCCACCCGCCATGGCTTCCCAAAGTGCTGGGATTACAGGCGTGAGCCACCACGCCTGGCCGATATATTGGTTTCTTTATGAAAATTATACTGGGTCTGTTACAGGTATGATTGATGTATTTTATTTTTACGTTGTCCAACATTCAGTTAATGATGTGTGTTGTAACTTTTCGGGGAGGGACATTTGCAGAGACTAATGGTATGGCATTCTGAAAAGCGGTGACAGATTAAAAAATTTTTAATTCTGCAGATGATAGTGTCGAACCAAGTGGAACAAAGAAAGAAGATCTGAATGACAAAGAGAAAAAAGATGAAGAAGAAACTCCTGCACCTATATATAGGGCCAAGTCAATTCTGGACAGCTGGGTATGGGGCAAGCAACCAGGTAATCTTGTGAATTTTGGCACTTTGGAAAGGTTGATCTGACGCTCCCTTTCTAAATAACTTGGATGGATTCTTAGTATTTTTTTGGTAACAATTTTAAAAAAAGTAAATAAAAAATTTAAATATTGTGGTAAAATATACATACCATAAAACTTACCGTTTTAACCATTTTTATGTGTAGAGTTCATTGGCATGAAGTATATTCACATTGTTGCCCAGCCATCACGCTTGACTAATTAGAGACAGAATCTCACTGTGTTGCCCAGGCTGGTCTTATACTCCTGGCTTCAAGGGATCTCCCTGCCTCACACTCCTGAGTTGCTGAGATTTCAGATGTGAGCCATCGCACCTGGCACTACGTGTAACTGTTTGAGGAAGCAGTAAACTGTTTTCCACAGTGGCTACATTGTTTTATATTCTTGCAGCGGTATACTAAGGTTCCCATTTCTCCACACCCTCACCAACACTTTTTGTTTTCTGATGATAGCCATCCTAATTTGTGTGAGTAGGTACAGCATCTCATTGTTTTGATTTGCATTTCCCTGTTGAGTAGTCATGCTGAGCATCTTTTTACATGCTTATTGACCATTTGTATACATTCACTGGAGAAATGTCTATTCAAATACTTTGCCTGGTTTTTTTTTTTTTTTTTTTTTTGGAGATGGAGTTTGGCTCTTGTTGCCCAGGCTGGAGTGCAGTGGTGCAATCTTGGCTCATTGCAATCTCCACCTCCCAGGTTCAAGTGATTCTCCTGCCTCATCCTCCCGAGTAGCTGGGATTACAGGTGTCCGCCACCATGCCTGGCTAATTTTTTGTATTTTTAGTAGAGACGAAGTTTCACTATGTTAGCCAGGCTGGTCTTGAACTCCTGACCTCAGGTGATCCACCCACCTTGGCCTCCTAAAGTGCTAGTATTACAGGCATGAGCCACTGCACCTGGCCCTTTTGCCTCTTTTTTTTTTTTTTTTTTTTTTTTTCCTTTGAGACGGAGTCTTGTTCTGTCGCCCAGGCTGGAGTACAGTGGCGTGATCTTGGCTCACTGCAACCTCCGCTTCCCGGGTTCATGCCATTCTCCTGCCTCAGCCTTCCGAGTAGCTGGGACTACAGGCGTGCACCACCACACCCGGCTAATTCCATTTTTTAATTGAGGTTTTTGTTTTGGGTTATAGGAGTTCTTTATCATGGATGGACTTTCATAATCTCTTCCCTTTATCCAGCCCAGTAAAACCCATACATTTATTCTTTGCTTACTTTTTTTTGTGTAATTCAATTTTTTAAATGTCTAATGCATTTTCATTCCAATTAAAAATATACATAGAATATTTCTTATAAAAATGTATAGATTATAAAAGCAGAAATTTCACCTGACTGCCCACCCCAGTTTCAGCTTTCCTCTAAGAGTTAGCCACTATTATCCCTTCGGTGTGGATATTCAGGGTTTTTTTTCCTTGCATGGACATACATATGTAAATGTACATATATAAAAATAATTTGTGACGCCTGCCATGGTATCTCACGCCTGTAATCCCAGCACTTTGGGATGCTGAGGTGAGAGAATTGCTTGAGGCCAGCAGTTTGCGGCTGCAGTGATCTATGATTGTGCCTCTACACTCCAGCCTGGGTGACAGGGTCTCTGTTTCTTAAAAAAAAATTCGTATTTGGGGTTAATAGTAGTACCTACCTCGTAGGTTATTATAGGATCAGCACAGTAGGCCAGACAAAGTGCGTATGCTATTATCTTGCATGTAGTAAGTACCAGCATGTACTACCTGTTATCCAGAAATGTGCTGAAATGTGCCTTGTATTTTCTCTCTTTCCGTTTGGATCAGTCTTCCCAGAAGTTATCAATTTGAGTTTTTTCAAAGAACCAGTTGTTGGTTTTATTGATTTTGTTTTCTTTTTCATTGATTTCTGCTTTACTCTTTATTATTTCCTTTTTTCTGCTGGCTTTGGGTTCCATTTGCTCTTCTGTCTTTCCTAGTTTCTTAAGGCAAAGGCTTAGATCATTGACTTTAGATTTTTTGTCTTTTCTAACAAGTGTTCAAAACTATAATATAAATTTCCCTCTAAGCATTGTTTAGCCACATTTCACAAATTTGGAAATGTTTATTCATTTTCATCTTCATTCAGTTGAAAATATTTTCTAATTTCCCTTTTAATTTCTTCTTTTACCCGCTTATTATTTGGAAATTGTTATTTCATTTCCAAGTATTTGGGGATTTTCAAATATCTCCTGTTAATTTCTAAATTAGTTGTAGTCAGAGAACATATTCTGTGATTTCAATGTTGAGGCTTGTCTGAAGCCCCAGAATATGGTGTATTCTGTGGAATGTTTCATGCACACATAATAAGAATGTGGCTGTGTGTGGTGGCTCATGCCTGTAATCCCAACACTTTGGGAGGCTGAGGTGGGTGGATTACTTGAGGTCAGGAGTTTGAGACCAGCCTGGCCAACATGGTGAAACCCTGTCTCTATGAAACATACAAAAATTAGCTGGGTGTGGTGGTGGGTGCCTGTAATCTTGATTGCACCCCTGCACTTTAGTCTGGGTGACAAAGCGAGACTACATCTCAAAAAAAAAAAGTGTGTTTTGCTGCTCTGTAAAGCTTAATGAGATCAAGTTGATAGTGTTCAGGTATCCTTGACTTGAAATAATTTTCTGCCTACTTGTTCTATTCACTGTTAGGAGAGGAGTTGAACTAACACACAAGGTTGGCTTACTGCATTAGTTTGACATGAATCTCAGAGATCTTACCCGTACCTGAGTATTTAGTAACTTTAAAGATACAAGTTATATCCTCACTTGTGTGCTCAGGCAAAGTGGGGAGAGATGTGGGAGAGTCTGTGCAACTCCTGCAGGTCCGTCCTCTTTGAACCCCGCCTGAGAGATGAGACCTCTCACTGAGGTGTGTTGTCCTCTCACTGAGGTGTGTGGTCCTCTCACTTAGGTGTGTAATCCTCTCACTGAGGTGTGTAGTCCTCTCACTGAGGTGTGTCTTCCTCTCAGATGTGTCGTCCTTTCACTGCGGCGTGTCATCCTCTCACTGAGGTGTGTCGTCCTCTCACTGCACAAGGAGCATTAAGGATGTGCAGTGTTTCCCTTTTGTAGTCAGATAGTTTATACACCTTAGGGAACGTTTTCCAGGGAGCCATGTCCCGTAAGTCCATGGATTTTAGGTATGTTTACCAAACACAATCCTAAACTAACCACATCTTGCTAAAAACATTTCATAGATAAGGACACTTCTCTTAGCGAATACCAGTCATTTATTTATAGAGAAGCCAGTCTCAGCGTTCTGGGGAGATCAGCTCCAGCGACTGGCTTTATTTCCCAGGAGTATCTCCATCGTGCTGGGGAGGCATGAAGAGCAGTTTCACTGCTTAGTTCCTCTTTCTTCTGAGGAGGATTGAAATCTCTCATGCTAATTATGGATTATTTTCTCTCAGCTCTGCAGGTTTTGCTTCATGTATTTGAGAATGTTATAGGGTGCATGCACTTTTAGGATTTTTACGCCATATTCATAAATTTGACCCCCTTAATCTCCGGTGACATTCTTTGTTGTGAAGTCACCTTGGTCTGACTACTCTCCTTTCTTCTGATTTGGTGTTTGCGTGGTGTGTTTGCCAGGTTTAGCTTTTTTCACTTTCAAACTTTGTGTATGTGTAAAGTGCATTTCTTTCAGGTATCATATAATTAGGTCTTGCTTCTTTATTCACCCTGGCAACCTCTGTTTTTTATTTGGAATCTTTAGACTACTTGGGTTTAAATCTATCATCTCTGGCGTTTTCAGTTACATCTTTCACTTGTCACTGCCCACTCTCAAATGGTATTACACTGCCTGAGCTGCGGGGCAGTGCTCTGACTGTAGCTTCCTGCTTCTGACATGTTCTTGGTTGGCAGTGTTGCTGTGTCATGTCCAAGTGAAACATGGTATAAACCCCACAATATGATGTTTTTGTTTTTGCTTTAAATAGGCAATTACATTTTTTCCCCTCAAATTTGAAAAGAGAAAAAAAAGTCTTTTTTTTTTTTTTTTGAGATGGAGTTTTGCTGTTGTTGCCCAGACTGGAGTGTAATGGCACAATCTCAGCTCACTGCAACCTCCCCCACGTGGGTTCAAGCGAGTCTCCTGCCTCAGCCTCCCTAGTAGCTGGGATTACAGGCAGGCACCACCGTGCCTGGCTAATGTTTTTGTATTTTTAGTAGAGACAGGGTTTCACTGTGTTTGCCAGGCTCGCCTTGAACTCCTGACCTTAGGTGATCCACGTGCCTCAGCCACCCTTAAGTGCTGGGATTATAGGATTATAGGTGTGAGCCACCACACCTGGCCTCTTTTTTTTTTTTTTTTTGAGTCGGAGTTTTGGTCTTGTTGCCCAGGCTGCCAGGATGGAGTGCAATGGCATGATCTTGGCTCACTGCAGCCTCTGCCTCCTGGGTTCAAACGATTCTGGCTCAGCCTCCGGAGTAGCTGGGATTACAGGCATACGCCACCACACCTGGCTAATTTTGTATTTTTGAGTAGAGACATGGTTTCGTCATGTTGGTCAGGCTGGTTTCGAACTCCTGACCTCAGGTGATCCACCCACCTCGGCCTCCCAAAGAGCCACCATGGCTGGCCAGAAAAAAGTTTTTTATGTTAACTTACATTTTACCATTATGGGCCCTTAAGGTTTTGTTTCTGTCCCAGCTGCCTTGTGTTATCGTTTTCCTTCAGTTTGAAGATCTCCCTTTACCGTTTCTAGATCTTCTGACAGAGAAGTTTTTCAGTCTGTCTGGGTATCAATTTTGGCTTTATCTCTGACTCTACACAAATCACTTTGTCTCACCTTGGGCCTCTCATGTATAAAGTAGGAATAAGTGGCTGGGAGCAGTGGCTCACGCCTAATCCCAGCACTTTGGGAGGCTGAGGTGGGTGGATCATGATGTCAGGAGATCGAGACCATGCTGGCTAACACGGTGAAACAGCGTCTCTACTAAAGATACAAAAAAATTAGCTGGGCGTGGTGGTGGGCACCTGTAGTCCCAGCTACTCGGGAAGCTCAGGCAGGAGAATGGCGTGAACCCAGGAGGCGGAGCTTGCAGTAAGCCAAGATTGCACCACCACTCTAGCCTGGGTGACAGGGTGAGACTCCATCTCAAAACAAAAAAAAAAAAAAAAAAAGAGGAATAAGTATAATATAATGTAAATAATTAAAATTATATATAAAATAAGTGAAAGTACTTAGAGAGTTGCTGTGCAACTGACATGAAGTAATGCATTTGAAGCTCCTAAGTCAGTGCCTGGCACAAATGTTTGATAAAGATTTGTTGTGATTTTAAAAATCTGTTGTTTTGCCTTTCTCCTTGTTTCCCCTCACCTAGGTATCAAAGTACCTACAGTTATGGGTGGGTAACTAGACCCGAAATACACCTTTCTTGCTCAGATTAAAGCCCAGCTTATTGACTCAGGGTGGCTTTAATGAAGAGGGTTTACTTGGAAGCTCTGCTTGCTCACAGGTACAGAGCTTTCGCAGAACCGACTCTCTACCTGGCAGCCTTGAAGGGGCTTGGATTCAAAGCATATTCTTGAGCCACTCCATCTTTAATCAAACTGCAGGTGGAATTTGTAGCTGTTAGAATAGCTCCTATTCCTTTCATTTCTTTTTCTGTTTTTTTGCTCTTCCATCTCAGCCTAAAAAGAAAAACACATTAATTTGAGCCATAGGAATTTAGAATTTGTTTTTTCTTTTGCTTAGATATGTTTGACTAAAGCTTCCTTTTTCACAGGTTTATTTTTTTCCAACGTTTTATTATGAAAAAAATTATACAGAAAAGTTGAAAGAATTTTACAGCGCGCACCCACATATTCACCACCTGAGACTGTGCCGCTGGCATTATCCCACGTGCTTTATCACCGCTCTCTCCACTTTTTTGTCCCTCTATTCATCCATCAGTCCCTCACATTTTTTTTGCAATGTTTCCAAGGAGACCTCTGGACACTTGCTTCTCAACATTGCAGCGTGTAGGCCCTCAGCAGGAGTTCAGAAGTGCACATTTCACAGTGAACCTTCTGAGAGTGTTGACAGATCACAGCTTTTCTTTTTGTCTAATGAAAAGGGCTTGCTGGCCATTGGGTGTTGTAATCTTTTAGGGGAGTAAACTCTTAGTAACTATCTAAATCATTCTTAATGATTCTCTCTGCCGTGTAAATAGGTCTGGGAGGACCCTTTCTGACATTGTTTTTGGCATAGGTTTTAGCTTAAGGTGTTGTAAATGCTGTTTATCAAGATGATGAAGTTCCCGTTTGTTGCTATTTTCTGAGAATTTTTATCATTCATGAGTATTGAATTTTGTCATTTGCTTTTTCTAAATCAATTGATATGTAATTATGTGATTTTTGTTCTTTAGCCTATTAATAGGGTGGGTTACATTGATTTTTGACTGTTGAACCCACTTTACATTCCTGGAATGAAACTACTTGGCAATGATGTGGAATTCTTTTTATATATTGTTTAATTCTACTTGCTAATAATTCGCTGTATATTTTTGTGTCTCTGTATATATATTGTTCTGTACTTTGTACTGTCTTTAGGTACAGTACCTAATATTAGCTTCTTAAAATGTTAATATTAGCTTCTAATATTAGCTTCTTAATATTAGCTTCTATTAGCTTCTAATATTAGCTTCTTAATATTAGCTTCTAATATTAGCTTCTTAATAGTAGCTTCTTAAAATGAATTGGGAAGTTTTTCCTCTTCTAGTTTCCAGAAGAGATTGTTTTGAGTCCGTGTTAATTCTTTTTTAATGTTTGATGGAATTATCCAGTGAGTTCATTTGGGTCTGGTAATTTCTTTTTTTTCGGATTCTTTGAATTATGAATTCAGTTTTCTTGATAGTGGTAGGGCTATTCAAATGATCTATTTTATATTTGGTGAGTTGTGGTAATTTGTATTATTTGAGGAATAAGTCCATTTTGCCCAAGTTGTCAAAGTTACATGTGTAGAGTTGTTCCTAGTAATTCCTAATTATCTTTTTTGGTATCTTTAGAGTCCGTTTCATCACTAATGTTGGTAATTTATGTCTTTTTTTTTTTTTTTTGTCAGTCATGCTTAGAGAGGTTTGTCAGTTTTATTGATCTTATCAAAGAACCAGCTTTTTGCTTTACTGTTTATTGGTTTTCTGTTTTCACTTTGTTTCTACTCTTTCCTTAATTATTTCTTCTTTTCTGCTTACTTTTGGGTTGATTTTGCTATTTTTTTTTTCTTTTAGGTTGTCGAGGCGGGCACTTATATTATTGATTTGTTTCCAAGTTTCTAATATATCATTTATTTAGTGCTGTAAATTTCTCATCACCCACTGTAGCTCTTTCCCATGCATTTTGATGTATTGTACTTGCATTTTCTCTCAGTTCAGAATATATTTTAAAATTTCCCTTGAGACTTCCTCTTTGATCCATGGATTATTTAGAAGTTTATTGTTTAGTTTCTGAGAGTTAGGCAATTTTCCTGTAATTGTTCTCTTGTTGACTTCTAATTTGTTTCCATTGTTTGAGGGAACATATGCTGTGTGATTTTAATTTCAAAAAATTTGTTAGGTTTGTTTTATGCCTCAGAATATGTTCTAACTTAGTATTTGTTTTGTGGATGCTTGAACAGATTATGTATTCTGCTGTTATTGGCTGGAGTGTTCTGTAAATTTTGATTGGATCCAGTTGATTGATGGTGATGTTGAATTCTATATCTTGGCAGCTTTTCTGTCTTCTAATTTTATCAGCTGTAGAGAGAGACTTTGAGGTCTCCAACTATAAAAGTATAAATGTCTTTTTCTCCTTTCAGTTCTATTCATTGTTTCTTTGTTTGTTTGGTATATGCACGTTTTGAATTGCTGCGTCTTAATGGTGGATTGACCAAGTTCTCATTTTGTAATGTTGCCATCTGTTCCTGGTAATTATCTTTTTTTTTTTTTTTTTTTTTTTTTTTTTTTCCGAGACGGAGTTTCGCTCCTTTTGCCCAGGCAGGAGTGAAGTGGCACGATCTCAGCTCACTGCAACCTCCAACCCCACCGGGTTCAAGTGATTCTCCTGCCTCAGCCTCCTGAGTAGCTGGGATTATAGGCATCTGCCATCACACCTAGCTACTTTTTGTATTTTTAGTAGAGATGGGGTTTTGCCATGTTGGCCAGGCTGGTCTCAGACTCCTGAGATCCACCCACCTTGGCCTCCCAAAGTGCTAGGATTACAGGCGTGAGCCACTGTGCCCGGCCTTCCTGGTAATTATCTTTGCTCTGAAGTTTACTTTATTTGATATAAATGTAGCCAACTTCTGCTGTCCTTTCAGTAATGTTTGCATGATCTTTTTTTTTTTCTATACTTCTATTTTCAGTTTGCCTGTTTGAAGTCACTTTCTTATGGACAACATATAGTTGGATCATGTTCTCTAGTCTGCTCTCCTGGTGTCTTTTAATTGATGCATTTAGACTGTTTACATTTAATTTAATGTCATTATTAGTAAACTGAGGCTTAACACTGCCATTTTGTTTTGTATTTTCTATTTCTTCTGTTTTTCATTTTTTCGGTTTGGTTCTTCCTGGCTCTCTGTGGTTTACTTGACCATTTTTAGCATTCTATTTTATCTGTAGTGTTTTAGAGTGTATCTTTTTGTATAGCTTCTTTAGTGGCTTTTCTAGGTAATATGTTACATACAGATTGAGCATCTCTAAACCCAAAATCCAAAATCTGAAATGCCCCAAAATTTGAAACTTTTTGGCACTCCAGCATGATGCCCCCAAATTGAAAATTCCATTCATAAGTACTTAGCACGAACTTTGTTTCATGCACAAAATTATTAAGCATGCTGTATAAAATTACCTTCAGGCTCTGTGTATAAGTTATATATAAAACATAAATGAATGTATTTAGACTTGGGTCCTATCCCCAAAATATCTCATTATTTATATGCAGATATTCCTAAATCTGATACAAATCTGAAATTTGGAACACTTGTGCTCCTGAGCATTTTATAAGGGACACTCAACCTGTGTATATATGAACACTTATCAGATTGTACCTGGTGTTGTCATTTACCAGCTTCAGGGATATAGAAACTACCTCCCTTGACGTTCCTTTATGTTCTCCTGTTCATAACATACTTGCCTTAAATATTTCATTTACTTACATTGATAACCACATATGACAATGTTATAATTTTTGGTTGAACCTTCAGACGTAATTTAGCAAAGTCAAGAGGTGAGGGAAAAGTCTATTGTATTTATGCGTTGGTGTGCTTGTCATCTCCTCCTTCCAGAAGTTCCAGGGTTTTCTTTGATGGTTGCCATTCTGCTTAGAGAACTTCCATTAGCCTTTCTTTTGGTGTGGGTCTTCTGGTGACAAATTCTGTTTCACTTCCTCTGAGAATGTTTTGCTTTCCTTTTCATTCCTGAAGGACATTTTTGCTGGATATAAGAATTCTGGGTTAATGGTTCTTTTCATTGTTTAAAAAATATTTTGTACTTTCAGCTGGGCTCCATGGTTTCTGATGAGAAATTCGCTGTCATTTGACTTGTTAATGCACGATAGTTAAGGCAGTTTTTGTTTAGTGGCTTTTGAAATGTTTTGTCTTTTGTTTTTTGGAGTTTGATTATTGTATGTCTTAGTTTGGATTTCTTTGGGTTCATCCTGTTTAGGGTTTGCTTACCTAAGATCTGTAGATTTATGTCTCTTGCCAAATTTGGGAACTTTTAAGCCATCACTTCGTAGAGTACAGTTTCAACCCCACCTTCTTTCTCCTGTCCCTTCGTGAGTTCAGTGACTGGAGTTGTTATAGTCCCATAGGTCCCCAAGACTGGTTTTTTTTTTTTTTTTTTTTTTTTTTGCTGGGACATTTCTTTCTCTCTTCCCTTCCCATCCCGTCCCATCCAGTCCCGTCCCGTCCCATCCCTTCCTGTCCCTTCCCATCCCTTCCCGTCCCTTCCCATCTTCGGAGTCTCTCCCTGTTTCCCAGGCTGGAGTGCAATGGACGTTCTCGGCTCACTGCAACCGCCGCCTCCCTAGTTCGAATGATTCTTCTGTCTCAGCCTCTCGAGTAGCTGGGATTATAGGTGCCCGCCACCATGCCCAGCTCAGTTTTGTATTTTTAATAGAGATGAGGTTTCACCATGTTGGCCAGGCTGGTCTCAAACTCCTGACCTTGTGATCCGCCTGCCTCGGCCTCCGAAAGTGCTGGGATTACAGCTGTGAGCCACCGTGCCCTGCCTTGGGGGCATGTATTTCTTCTGTGTTATTCACATTGGATAACTTCTATCTTCTATGTCACTGATTCTTTGCCCTTTTTCCTCCATTCTACTGCTGTGTCCATTCACTGAGCTTTTTATTTTGGTTATTGTATTTTTCAGTTCTAAACTTTCTATTTGGTTTCTTTTTTTTGTCTTCCTTTTCTTGTCTTAGGCTTTCTATTTTTTCATTTATTTCACATGTGTTTGTAATTGCTTGTTGAAGCCTTTTTATCGTGACCGTTTTTAATTATTTGCCACATTATTCCAACATCTTTCATCGTGGTATTTCTATAACTGTTTAAAATTTGGTTTTAGATCTTCCTGGTTCTTGGTATCATGAGTGACTTTCTCAATAGAACATGTTGTTAGGCGACTCTAGGTCTTACTTAAATCTTCTGTGTAAGTGGTTAAATCTTTCTGTGACCCTGCTCTGGCAGGGATAGGGCGTGCTTCACCTCATCGCTGGCAGCTGGAGACGAAGTCCAGGCTTCCCACTTTGCCTAGAGGCCCCTGGTTACTGTGAGGCAGGGGTAGGAGTTCTGACTCCCCAGTGGTGTCCATGGTTTGTGTATTTTCTCACCCACTGTTTCAGAGTGTACATGACTGATGGACTGGGCAGTCAGGATTGCGACGGAATAAGCAGGAGGGTGTCAGGGAGAAGGGCACGTGGGTGCTCAAGGGCAGAGCTGCCCTCTTGGAGCTTTGGGGTTGTTTCTGGGCTCTGCAGCCAAGCAGAAGGGAGATGTATTATTTAAAAGCGGCAAATGCAGTGACTCTTCAGGAAGGGCTTAGCCCTTGAAGTGCTGGGCCAGCTCCTTGCCTGAAGGGTGGCTCGGTGGGGATGCCCTGAGAAGGGCAGGGGCACTGCTTTACCTTTCAGTCTTTCACTTCTCCATCTTGAGCCCAGTGTGCAATTCAGTATTCTTCATGTCGTTTTAAATAACTATTAGCTCTTAGCTGCAAAGCTCCAGGTCTCACATCCTACTGCTGGTGCTGGGCACAGTGTGCGCCACCCTGTGCCTTTCCAGGGAGTGGTGAGATGTTTCTCTCTACTGCCTTCTAAGGCCCTCCTGTCCCGTGGAGAGCATATCCAGGTAGTGGGTAGCCAGAAAACTGATGTCTTCTGCACAAGGGGAGGCAGCCAGTAGGGGTGTTGCTATTACCTGTGAGGATCCAGGGCTGCGAGGCTGGTGGCTGCTGGCCTCCAGGCTAGTAAGCAGCAGAGAGGCAAGCACAAAAGAGACCAGCTCTCACCTCGCCACTGGGAGCTGTGCTGTTAGAGGGGATTGGTGGGAGGTAACTTACAATTCCCTTATAATGATCTGTGCTCTGAGGCAGACACATGCTTAATTGAAAGACCAGAATCCTTTGAATTATTTTCAGTCCTGTGATTGCCTTCTAGCTACTTACAAAACACTTGTTAGTATGGAAATTTTCAAAGATACATAGAAGAAGAGAGAATAATATAATGAAATATCACTTACTCACTAGTTAGAATGTGTATTCTAACTTGTTACTTTATCTTCCTCTAAAATATGTCCATAAATGTGCTTCATGAGTCATGCATGCTGGGTAATTTTATCAAGACATCGTTTTTATATTGAATTTGGTTTTGTAACATGAAAATAATGGCTAGTGTTTTTCTCTGTTTAGGAGATGTGCTGCTGATAAATATTGACTAATATTGACTTCAAAGTTCTGTGTTAGTAACTTTTTTTTTTGGGAGACAGAGTCTCACTCTGTCACCCAGGCTGGAGTGCAGTGACAAAATCTCAGCTCACTGCAACCTCCTCCTCCTGGGTTCAGGCAATTCTCGTGCCTCAGCCTCCTGAGTAGCTGGAATTCCAGGCGTGCGTCACCACACTCGGCTAATTTTTGTATTTTTTTTTTAGTAGAGAAGGGGTTTCACCATGTTGGCCAGGCTGGTCTCGAACTCCTGACCTCAAGTGATCCACCTGCCTTGGCCTCCCAAAGTGCTGGGATTCCAGGTGTGAGCCACTGTGCCCGGCCAACTTCTTTTGTATGATGTTTCCATAGAGAGAGGCAGTGTGCCATGGTGGCTCAAGAGTCTCTGTCATGTGCCGCACTCCTCTGTGTGGCCTCGGACAAGTTGCTTAACCACTTGGTGCCTCAGTTTCTTCATCCATAAAATGGATGGACAGCACTGCTTGACAGTGCTGGGTGTGAGGGTTGCCTGAGCTCATGTGTGTAAAGTGGTTAAAACCATTATTGCCACATATCATGCCTTCGAGTACTACCTGTCGTCATCATCCATTTTCTCAACATTGCAACAAACTGTGGCCACATTGTCCACAGGTGAGATGTTTTCTTGTCTTATTTTCTAGATGTGAATGAACTGAAGGAGTGTCTTTCTGTGCTGGTTAAAGAGCAGCAGGCCCTGGCCGTCCAGTCAGCCACCACCACCCTCTCAGCCCTGCGACTCAAGCAGAGGCTGGTGATCTTGGAGCGCTATTTCATTGCCTTGAATAGAACCGTTTTTCAGGAGAATGTCAAAGTTAAGTGGAAAAGCAGCGGTATTTCTCTGCCTCCTGTGGACAAAAAAAGGTAACAATAAAGCGAAGAAAGAATCCTGATGCCAGTTAAATATAAAATTCAGACTGTTTTGTTTCAGAAAGTTTAAGGTTTTCAATATAGGCTGTCTTCACCTTCTGAAATTTATTCTTGCTTTCCCTTTTTGTATGTTTTGTATAATCTGGAGAATGGATTTGCCAATTTGCTCATGTAGTAATAGACCATGCTGTGTAATCTGTGCCATTATTTTATTTTATTCAATAAAATTTTTCTTTTCTTTTTTTTGGAGAGACAATGTCTTGCTCTGTCACCCAGGCTGGGGTGCAGTGGTGTAATCATAGCTCATTGTAACCTTGAACTCCAGGGCTCTAGTGATCCTCCCGCCTCAGCCACCTGAGTAGCTGGGACTACAGGCACATGCCACCATGCCTGGCTAAATAAAAACAATTTGTGTGTGTGTGTGTGTGTGTGTGTGTGTGTGTGTGGAGATGGGGTCTTGCTCCTGGCCTCAAGTAATCTTCCTGCTTCAGCCTCTCAGAGTACTGGGATTACAGGCATGAGACACTGCGCCTGGCTCTGTGTCATTATTGTAAAGACATTTTTCTGTCAGTAACTGTGGAAGCCAGCCACAGCTTTAGATCAGCTCAAGTATAAATTGGAAAATGAGTTCTGAACGTTGTATACGTTTTATTTTGTTTTGCTGCTGGGTAGGAGATAGATTGTAATGTTTAATGCCCAACTAGTTTAGATGCTTCATGTTTTTCCTTCCTAATGTGATTTTCTTATTCTTTTATTACAAGAGTTGCTTTTGGGCTGGGTGTGGTGGCTCACGCCTGTAATCCCAGCACTTTGGGAGGCCTGAGGTGGGCGGATCACCTCAGGTCGGGAGTTGGAGATCTGACCAACATGGAGAAACCCCATCTCTACTAAAAATAAAAAAATTAGCCGGGGCTTGGTGGCTCATGCCTGTAATCCCAGCTACTTGGGAGACTGAGGCAGGAGAATTGCTTGATCCCGGGAGGTGGAGGTTGCGGTGAGCGGAGATTGTGCCAGCCTGGGCAACAAGAATGAAATTCTGTCTCAAAAAGAAGCAAAAAAAAGAGATGCTTTTGGGCATATGAGTTTTAATTTGTTGATGCCTGTTAATGTATCACAGATTTCCACTATTTGCTAACAGCCACTAGAATGTTTAAGGCTTATGTAAATTTGTACTTTTCCAAAATGAAGCTATCAGACTTTTGTCCTCAGAAGGTTAAACTACAAGACTGCCAGATGAAACTTATATTTTGTGTTAGGAGTGCTGGCTTTATTTGACTGTGATAGTGACTTTGACTCCCTGGAGAGAGCACATAGAAGGTACGGGAGGCAGAAAGAAACAAGAGCAAAACCCTGATCGTCTTGCTCCCCAGAGACAGGAGCGGTACTTGTAGCTTGTTTCCTTGTTTTCTTATGTTTTAATTTTTGTGTTTGTTTTCCTTTTTTGTTTCCTTATGTTTAAATATAGTTGAAATCACATTACAGTTGGCTCTCTGTGTCTGTGGGTTTCACATCCACAGATTCAACCAACTATGGATCGAAAATATTGGAAGAAAAGCAATAAAAAACAACACAACAATAAAAAAATACAAAGAAAAAACAATACAATATAACATCTAATTCCAGAGCATTTACCTTGTATTGGGTGTTATAGTAATCTAGAGATGATTTTTTTTTGTTTGTTTGTTTTGACATGGGGGTCTCACTGTTGCCCAGGGCAGTGGGGCCATCATGGCTTCCTGCAGCTTTGACCTCCTGGGCTCAAGTGATTCTCCCACCTCAGCCTCCCAAGTAGCTGGGACTGCAGGCGTGTGCCACAATGCCTAGCTAATTTTTGTATTTTTTGTAGAGCTGAGGTCTCACTGTGTTGCCCAGGCTGGCCTCGAGTGATCTGCCTGCCTTGGCCTCCCAAAGTGCTGGGATTACAAGCATGAGCCACCATACCTGGCCAATTTTTTTTTTTTTTTAATTTGTATAGATTGGGTTTTGCCATGTTGCCCGGGCTGGTCTTGAACCCCTGGGCTCAAGCAACCCTCTCGCCTTGACCTCCCAAAGGGTTGGGATTATAGGTGTGAGCCACTGTGCCTGGCTGAGATGATTTAAATTATACTGGAGGATGTGCACAGGTTATATGCAAATACTACACCATTTTATATCAGGGACTTGAGCATCCTAGGGTTTTGGTATGGAGCCAGGGTGGGGCAAGCCTGGTACCAATCCCCTACAGATACCAAGGGACGACTGTACATGTTGTATTTTTGAAAATAGTTTTAGGGTAAATTAAACCAAGAGACAGATGAGATTCCTACCCATTTGGTAATAGGAGTGCCATGGTTCTTTCTTCCTTCCTAACCGGCTGTGATGGTCATGAATCAGTGTTATGTACGGGTCGGCGGTAGGTGCTAAGATTGTCCAAGCACTGTTGTGTGTTTGTCGAATCAAACTGAATTCCCTCAGCTGCAGAAATGGCTGAGAGCCCAGCTGATTTTTCTCTGCTGTTTCCTTTGTGATGACTTAGGGTTGGTGAATTAATTGGAATGTATCTTTCATTAAGTGGAAGAATTCCTAAAATTTTAAAAAAGCCCCTTTTTTTTTTTTTTTTAGATAATTGTGGATTCACATACAGTTGTAAGAACCAGTATAGAGATTCCTTGTACTGTTCGTCCCGTTGCCCTCAATGGCAGTTGCAAACTGTGACACAGTCATCACAACGAGGGTGTTAATTTTGATAGCCTGCCTATCTTATTCAGATTTTCCCAGTTTTACATGCTCTCAATTGTGTGTGTATTTCTTTGCAATTTTTTCAGGTGTGGATTTTCTGAGACCACCACTGCAATTGGTACATGGACAAGGGCCCTTTATACCCACATTCACGTCTTCTCTCCCCACCTTAACTGCTGGCAACCACTCATCTGTTCTGTGTGCCTATTATGTGATTTTTTGACATTGGCTTTTAAATTTTTTATTATTGTTATTATTATAATTTTTGGAGACAGGGTCTCACCCTGATGCCCACAAGCTGGAGTGCAGTGATATAATCATAGCTCACTGCAGCCTCAAACTCCTGGACTCAAGCAGTCACCTCATTTCAGCTTCCTGAGTAGCTGGGACTACAGATGCATGACACCACACCCAGCTCATTTTGTATTTGTAGAGACTGGGGTCTTGTTGTGTTTCCCAGGCTTGTCTGGAACTCCTGGCCTCAAGCAATATTGACTTTTTTCACTCAGCACAATCCCCTTAACATTTTCCCAAAGGGGTCATTGCATGTATCATTATTTTATTATGGCTGAGTAGTTTTTTTTTGTTTTTGTTTTTGTTTTTTTTTTGAGACAGAGTCTCGCTTTGTCGCCCAGGCCAGGCTGGAATGCAGTGGTGCGATCTTGGCTTACTGCAACCTCTGCCTCCCAGGTTCAAGCAATTCTGCCTCAGCCTCCCATATAGCTGGGACTATAGGCATGCACCACCACACCCGGCTAATTTTTGTATTTTTAGTAGAGATGGGGTTTTGCCATGTTGGCCAAGCTGGTCTCAAACTCCTGACCTAAAGTGACTGGCCCACCTCCTCTGACCACACTTGGCCCATGTGCTTTCTCTTGTAAGGACTGTGTGTCCTGTTACATGTCTGTGTCTTGTCATGTTCGTATTTCTCATTTAGGAGCAAAGATTTCCATCTTCCAGGTACCCAGTGCCCTTCTCAGAGGTTCTTGTGTTTCCTCTCTGAGCTCCCGGTGCATTATTCAGGCACTTGTGGATAAGCGTGTACTGTTGCCCCTGGCCAGCCGTGTTCTTCATTGCCATTTTTATTACATATTGTATCTTGGGGAGATCCTTCTATAACAACCCTCTTTTTTTTTTTTTTTTTTTTTTTTGTTTTTTGAGATGGAGTCTTGCTCTGCCTCCCAGGCTGGAGTGCAGAGGTGCGATCTTGGCTCACTGCAACCTTTGTCTCCCAGGTTTAAGTGATTGTCCTGCCTCAGCCTCCGAGTAGCTGGGACTACAGGCACCCGTCACCACACCTGGCTAATTTTTGTATTTTTAGTGGAGACAGGGTTTCGTCATATTGGCCAGGCTGGTCTTGAACTCTGTATCACCTGTTTTTATAGGATTTCCCCTGATCATGAAAGCAAATTTTAGTAAATTTGGAGAATATAGTTTATAGTAGCAATACTGTAATATTAGAAACATGATATAGTATAAAGTATAACATACAATTACTTGCTGTGCATGATTGAGTTGAGATTATATATGCATTTTTATTTTATTTTATTTTATTTTTTTTGAGATGGAGTCTTGCTCTGTCTCGCAGGCTGGAGTGCAGTGGCGCGATCTTGGCTCACTGCAAGCTGCACCCCCCAGGTTCACACCATTCTCCTGCCTCAGCCTCCCCTATATATGCATTTTTGTATTCTAGCCTTTTCTCTCTTGTACAGGATGATTTTTATGGTGTACCATATGCATAACCTTTTAGAACATGCAGAATGAAACTGTGACTTGTGAAATTAACATACACAAGTAGTGAAAAGCTTAAATAGACACAGGAGGGTGATGAGCACCACCGTCAGAAGAGGGCAATGCCCCATAGGGTGGGTCAAGCACGCAGGGCTTCACCCGCGGCCAGGAGCAGACCTCGAGTGGAGGACGCCGGAGCTGGGGCGAGCCAGGCTACCCTCTGCGGCTCTGCTGCTCTTCTTCCAGCTCTTCTCCGGCCTGGTCTCCCATGTGGGGTTTATTCTCCCTCCGTTTATGTATTTATCTCCTTATCGTCTGCTTCCTCCCAGTAGAATCTCACTTTGGGAGGTCATTTCTTGAGCATTTTCCCAAGACATTTAAAATTCCTTATACATTTCTTTGATTCTTAAAGAGAAAACTTTTCCTTTACAAAAGACATTTGATGAAAGTTGTTAAACAACAAAACGAAAAATCCACTTGTGATCCTGTCACTTGAAGAAAACCATTGGTCGGATTTTGGTACACACCCTTTCATAGTATTGATTTTATGTAGTATCTGCACCCTCTGCTGCTGACTGGTTGTATGTTCCGTGTGTGTCGTCTGCAGTTCCCGGCCTGCGGGCAAAGGTGTGGAGGGGCTCGCCAGAGTGGGATCCCGAGCGGCGCTGTCTTTTGCCTTTGCCTTCCTGCGCAGGGCCTGGCGATCAGGTACGGTCCCTGGTGTGGCGCGTTGTTCTGCTTCCCTAATACATCAACAGACTGGGTTTCGAACTCGGTTCAGCCACCATGTGCCCTTTGGCTGATCCCATGTGCTCTCTGTGCCTCAGTTTCCTTGCTTGTGAGATGAGAGGCTGCAGAGGCTGTTTGGCTTTTCACATCTGTGCTTTAAAGAAAAAAAAGAGAGTGTATGCACCCCCACCCCCACGTCAACCACTACCATGGAACACCTGAGTACAGACTTAATTCTAGAAGGACAAGAAGTTAGTGTATTGCTCATGTGACAGCCGTGAAACACAGAATTGACTGGAGCAGCTGCGCTAGATTTTGGCCTGTTGAGTGAGGGATTGGAAAGGTGACAGTGGCGTCATCTCTCGCTGAGGGGTGGGAAGCCCAGCGGGAGAGTGAGGGGAGTGGGGGGGCTCCTCTGACGCGTGTGTGCGCCCAGGCGAGGATGCGGACCTCTGCAGTGAGCTGTTGCAGGAGTCCCTGGACGCCCTGCGAGCACTTCCCGAGGCCTCGCTCTTTGACGAGAGCACCGTGTCCTCTGTGTGGCTGGAGGTGGTGGAGAGAGCGACCAGGTTCCTCAGGTCCGTCGTGACGGGGTGAGTTCTTTCCTTTCTTGCCTTCTGCACGCAGACAGCTGGCCTGCTTGAGGCTGGTTCTTACCACCCTTGCTTTAGAGCTAAGAAGCCTAGTAGGTTGGTTTTTCACCTGTTTTCAGCGGGCTGTCAGTGCTGTGATTCCGGGTCTGGGTTCTCAGCTTTTCAGGCGATTTGATTTATGATACTCTGACTAGACCCAGGAAGCTGTGATACTAAATGAGACGGATGAGAGAGAATGCTTAGAGATTTGGCCATCAGTCATTCGTAGAGGTTTGAGTGCTTACACTGTGTGTCTCTCTGTGATGATTAGGAGCTGCTGTTCTGAGTGCGGAGTGGTGCTTGGTTTGAAGTCTTATAGATAATGTGGGAGTAAACAACTACTCAAGATCAAATTCTTTAGTCCTGTAGCTGATCTTTTTAGTGTAAAAAATTTTGAATAGGAATCATTTGTGTGTAAGAAAAACATGAACTCTGGTCTTGGGTGCTATGCATTTTTGTTAAGGTTTTTAAATTTAAAGAAAATATAAAATTCAACAGGAAGGACAGATGCAGAGGGAAAGTGAGGCCACTCCTCACTCTCCTTGCAGAGGTCAGCACTGTGCCTTCTTGCAGCCAGCAGGAGGCCTTTGGCGTTTGCGTCCCCGGCTCTGAGTCCACTTCCTGAGCCGGCTGGTGAAGGCATCACCACAGAGTTTTAACGCTGGAGGCCCTGAGCATAGGCTTGGAGTTGATTTCACAAATTCAGCTGTAATATTGATACCATAAGATCCTTTCTCTGCAGTCTTAGGATAGAATTTTAGAAAATTTATTATTGAGTAACATAGAAAAGTTAAAAATATTTCATTGATCAGAGATAGAAATTAGTGTTGACATTTTGCCTCCAGATTCTAAGGTGGTTTTAGAAATTGGTTCTTTAATTCTGTAGATAAATGCTGATACTGGTATAGTCTTATACGTCATTGAAACTGGAAAAGATAGCTAGATATTCTTCTACTTATGTTTTTGATAATGAGATAAATTATTTTATGCTTCATATACATGGAGTATGTCATCTACTGTAATATAGTATCTGAGTGAACACTTTAAATAAAATATAGTTGTGTAAGCTAATTGTACACTTATAATCTCTGAATAAATTTGAGTAGCAAGTATCAGAAACTTGATCCTAAATATTAAAAATACATCCTTCCTTTGGAGGGAGCGTGTAGTAAATGTGTTAGTGTGATTGTAAGCATGCTGTCTTTCTGGAGGTTGCTTTGTTCCTGCATCCACTGCTTTCATTTCAGGGATGTTCACGGAACGCCAGCCACCAAAGGGCCAGGAAGCATCCCCCTGCAGGACCAGCACTTGGCCCTGGCCATCCTGCTGGAGCTGGCTGTGCAGAGAGGCACGCTGAGGTGAGGGCTGCCGCAGACGGGAACGCTTTGGGGAAGCGCCTGTGTATGGAAATACCTGTTGCATTGTGTGTGTTTCACTGAATCGTTTGTGACCGCAGCAGATGTGGTACTCTGTACGGAGAACCATGTCCCAGGGCTCTCTCTCTTTACCTTTTCTTCACTTCCTGTTTTATGCTCAGTGTTCTAGCCTGGGAACTGTTCTTTTTTTTTTTCTTTCAGTTTTCTTCATTTATTTATTTTTATTCCATGAATTTAAGATCCTAGAACTTTCATGTAAATGTGCTCTTTGAGCTTCTTAACTGGTCTTTCTTATGAGCAGAAGGCGATGTCTTGTGCTAAAGTCTTGGTGTCAATTCAGTGATTTAATTACCACGGCTTTAGTTTAGTTTCCTTTCAAATCCCAAGTATTTGTTCACTTCTATCCAGCTATTTGCTTTTATTTTTGATCAACTGTGAAGAAAAGAAGTTAATCTGTTTTTACTAGAATAAATATCTTTTCTCCTTTAGCCAAATGTTGTCTGCCATCCTGTTGTTGCTTCAGCTGTGGGACAGCGGGGCACAGGAGACTGACAATGAGCGTTCCGCCCAGGGCACCAGCGCCCCACTTTTGCCCTTGCTGCAAAGGTTCCAGAGCATCATTTGCAGGAAGGATGCACCCCACTCCGAGGGCGACATGCACGTGAGTGTCATGATGGAACTTTGTGTTTAGGTGGCACTCGAGTCTAGTTACTTTTAAAGCAAGACTAGCATGCATGTCAACGGCAGTGTTTTTCTCTGGCGTGTGTGTGTTTGGTGGTAATAGCAGCGAGTCAGATGAGACAGGTGTGGGAGGTCACTTGTTTGTGGAGAAGACTCGGATCAGTGAGCACTGACTTCCTTGTCAGCACAAAACCAAGCTTGAAACATTCACTTTTAAATAAATACCAGAAAAGAACAACGAAAATAGCGGCCTGCTTTGTTGGTCCTTCCTATGTACTGGGCTCTGTGCAGGGCACGTCACCTGAGCTGTCACTCTGTTTGGTACCAGCTCCCGCCTTAACAGGTGTGGACAACAAGCTGAGGGAGGAGCAGGCGTGCGGGGCCCTGGGCCTAAACCTCCAGGACTGCTGGTCTTTACATGTCAAGTACAAGTTGGATTTTGCCAGTCTTTTTGGGAAAGTCTTAGGCATTCCAATATCGTGCTTTGGTTTAATTTTTCTATTATTGGCAGTCTTTTTTTTTTCCTTAGATGGAGTCTTGCTCTGTCGCCCAGGCTGGAGTGCAGTGGCGTGATCTCGGCTCACTGCAAGCTGGGCCTCCTGGGTTCACACCATTGTCCTGCCTCAGCCTCCCGAGTAGCTGGGACTACAGGCGCCCACCACCAAGCCCAGCTAATATATTTGTATTTTTAGTAAAGATGGGGTTTCACCATGTTACCCAGGATGGTCTCGATCTCTCGACCTTGTGATCCGCCTGCGCCTGCCTGGCCCTCCCAAAGTGCTGGGATTACAGGCGTGAGCCACCATGCCCAGCCTATTATTTGGCAGTCTTTAAACTAATGATAATAGGGCTCTTCTGCCTTTAGAAGAATTAGAACTATGATTTAATTTGCAAATGAAAGTAGGTGTTCTCCAGAGTGGGCAACGTTTAGATTAAAATAAAGGTTTTGGTTTTAGATTTCAAGGCCAGCTTGAGATGCTGTGCTGGGTTCCCACAGAGGTGGTTCTGCCTTTCTCCAGGGGTCCTAGGCCTGTAGGGTGGTTTGGTCATGTTAGTAATCTGTGTGGATCCATCTTACCTGTGGTATCATAAATGTATACATGCGCAGTCAATGTTGTGTATGCGTGTACAGCAAATTTAGACATTTACACAGTCAGTTTATATGCTGCATAAATATATAGATGTATAGTATAACTGTATCATTGACATTGTCATTTGATGGGTCAAATGAGTCAATACCAAAATATAAAGCGTGGATAAAGGTTAATTGTGTTAACTTTAATTTTTCCCACCATTTCTGAATTTTTGTTTACTTTTCCTTTCTAGCTTTTGTCTGGCCCTCTGAGCCCCAATGAGAGTTTCCTGAGGTACCTCACCCTTCCACAAGACAACGAGCTTGCCATTGATCTGCGACAAACGGCGGTTGTTGTCATGGCCCATTTAGACCGTCTGGCTACGCCCTGTATGCCTCCGCTGTGTAGCTCTCCGACATCTCATAAGGTGTGTGTGCAAGAACCGTGTTCTCCATGTGTTTTGTAGCTAGTACCACTTGTAGGTTCTCATCCTGGGCCCGTGTGGAGACTTGCTTTTTCTGGTATTGGTAGGGGGAGCTGGCCTGTGGTTTTTAAACGCGTTTGCAGTTGAAGGTGTTATCCGTGTTGAGAGTGAGTGATGAGCAAGCTGAGGCGCACAGGCCTGGCGACCCAACCTGGGGGCCCGGGTTCCAGGTTCAGGTGGCACAGCCCCAGAGAGCTCCCCTTTATCCACAGCCCCAGGCCCTCCCACCTTCTGCAGGGGGTTCCACAGCCTTCTTCATACTCTGAACGCGGACTGTCTTAGTATGTAATGCTGGTGATAGTAGTGACAGTATAATTATATGTTATATATTATATATTATATATCTATATTACATGTCTGTCTGTCTGTCTATCTATCTATCTATCTATCTATAAATAAATAAAAAGAGTGGGTTCTATCTATCTATCTATCTATAAATAAATAAAAAGAGTGGGTTCTCCAGCCTGGCCAACTTGGAGAAACCCTGTCTCAACTTAAAAATACAAAAATTAGCTGGGCATGGTGGCATATGCCTGTAATCCCAGCTACTTGGGAGGCTGAGGCAGGAGAATCACTTGAACCCGGGAGGCGGAGGTTGCAGTGAGCCAAGATCGCGCCATTGCACTGCAGCCTGGGCAACAAGCGTGAAACCCCATCTCAACAAACAACAACAACAAAAACAAACACAAATAGTGCTGCAAGGCCTGACCTGGAACATGTGTCCTCCATGTGTGCACGTGTGTGTGCCCGTGCACATGCACAGGTGGGGATGCACCTAGTGTGGGCTGGTTGTCACCAGATTGCTCCCGTACAAGTTGATTTCTCTCACCACCAACATGGATGCTGGTCTCCCAGCCTTGTGTGTGGGCTTTTGGGATTTTGCCTGCTAAAGCACAAAATGGTGACCCTGATATAGTTTGAGCATTTAAAAATATATTAGTATTTAAGGGCCATTTATAGTACTTTTTAATGGGCTCTGTTAAAATGAAATGCAATGGAAATGGAAAAATAACCTGTTCAGTTGCTTCATCTTACCTGTTAAATGAGGTAATACAGGCTGGTATGAGCTATTTTGATGTTTTGAATCAGCATATTTTCTCTTTATTTGCTTTGTTTTTATTTTGTAGTAGCTCAGTGTTACTCCCAGCCTTTTTTTATTGTTGTTGTTGTTAAAGGAAATGTTTACTTTCTTATCTTACAGGGATCATTGCAAGAGGTCATAGGTTGGGGGTTAATAGGATGGAAATACTATGCCAATGTGATTGGTCCAATCCAGTGCGAAGGCCTGGCCAACCTGGGAGTCACACAGATTGCCTGTGCAGAGAAGCGTTTCCTGATTCTGTCACGCAATGGCCGCGTGTACACACAGGCCTATAATAGTGACACGCTGGTGAGTGTTCTGGGCACTGTGCCTGCAGTGTTCCCTTGCGGGGCAGGGTCTGTCCTACAGATGCACAAGCTCTGGTGTTTCTTTAAGGCGTTTGATTTCTGAAGATTGACAAGGTTCTGTTTATTGTATATTATGTTTAATGATCTCAGTTGTAATATTGTCAAGATTTGGGTTGTGAAGATTAGGAAGTCCTTACAGTGAAACTCATTGCTAATCGTGAGATTCCCGTTTGTAAACTCATTTCCACGTGTAAACTCATTTGACGTTGGGGCCAGACAGGTGACAGGTGAGGGAGTTGGGCCTCGTGGGGATAGTGGCAAATTGGGACGTGGCATGTTTTCATTAAAGCGAGGTGTTCCTCCCTGTCGGCTGCGTGTCTCTGTGGCATGGGGCTAGCCTGCCCTGCCCCTGCATCGGCTCTGGTCTTGCTGCAGAGCACTTGGAGGCTGCCCGCTGTTCTGTTGCTGCTGGGTGGGAAGGGCTGGAGAGCCGGCCCCGTAGTTCCCAGAGACTTATGCCCCACTTGGAGTTACAGCAGGCTTTGCTTGGGGATACATGATAACGGAGAGCTGAGCTGGTTTCATTTTCCTTGGACTGATGACTACTTTTCTTCGTATTTTTCCTTCTTTAGGCCCCACAGCTGGTCCAAGGCCTTGCCTCCAGAAACATTGTAAAAATTGCTGCCCATTCTGATGGTCACCACTACCTAGCCTTGGCTGCTACTGGAGAGGTGTACTCCTGGGGCTGTGGGGACGGCGGACGGCTGGGCCATGGGGACACTGTGTATGTATCGCTTATTCCTGTAGGGGACACACTCTCCTTTTATGTTGCCATATCCTAAACAGGATGGAGCGCAGAAGTGTGTCCAGGTGTTTTCCAATTGCCCTGACATGTAGCGCTGGGATGGAGCAGGACACTACGATATGCCTCCTCCTTGGTGATGGCTTAGGAGCTCTGCCCATGTGTGGAGGGCAACGGGAATTGGCCTTTCTGTTCTTCTTGACCCCGTGCAGCCTTGGCCAGCCTTCTGTCTACTCAAACTGCATCCCCACTGTGGAGTTTGCCAAAACAAATCCCACACCACTGTTCCTTCATTCACAAACAGTTCACCCTGTCTCTCATAGATAAGGTTGTCACCCTTTTCTTGAACCATATATTATTTTTACAGGAACAAAAGTCAGCAGTTTCTTCCTAATATTATCCTACTCAGTGGAACCTTTTATTGTGAAAGAACAAATGAAACAGAAAGTTGTTATAAATGCCAGGTTGTAAAAATTGGGAGGTCTGCCAGCCCCATGGAGTGATGGGAACCCTCTTGTACTTTGCTGTTGTGCATGGAACTTTGGCATTAGGTTTAAATGAGGGATGTATGTACACACCAACCCAGCAAGCCCATTTCTTGTGGGCTGGAGCCCTGAGCAGGGAGAGGGCAGTGCAGAGCTTGAAATGAGTGAAGTCATGACTGCACTTGTGTCCCTTGAGAGGAGCCTGGGGGGCATGGCCCATGCACACCACAGGGTGGAGTTGAGGGCATCATTGCCGACAGCATCCGCTGGGAAGATCCCAAACTGGGAGAAAAGCAGAGTAATGCGTATCGTGTGGTACATGTATGCCAAGCTCAGAACAGCCCAACCCTGACAGTGTTGTAAGGGATTCAGACAAATCTAAGACGAGTGAAAAAGAAAAGATTGATCTCCATGGAATTTATAGCTGTTACTCTCACACTGGATTGTAAAGGCTGGGATTGACATGGGGTACACGGGACTTGAAAGGCATCGAGGTACAGGACAGGGTGGTATGTCTGCTTACTTCCTTTATGGTATTTATAACTGACTTTCTATAAAATATTTCATAGTAAAACAATTCTCAGTGGAGAGTAAGTGCTGGGATGAGTAACTTACGCCTTATTCTAGGACTTCAAGGAAGGAAGAGAGATGAGTGCAGATGGCAGAAGCTGGAGATAACCTTTTGGGGAAATTGAAACTTAAGCTGAATAAGGGATAGTTTGTACTGGAGTAGAGTCATTGGGCTGTCCCTGTGAGCACCTGTGCCACTGTGTGTATTTTGCAAACTAGTAGGTCACAAAGTGAGTAAAGGAGAGGCCTGGCTTCTGTAGATTTTCAAGAAAATGTCATCCATCATAGGAACATATTCTGGATCCTAAGAATAGGGTATTTTGCTAACTTTGAAATTTCTTCAACTAGTAAGACTTCTCTACCCTAATCCCCACTGCCTCATACTTTTCATTTGTAAAGTATAGATTGCAGAGTGCTGGCTTCATTCCATCCACATTCATTTAACAAATACATATAAATGTCGGTCAGCTTTATGAGGCTTCCATACAACCAGATGACTGAGTTTCAGATGTAGAGTTGGATGGGTTTTGACAAGTGCACGCAGTTGGGTCACCACCATCAAGACATGGGGCGCTCCCATCGCTTCCAGGGCCCTCTTTGTACCCTTTGAGTTGATGCCCCCTTCCTACCTCCAGTTCCTGACAACCTCTGATCTGCCCTCTGTTGTTATTATTTTGTCTTTTCCATAATTTAATATAACAAAGCCATACAGTGTATGGTATTTTGTTTCTGGCATCTTTGACTTAGCAGATGTCTTGAGATCCAGCCATGTTGGGTTGGGTGTATGGGTAATTCATTCCTTCTGTTGCAGATGGACCATGGTTTTGGGACATTGTGAATAAAGCTGCAGTGGACTTTACAAGTCTCTTTTTTTTTGAGATGGAGTTTTGTTCTTGTTACCCAAGGTGGAGTGCAATGGGGCGATCTCACCTCACTGCAACCTCCTCCTCCCAGGTTCAAGCGATTCTCCTGCCTCAGCCTCCCAAGTAGCTGGGATTACAGACACCCTCCACTATGCCCACCTAATTTTGTATTTTTAGTAGAGACGGGATTTCACCATGTTAGCCAGGCTGGTCTCGAACTCGTGACCTCAGGTGATCTGCCCACCTCGGCCTCCCAAAGTGGTGGGATTACAGGTGTGAGCCACCGCGCCTAGCCTATTGTACAATTCTTTAACAAACACTATTTTTATATTTCTACTGGGTACCATGTTTGGCATCGGGTTCCAACTGAACAAAAAGTCATGGAGGTGTTAGGTGTTGGAATTCTCTCTTCCTTCTTTCACAAGGTACCTGGAAGGTGAAACTGGCCTGATGCTATGCTGGTCTAAATTTGGATAGTGAATTTCCTTTGTTAACATTAATAAGAAATAACACCAAGAAGAAGGGCATTCATGTTTGTTCCCTTTCTCCCCAAGGCCTTTGGAGGAGCCTAAGGTGATCTCCGCCTTCTCTGGAAAGCAGGCCGGGAAGCACGTGGTGCACATCGCTTGCGGGAGCACTTACAGTGCGGCCATCACTGCCGAGGGGGAGCTGTACACCTGGGGCCGCGGGAACTACGGCCGGCTGGGCCATGGTACGTCTGCTCTGCATGAGTGGGAGCATGCAGCAGGAGGTGGCCTCTTACAGGACTTAGTAACCGCCGTCCTATCTGTTTGAAGGCTCCAGTGAGGACGAGGCCATTCCGATGCTGGTAGCCGGGCTTAAAGGACTGAAGGTCATCGATGTGGCGTGTGGGAGTGGGGATGCTCAAACCCTGGCTGTCACTGAGAACGGTACGTAGAGCTCTCGCCACCCTGGACAGGCCCACGAGGACACGCATGGCAGCTTCCCTGGAGGAAGTGAGATGAGTACAGTGGGCCTCACGAGGCCACCCACCCTGTCGCCCAGTGGGTGTGGGGCTCAGTGGCATTGGGGAAGAGGCCCGGGTGGTTACTGGGCTTGTTTGCCTGAGGCCTCTCAGCTGGTTAGCAGCTGCCGCCGTTCCTGTGTGGGCATTTTATTTTTTAAGAATGAGAGTTGAAATGGGATGATTGACACTCTGAATTGTCTCTGGTTAGTATTATTACATTTCTTAACGTTCGGCCACTCTTGATTCCCTGTGGTAATTCCTGCTAAGTCTTTCTGTGTTCTGTAGTCTGATGCTACGGTATCTGCTTGCTTTGAATTTTGGTTTTATGTTTGTGTTCCTAAGTGAGATCATCCTTTTTTCAAGGGTACCTGATGAGGTTTGATGGTTAAAGTCATGTTAATATTTTAGAAATGACTCGTCTTTCAGTATTGTGGTGGTCTGTCCTTGGCATCTTGTGTGTCTCTGGCGTTGTGGAGTCTTTCCGTTATAATCAGCAGGGGTACCTGTCAGCTTGCTTTCTCTCCTGCAGAAGTTGAATGGCAGATTGGTAATTGAGTGACTTTTGGGCATTTCTTAGGTGAAAGATGAAAAATCATTTTAGATACTTCCCTGTATGTCGGTCCTGCTGCCATTGACGGGACAGACCTTGTCAGAGCCGTGTTGTTTCTGCTTTTGTGAGTCCTAGAGCAAAGATGGCCTCATCTGAAAGGCTCCTGCTGTCAAGGAGCTTTCAGTTTGACATCTCGTCATTTTAAAATATCTATTATTGAGTGAGTTGCAGACCTTAAAATATTTCCCGGTTAAAAGTTTTGTAAGGTCTAAGCTGTGTTAGGAGATTAGCCTTGCATTCTTTATGTGTAGTTGCTACTTTAGTTAAAGTTTGCGATGATATGTTGAGTAAACTGCCTTGAGTAGGGCTGCAGACATTGTCTTCCTCACACTGGTGTTTCTTTGGTGCAGATCTTGTAGGGAAGTGTCCCTGCTGTGCTGCTATATATTTTCTGAGGCGACTGTTACAGTAGAAGTATCCTACCCTGCAGTCTGGCCTTGGGGGACAGTGGGAAATAGCCAGGTGGGCTATGTGAACAGCATAATTTTCAGCACAGCATATGGAAATGCATGCTCCGATCTCTGTGTTCAGGTCTGCTGTGCCGCTTTCATTGACCATGTAATAGTGCGTCATCTCCAGTTTCCATTTTGCTTGGGGTTGGCCTGTTTTTGCAGGTAGAGTTGTATTGGCATGCAGGCATGCCACTCATTTACGTACTGTCTGTGGCTGCTTTCCTGTGACAGTGGCACAGCTGGGTAGTTGGGACAGAAAGCCCACAGAGGCTAAAAATATTTACCATCTGATCGTTGAGGAAAATATTTGCCTATCTTTAGTTATTATAAAATAGAGTGTGGGAACTTGTGGAGCAATCTGATATCTTCTCTGGTTTCTTTTTCCTGATCTTTTACAGTTTTCACCTTTACGTAATTTCACTTTTTTTTGTTTTTGTTTGTTTTTTTTTTTTTTTTTTGTAAGACAAAGTTTTGCTCTGTCACCCAGGCTGGTGTGCAGTGGTGCAATCTCGGCTCGCCGCAAACTCCACCTCCCGGGGTCAAGCAATTCTCATGCCTCAGCTGGATTATAGATATTCACCACCATGCCTGGCTAATTTCTGTATTTTTAGTACAGACAGGGTTTTGCCATGTTGCCCAGGCTGGTCTCGAACTCCTGGGCTCAAGTGATCCGCCCGCCTTGGCCTCCCAAAGTTCTGGGATTACAGGTGTGAGCTACCATGCCCAGCCTAACAATTCTGTTTTTTAGCAATTCACTTTAAGTTTTTGCAAAGTTTTCAGCTTAGTTTTCACCATAAAAATAAAAATATTTACTTTTGCAATTGCATTTTATCCCTTTATGTAATATTTAATCAACTTACATAATTATGCTGATATGCAGTTGGGAACACATACAGTGGTACAGTTGACCACCGGTCAGCATGGTGGCAACAGAAGCAGGCAGGCAAACGGGAGGGTGGTCCGCAAGCATCTGCAATGTGCCAGGCCCCAGTTACTGTGTGTTATGGAGGCAGTGGGCCTTTGGTTCTGTGAAGCAGTTAACATTGAGCCCAGGCTAGTAAGAGTCAGGACTTTGTTTTTCATGGAATGAAAACAAAAAGAAAACTCAGCTTTCCCTTTCTTTATTGCTTCTATGTCAACCTCAAGTGTCACCTAGATTTCGTTTGCTCAGTAGCCACCCTTGTAGTGTTAACTATGTACCTGAGTGGTCTAGATTAGTGTGCGTTTTTCATTATATTATTTGCAGTCATTTAAAATTTTTCGTTAAAATGCAGAGTTGTTGTTATTTAAATGCATTTGTATTTTTTAGGGCAAGTGTGGTCTTGGGGAGATGGTGACTATGGGAAATTGGGCAGAGGTGGTAGTGATGGCTGCAAAACCCCAAAGCTGATTGAAAAGCTTCAAGACTTGGATGTGGTCAAAGTCCGCTGTGGAAGTCAGTTTTCCATTGCTTTGACGAAAGATGGCCAAGTTTATTCATGGGGAAAAGGTGACAACCAGAGACTTGGACATGGAACAGAGGAACATGTTCGTTATCCAAAACTCTTAGAAGGCTTGCAAGGTGAGTGCAAATGTAAACTTTTAAAACCCTTCAGGACAGTTTCTTTAGTAATGTTTTAAAGTTAGCAGGTTTTATGTTCTTAACCTGACATTCCATGAGTTAGCAGGTTTTATGTTCTTAACCTGACATTCCATGAATGGACTGTCATTAGAAACTTTTACTGCCTGCTTGGTATAGGTATTGATACTAATTGGAAAGTGGGTGTCTATTACAAAATGACTGAAATGTAATTTAAACCTGTTGAGTTGACTTTCTGTGGCAGGCACCCATTAATCACTCAGCAGGCTGGACTCAGTAAGGGTTCCCTCTGTGTGGTGAGGTCACCTGTACTTGTACTGCAGGCACACTGAGACCATGAGTGTGCATTGTGCTGTGGAGCCACATTGGGAGGTGGGATTGGGTCCACTTGGGACACCCTCATGTGAACTCATCCTTGGTGGGTGATTCCTGCTTGCTCAGTTGCAAAGGTGTCCAGCATGCATTGTAGTTGGAGGCAAGAGATGGAAGCCAAGGTATGTAGATAAGAGTGCCGGCGCCTTCAGTGTGGGCTGCCGGTGCAGGCAGAGAGGATGGGAGTCTCTGCAAGAAGACCCTGAGATTCTTCTGTGGTGTTCTTACTAGGGATGTTATGCTGCAGGAAGTTGGGGTGGGGGCCATCAAAACTATGATGTTGGAGGGATCTTTCTAAGGTAAAACAGGACTTTTCCGTACCACCTGGCCTAGTGGTTGGGAGATAGTCTTCATCCTAATCGAGAACTGTTGAAGGGCAGACAAATTGACAAGAAAGTAGGAAGAAGGGAAAAGGCAGTGTGAGAGGTACATCAGATGGACTCTTTAGGGTTCTCTTCTCTCAGGGGTGGGCAGCCTTTTTCTTAAAGGACCAGATTGTATTTGAAGTAGGTGGACCTGGCAGTGTTCCAACACCAGTGTCTTCACAGAAGCAGGCCTTGGGCTGCGTTGTGTGTGGGGGCTGTAGTTCGTTGGGTCCTGGTACTACATACATTCTTTGTGTGTTTGGTTCTTTACCAAGTGGGTTTGGAAGTGGGACTTTTAAGTGAGACTTGCCAGTTCCCTTCTCCATTAGTTTTATTTTAAAGCAGGTTAATATTTTGATGACTGAGAGTTTTGTGCGCCCATATGGTGTTTATTGTTTTCTAAGCTTCTGAGATAAGTTGCAGAGTAAGAAGTTTACTCTGTGTCATTGAATGGTATTTGAATTTCATTTGCCTTCTTGTTTATATTCCCCTCCATTAGTATAGGAAAGCTACGACAATCATTAGTATAGAAATCATTTACTTTGAGGGTATTTAAATTACTGTTGAGAAACACCTTTTTTGTTGCTGATGTTAACTTATGGTAAGTTCCTAGGATAGAATTTTTCCCCTTACTGCAGTGTGGTTTTTCAGCTGAATTATTTTATATACTGACATTTCTGCGAAACACCCTTTGTGTTGGCCATGTTAGATTTACCAGGAAGGAAAAATAGAATATTTTGCTAAGTGTTTAAATAGAAACAATGTTTTAAATATCAGTTATATCTAACTGAGAGAACAATAGATTTCTTCTTAGGAAACCTTCCTCACTGAAGAGTGTGCTATGCATTGTTAAATCTCGGATGGGAGAATATGATCTAATAGTTAATTAAAAGCACCTTGTTTCTTTCTGACTGAAAATCTGAATGAGGAGGAGAAAAAAAAACAGATCCTTTTTGTATCCTAGTATTATGATCTTTGTAGACTGTGGGTCCTAACGAATTGTAGCTGACAAAATACAGCAGTTTTAATAACACACCCAAAGCAAATGAATTGTGCTTAATATTAAAGCAAAGCAGATTATCCTCAAGAAGTTAATGTTAAAAGCTGTCTGACCTGAATGGCCTAGGAAATATCTTTCTTGCAGCGGAAGTCATAGGCTTGAAGCTGCATCTGCATCCCTCTTCCCTTGTAGGGAAGAAGGTGATTGATGTGGCTGCAGGCTCCACCCACTGCCTGGCTCTGACTGAGGACAGCGAGGTCCACAGCTGGGGGAGCAACGACCAGTGCCAGCACTTTGACACCTTGCGCGTGACCAAGCCAGAACCTGCAGCATTGCCAGGACTGGACACCAAACACATAGTGGGAATTGCCTGTGGGCCTGCCCAGGTACTGAATATAGAGCTTGATTTGGTATTTTGGAGGATTTTGGTTTCCAGTTGTTCATTACCAGTATGTAGAAAATACCACTGAGTTTTGTTTGTTGTTCTTGTGTCCTGCAGTTGTGCTAAACTCATTTATTATGAGCTTCACTGTAGTTTCCTTGGGTTTTCTTCATGGACAATTAAATGCTATCTGTATAGAGGGGCAGTTTCATTTCTTCCTTTCCAGTCTGCTCGCCTTTTATGTCTTTTCCCGGCCTGATTGCCCTGGCCAGGACTTGCAGTGTGAAGCTGAATAGGAGAGGTGACAGTGGGCACCCTGCCTTGATCCTGACTGTAGGGGAAGGCAGTTCAGTCTTTCACCATCAACTGTGATGTTAGCTGTGGGTATTTATGTAGATGCCTTATTATCAGATTAAGGGAGTGTCTTTAATTCCCCGTTTTAGAAGCTTCTAAAAAATCCTGACTGGATGTTAAAATTTGTTAAATGCTTTTAATCTTCTCAAATGAAATGGTCATGCAGTTTTCCTTCTTTAGTGTGTTAGTATGGTGTATTACATGATGCTTTTTACTTTTCTTTTTCTTAAACATTTTTTTTTTTTCTTTTTTGGAGATACGGTTTCACTATGTTGCCCAGGCTGGTCTCGAACTCCTGAGCTCTAGCGATCTGCCTGCCTTGGCCTCCCAAAGTGCTGGGATTACAGGTGTGAGGCACTGCACCAGCCTGATTTTTAAATACTGATCAAGCCTTGTGTTACTTGGATAGGCATCACTTGGCCACAATTTACTACTCTTTTTTTTTTTTTTTTTTTTTGCCAGATGGAGTCTCACTCTGTCACCCAGACTGGAGTGCATTGGTGCAATCTCAGCTCTCTGCAACCTGTGCCTCCTGGGTTCACGCAATTCTCCTGCGTCAGCCTCCTGAGTAGCTGGGATTATAGGTGTGCACTACCATGCCTGGCTAATTTTTGTATTTTTTTTTTTTCTTTTTAGTGGAGATGGGGTTTCACCATGTTGGCCAGCCTGGTCTCCAACTCCTGACCTCAAGTGATCCATCCTCCTTGGCATCCCAAAGTGCTGGGATTACAGGTGTGAGCCACTGTGCCTGGCCCTATTCTGTTTCTGTATTGCAAAATTTGACTTGCTAACAGGTTGTTGAGGATTTTTCTGTTGATGCTCATTAGAGATGTTGGTTTGTGGTTTTCTTTCTTTGTGTTATACTATCTTGTCTGACTTTCTATCAGGGGAAAGCTGACCTTATACAAAATATTGGCATGTGTTCCGTCCTTTTTCATTTTCTATAAGGGATTGTGTAGAATTAGTGTTATTTCTTCTTTAAATGTTTTTGAATCCCATCTGAGTCTGGAGATTGCTTTCTAAAAGATTTTACGCCAGACACAGTGGCTCACGCCTGTAATCCCAGCACGTTGGGAGGCCGAGATGGGTGGATCACCTGAGGTCAGGAGTTTGAGACCAGCCTGGCTAACATGGTGAAACCTGTTTCTACTAAAAATACAAAAATTTCGTCGAGCTTGGTGATGTGCGCCTGTAATCCCAGCTACTCAGGAGGCTAAGGCAGGAGAATCGCTTGAATCTGGGAGGCAGAAATTGCAGTGAGCCGGGATGGCGCCATTGCACTCCAGCTTGGGCAACAAGAGCGAAACTCCGTCTCAAAAAAACAAAAACAAACAAAAAAAAGATTTTGCAACTTCAATTTCTTTAACAGATATAGAAGTATTCAGGTGACCTGTTTGTTTCTAGGAGGATTTTCCTGATTTTTGGCCCTCAGATGTGCTTTACTTCATCTACGTTGTCTGATTTTTACGTGTCAAGTTTTCCTTAGTATTCTCTTGCTGTCTGAAGTCTGTGGGGCCTGCGGTGATGTCCCTTCATTCATTCTTGATTCTGATAATTTGTATCTTTTCTGTTTTTTTCTTTGTCAGTTTTCCTAGAGTTTTTCAATTTTGTTGATCTTTTCAAAGAACAATCTTTTCGTTTCATTAATTTTTCCCTTTTGTTTTGCTTTCAATCTCATTGATTTCTGCTTTTGTCTTGTCATTTGTCCCTTTGGCTTGTTTTGCGTTCACTTTGTTCTTTTTCTAGTTTCTTAAGGCGGAAACTTAGATTGCTGATTTAGACCTATCTTTTTTTTGTAATAGATAATGATTTGATGCTATAAATTTTCCTGTTTAGCAGTGCTTTAATTAAACCTACAAATTTTGGCGCATTTTCATGTATGTTCAAAATATTTTATAATTTCTCTTGAGAATTGTTTTTTTGACCCATGGATGATTATTATTATTATTATTTTGAGATGGAGTTTTGGTCTTATTGCCCAGGCCGGAGTGCAATGACATGATCTCAGCTCACGGCAACCTCTGTCTCCCGGGTTCAAGCAATTCTCCTGCCTCAGCTTCCTGATTAGCTGGGACTACCGGCATGCACCAGCATGCTTGGCTAATTTTTTTGTATTTTCAGTAGAGATGGGGTTTCTCCATGTTGGCCAGGTTGTCTTGAAATCCTGACCTCAGGTGATCCCCGCCGCCTTGGCCTCCCAAAGTGTTTGGATTACAGGCGTGAGCCACTGCGCCCGGCCTGACCCATGGATTATTAAGTATGTTGTTTAATTTTGAAGTGTTTGTAGATTGTTCTGTTCATGATTTCTAGTTTAATACCATTGTGATTGGAGAACAAACTGTATATGATTTCATTTCTTTTAAATTTGTTAAGATTTGTTTTATGTCTCAGGATATGTTCTCTCTTAGTGAACATTCTGTATGTGCTTAAAAAGTATATGTATGGCCAGGTGCGGTGGCTCACGCTTGTAATTCCAGCACTTTGGGAGGCTGAGGCGGGCAGATCATGAGGTCAGGTGATGGAGACCATCCTGACTAACACCATGAAACCCTGTCTCTACTGAAAATACAAAAAAAAAATTAGCCAGGCTTGGTGGCGGGCACCTGTAGTCCCAGCTACTTGGGAGGCTGAGGCTCCAGTCTGGGTGACAGAGTGAGACTCTGTCTCAAAAAAAAAAAAAAGTATATGTATTTTGTTGTTGTTGGGTGAAATGTTCTATAAATTAGATCCAGTTTATTCATAGTGTTCCACCGTTCTCTTAGATCCTTGCCGATTACTTGTTATTTCACTGTGAAAGGTTGTGTGTGTGTCATATGCATCTAACAATTCGTTGTCTAGTTAGAGTTGCTATTATACCACTTCAAGTGGATGGAGATCCTCACTGCCATCCATTAATGTCATTAATCGTTTTGAGAGTGAAAAGATTGTTAAAAATGCTTTTACTTTTTTAGGTATGGCCAAATGAGATGGGCTAGTGAAATGGGTGGGAAAATCGGAAGCTGATAGTGTGTGAGCTAGACATCCATGAATGCCTTTGGACTGGGCAGTTCGAGGGATGATAGGTAATAGTATAAGGCAGCTCCATCACACACGCTGGTGACTCCTGTGGAGCAGACCAGCAGCTGCATTTGGAGATTCATTTTAGATTGTTGCGTTTCCTCTTAGAGCTTTGCTTGGTCATCATGTTCTGAGTGGTCCATTGGCCTCCGTGTCCCTTTTGTGGTGGACATCTGCTCAATGACTTTTGAGCAGCTGGATCTCCTGCTTCGGCAGGTGAGTGAGGGGATGGATGGCTCCGCGGACTGGCCCCCGCCCCAGGAGAAAGAGTGTGTGGCCGTGGCAACGCTGAATCTTCTACGACTTCAGGTATTCATGATTTCCCTTCTTCTTCCTCCTTTTGTAAGTGTCTTAGGGATTTGTAAGAAGGTTTATGTATTTTGAAGGGCATGGGTTTTAGCCTGTTCGGTGAAATATTTTAAAGTAAGATTGTAATGCACTAATAATGGACGCGAGTCTTAAAAAACATGATCTGGGCTGGGCGCGGTGGCTCACGCCTGTAATCCCAGCACTTTTGGGAGGCCTGGGCGGGTGGATCACGAGGTCAGGAGATCGAGACCATCCCGGCTAACATGGTGAAACCCCGTCTCTACTAAAAATACAAAAAATTAGCCAGTTGTGGTGGCGGGCGCCTGTAGTTCCAGCTACTCGGGAGGCTGAGTCAGGAAAATGGCATGAACTGGGGAGGCAGAGCTTGCAGTGAGCCGAGATTGCACCTGTGGCAGCTTTTTTGGTTGAGTTGTAGCTGTTATTTCTGTGTTTGGTGCAGATTGTTGGCGCGGGGTGGAGGTTGCTGTTGCTAGTTGTTTAGCTCTTCTGCTGATCTTGAGCTTTCCATAAACATGTTCATAGTGGGGTTAAAAAGATTCCTCTAGCAAATACCTCAACTATTGTGGGTAAGAGTTTTTTTAGTCCAGTTTTTAAAAATACATAAACTGAGAAATTGTCTATTTAAATAATACTTGAAATTGACTTTTATTCAGTGTTTAATAAGACTTTGAAATTCACTCATTTTTAGGGGTTCTAAGTGAAAATTGTTTTTCTCCTTTCAGTTGCATGCTGCCATTAGTCACCAGGTTGACCCGGAATTCCTTGGTTTAGGTCTGGGCAGCATCCTCCTGAACAGCCTGAAGCAGACGGTGGTGACCCTGGCCAGCAGTGCGGGCGTGCTGAGCACCGTGCAGTCGGCCGCCCAGGCCGTGCTGCAGAGTGGCTGGTCCGTGCTGCTGCCCACCGCGGAGGAGCGGGCCCGGGCACTCTCTGCTCTCCTGCCCTGCGCAGGTGGGCCTGGGGAAGGAACAGGAGAGGGCATGGGTCAGGGTGTTGGGAGGGAATGGCGTTTCACTCAAATTGGCACACACTTTCTATTTCAGTTTCAGGCAATGAAGTGAACATAAGTCCAGGTCGTCGATTCATGATTGATCTTCTGGTGGGCAGCTTGATGGCTGATGGAGGGTTGGAGTCAGCCTTACACGCAGCCATTACTGCAGAGATCCAGGTATGGCTTTGGAGGCACACGTGACCTGGTGGTGCACTGAGATCAGAAATACCACACTCACACACGTGAAGAATAACTGAAAACAGTAAAACTCTAAACTTTTATCATATCCAAGTATTTTTTAAATTAAAATTCTTTTATGTGCCAATTTACAAAATTATTGAGATATGATTTAATTGTGATAAAATACTGCATGTTGTCTGTTTCAGTGAAGTTAACAGGTAACCTGTTCCTCATGTAGACCATTCCCGTTACCCGGAAAGATCCCTGTGCCCTTGGCACTTGCAGCCAGGATACTCCCCTGCCCTGAGATTAGATTCATTTTTCCTGCTCTGAGTGTCGCAGCAATATAACTATATAGTATGCACTCTTTCTTGCTTTGCCTTGGAGAATGATTTTCAGATTCACTCACTGTTGTGTGTATTGTGACTTCTTTTTTATTATTGGGAAGTATTCCATTTTATAGGTGTAGTACTGTTTGTTCATTCTCCTATTGAAGGACGTTTAATTGCTTTTGGTTTTTGTTTTCTTTTTTTTTGAGACAGCGTCTTGCTCTGTCACCGAGGCTGGATGCAGTGACCTGATGTTGGCTCACTGCAGCCTTGTCCTCCTAGGCTCAAATGATCCTGCCACCTCAGCCTCCTGTTTTGCAGGGACCACAGACATGTCACCATGCCCGGCTAGTTTTGTGATTTTTTTGTAGAGACAAGGTGTTACTATGTTGCACAGGCTGGTCTCGAACTCCTGGGCTCCAGTGATCCCCCCACCTTGTCCTCCCAAAGTGTTGGGATTACAAGCATGAGCGACCACGCCCAGGCTTTCTGGTTTTTGGCCATGTAGAGCTGCCACGGTTGTGCTGTGTACAAGTACTTTAGTGAACATATGTTCTCCTTTTGGGTAAACACTTGGAGTGGAATTTGTTAGGTCCTGGGGCAGGTGCGTGTTCATAGTTTCCCCAAGTGGCTTTGCCATTTACATTTGAACAAGTATGTGAGAATTCCAGCTTCTTCTTGTCCTTACAAAGCAGCTGGATGTTGCATGTGTGGGGCACATCACATTGGGTTTTGTGAGAGCCAGTAGCAGGGTTAAGGATTTTAGGGACTTCACAGAAGGATGCTGGAGAGCATCAGCAGAGGCAGCCTGGACCTTGATTCTGTAAAAAGAAGACACTGTTTGAAACTGCACAACTGAGTTAGGGTTTCCAACAAGGCAGATGGGGGCCTGTGGGTAGGTGTGTGCATTAGCCACAGAGGCTGGGATAGCTTGGCACTGGGGTTAGGGCTCAGCCAGCCTGTGTGTCTTCACACCTGGTAATGAGATCACTTGTAAACAATTTCTTTTTATGAATTACAGGATATTGAAGCCAAAAAAGAAGCACAGAAGGAAAAAGAAATTGATGAACAGGAAGCGAATGCCTCAACATTTCATAGAAGCAGGACTCCACTGGATAAAGACCTTATTAATACGGGGATCTGTGAGTCTTCTGGCAAACAGTGTTTGCCTCTGGTTCAGCTCATACAACAGCTTCTTAGGTAAATCGTAGTAGCTGTATTGTATTATATGTTATTTATTTACTTTTTTTTGTGTGTGTGACAGAGTTCGCTCTTGTTGCCCAGGCCGGAGTGCTATGGCGCCATCTTGGCTCACTGCAAGCTCCGCCTCCCAGGTTCAAGTGATTCTCTTGCCTCAGCCTCTCACACAGCTGGGATTACAGGTGTGTGCCACCACACCCGACTAATCTTGTAGTTTTAGTAGAGACGGGGTTTCTTCATGGTGGTCAGGCTTGTCTTGAACTCCTGACCTCAGGTGATCCGCCCGCCTTGGCCTCCCAAAGTGTTGGGATTACAGGCATCACCCACCACTCCCGGTCTATTTATGTACTTATTATTTTTTTTTAATATTTATTTTTTAAGACGGAATCTCGCTCTATTGCCCAGGCTGGAGTGCAGTGTCATGATCTTGGCTCACTGCAACCTCTGCCTCCTGGGTTCTAGCAATTCTCCTGCCTCAGCCTCCCAAGTAGCTGGGACTACAGGCGTCCGCAACCACACCTGGCTGATTTTTGTATTTTTAGTAGAGACGGGGTTTCAAAATATTGGTCAGGCTGGTCTCAAACTCCTGACCTCAGGTGATCTACCCGCCTTGGCCTCTGAAAGTGTTGGGATTTCAGGCGTAAGCCACTGTTCCCGGCCTGTATTGTATTTTAGTAGGTGATTATTGGTTTTCATATTAAGATAGTGAAATCTAGCACAAGGATCTCAAAAATTTGTTTGGTGGTTGAAGGAATATTCTGAAAATTACCTAGTATAGATGTTAGAATAAAGAGCAGACCCTTTTCAATATAGGTGAGAGGAGAAGTTGGAGGGTGTGATGATACTCAGAAGTTTTTCACTGAAGAGAAATTGCGGTGTGCAGTAAACATGTAAAAAGATTCTTACTAATAAGCAGGTGGATGCAAATGAAAATCATCATGGAAAGGTTATTTTTAAAACTGGTTCTATCATTGCCTCACTTTACATATTACAGAGTTGTACATACTACTTTGTAAGGTAACTTTTCTTTTCAAAACTAAAGTCAATGTGAAAGAATGGTGAGCATTATTTTGGAAGGCCAGACTAGGAGGAGGTGGGAAGAAGAAGTCAGAGTCAGCCTGTGAACAGAGGCTAACCTTGGCAGAAGCCAAAACGGTCAGTGTTGTGTAAAAATGATCACCCAAGAAGAGCGAAAAAGCAAGGTGATTTGTGAAAGAGATTAGAAAGTGAAACACATTTGTACCTCTATGTAATAAAAATCTGCTTTTTGTAAACTTGGGCTCCTGGTTTTAGTTTCTACACATAGAGAAAGCAAAGCACTGGCAGGTTGGGTCAGGCAGCCGAGCACAGAGCAGGGAGCCCTGGGCAGTGGCCACAGCTCTCAGCTGGCCTATTCATGGGACCATGGTGGGTCTGTGGTGTGGGTTGGGCCTGTGGCGTGGGGTGGGCCTGCTGTCCACAACCAGAAAAACGAACTTAGTAGACGCACAGTGAAATTTTGAAACAGGAAGTTTTAGAGCTAGTTTCTATCATAGATTTTAGTAAATTCTATTTTGCAAAACCTTTTTCTGATGTTTGTTTTGTTTTTCTAATCTGATAATGCATATTTCATACATTCTGGTCTTTAACCAATGGAAATAAAGAGAACTAAACTTCATATAGTTTGTGTTAATGGAAAGAGCTTGGAATTTGTTCTCATAAAATTTCAGTTGCAACAGCTTGTTCACATAGATGAACTTCCAACACAGTAACTATAGGAATAAGAATAAAAGCCGTGTTTACTTTCATGGAGTTAATTAAGAATCAATGAGAACATGGAAGTTAAAACCTTTGTAATTAAAATGTAAAGTTCCACGCAAAGTTTTAAAGTGAGCATTTTCCAGAGGTGCTTTTCTAAGTTCTTGAATGCCCCTCCCTTTTCTGAGGAGGCTGCTTCATGGGCTATTGGTGTCTTTGGCAGGGGGTGAGTCTAGGGTTCCTGTTGTGGGTCCTTTGTTCTCACGAGGGCAGTGCCCGTTTTCCCCGTCTCCTGCTTGCCCAGAATGTTCCCGTGCACCGAGACTGGCCTGTTTGACCTGCAACTATGCTGTTTGAGCTGCAGCTGTGTAGCCTGCGCTGGCCCGTCTGGCTACACTCAACACCGTTTGCTGATCAGCACTTGAAGTGTATCCATCATAGCTGAGACACTGAATATTTTATCTGTTTAATTTTTATTAATTAAAATGCAGGTTTAAAAACTTGATTCCGTTATTAGGAAGCACTTAAGTATGTTTAGAATCACTTGGCCATGTGAGTCTACTTCGTCAACTGTGTATTTTATGAGTCTAGGGCAGATCAGATATTTTCAATGCAAATATCACTGTCCAAATTGAAATGTGCTACATATGTAAGCTACCCTGATGGTTTTTGAGGATTTAATATGAAATAACCTATGTAAAATATCTCAATAATTTTTCTTATAGTGATATCATGTTGAAATGGTAATATTTTCAATCTGTTGGGATAAGTATGACACATTATTAAAATTATTTTTATTTTTTGAGATGGAGTCTTGCTCTGTTGCCCAGGCTGGAGTGCGGTTGCATAATCTTGGCTCACTGTAACCTCTGCCTCTTGGGTTCAAGTGATTCTCCTGCCTCAGCCTCCCGAGCAGCTGGGACCACAGGCGTACACCACCACGCCTTGCTGATTTTTGTATTTTTGTAGAGACAGGGTTTCACCATGTTGGCCAGGCTGGTCTCGAACTCCTGACCTCAAGTAATCTGCCCGCCTTGGCCTCCCAAAGTGCTGGGATTGCAGGCGTGAGCCACCGCGCCTGGCCATTATTAAAATTAGTTTTATGTGTTTTTTTGTTTTTTTTTTTTACTTAATGTGACTAAGGACAATTTTTTTCCCCCGAGATGGAGCCTCACTCTGTTGCCCAGACTGGAGTGCAGTGGCACGATCTCAGCTCACTGCAGCCTCTGCCTCCTGGGTTCAAATGATTCTCCTGCCTCAGCCTCCTGAGTGGCTGGGACTACAGGTGCATGCCACCATACCTGACTAATTTTTGTATTTTTAGTAGAGATGGGGTTTCCCCATGTTGGCTGGGGTGGTCTTGAACTCCCAACCTGAGGTAATCTGCCCGCCTTGGCCTCCAAAAGTGTTGGGATTACAGGTGTGAGCCACTGCACCTGGCCACATTTATTAATACAACCAAGAACATTTTGAATTGCACCTGTAGCTCCATTGGTGTCCTCGGCAGGTGGCTCTGTGCTGTCCACACAGGTTGTCTCCTGTGTCTTCATCCTTGCTGCATGTGACTTTTTGGTTCCTGTGGCACGTGGGGTCCTGTATGGGACATTGGTTCTACAGCAGATTTGTAATAAGGATGTACGTACTTAAAAAATACAAAATAAAAAGAATAGACACAAACATAGTTATCACCTCACAAAAATTTTGGAAAGTAGAAAAAGAAAAATGCATTCGCAGCTTTCCAGTAGCCGATATCCAGGCTGTCTTCATAAGCATGGATCATGTGTCCCTCTCCCGCATGGGTAGACACTGTTTTCTCACCTTAAGTGTTTGTGAGTGAAGGATTCTTGATGTGTTGACTTGGCAGATGCAGTTGTTGAACAGTAGTTTATCTAAAGATCGTAAGAGACTTTTGGAGACATTTCATGTCCTTTTTTCCCTTGGAAAACGTGAGTTGGAGAAATCGCTGCTTGCCAAAAATAAGCCGTGAAACGTATTTCAGAGTAGATCGTTATTTACATGCTGGCGAGGAGCCACAGAATACCATTTACATTTGAAAATAGAGCGCTGTGAAGTTTTTATAAGTAGTGAACCCCATCAGAATTACACGTTTTGATTATGGCTCTAAATTTTATATTAAATAAACTAAAAATTTCATTGTATTGTATTACCGTCTCTTGCTCCTTCAGGTGTAGCATACATGTTAGATTCTAGACCTGTTTCTTGTGTTACAGTGGTGTTATCCAGGCAGGGTATCAGGTAGTGAAGGTGATGTCTGGTGGTGGTGAGCCCAGTGAGGGCGCATCCTTGCCGTGTGTGATGAGGGCCTGTGGGTTGCTATGGGATTCCCCAACCCTGGCTCCTCTGTCTCCTGCTTCTGTCCTTACTCATGCTGCTGGTAGTTTTTTCTGGTGTGAGCCACGGGGGCAAGTGGGATTGACAAGCCTGCTGTCACATTAGGAACCTGAGTTAAAGTGGAGCTGAAAGCATGTCCTCACTCTTGGTGTTGTGCAGAGAGCCACCTGTGCTCCTGGCTCAACGGGGCGGGTGGGGTGGGTCTGGAACCAGGCTCTGGTTGGGCTCTCCTCCCCTCCGTGTTCCCATGTCCTGTCTGATTTGCTTTCACATTGACATAAGAGTTAGTTTCCTTAGGCCGGGCGTGGTGGCTCACGCCTGTAATCCCAGCACTTTGGGAGGCTGAGGCGGGTGAATCACGAGGTCGGGAAATCGAGACCATCCTGGGTTTACATAGTGAAAGCCCGTCTCCACTTAAAAAAAAAAAAAAAAAAAGTTAGCTTGGCGTGGTGGCGTGTGCCTGTAATTCCCAGCTACTCGGGAGGCTGAGGCAGGAGAATCGCTTTAACCCGGGAGGCGGAGGTTGCAGTGAGCTGAGATCATGTCACTGCACTCCAGCCTGGCAACAAAGCTAGACTCTGTCTCAAAAAAAAGAGTTACTTTCCTTAAACACACAGAAGGTGTTATTTTCCTATCATAACCTTGGTGGGTTGGCATTGCAGACTCTGGTCCCACAGCCTGACATTCCATTACCTGCACTGTCTCTCCCTTGCTTCCTTGTGTTGTTCTCCTGCCCTTGTTTCTTGGTGTTCTGCTGAGGAACCAGAAACATTCACTGCTCTCCTAACTTTACCTTCTGGGAACATATGTTTCTTCTCTTTTCTTGTCATCTTCCAATGGCTCATGGCTCAAGTCACATCACAGTGTTGGAACTGGAGCCTCTTCTACTTTCTTCGCTGCCGTGCTCTTTGGGCACCTGCTTTGGTCTTCCTTCCTGGACTCCCTGAGCCCTCGGCACCTGCTGCATGGCCCACCCCAGTGCTGCTTGCGAGTAAGGGCTCAAGGTGGACTTGCAAGGCAGATGTGGCAATGCAGGCGAGTCTTGTCTTGAAGAGTAGTATCACATTGCTGTTTGAAATGCAGCTTTGGACAAAAAATAATGACACTGTGTTTGTTCTTTCTAGAGGGTCAGATATTTCTATATTAGCCTCATCAGTATTTTAAATTTCGTTGTCTTAATGTTTACATTCCTTAAACATTGGGAATGTGGAAGTATTCCTTTGGAAGCAAGATCTTCTGCAGTTTGGACCACTGCGCGCAGCTCCATAGGCGCACATTAGTGAAGCACGAGGGCATCATTATCTCTTTTGAGCCTTCCGTGCCCTTCTGCTCCGTTTTGGCTGAGGTTGCGCTTGTTGCAGATACATTGGACACACTTGGGGAGGGAAGCCAGCTGCAGGTCATCATGTATGATCTGTGTTTGTGATATTAATTTGTCATGATTTACCCCATCCCATTTTCTTTTTAGTAGAAATATCTTGTTTAATTTTGTAATCCTCTTCTTTCCTGTATAGAAACATTGCTTCTCAGACTGTAGCCAGATTGAAAGATGTTGCCCGTCGGATTTCATCATGTCTGGACTTTGAGCAACACAGTCGTGAAAGATCTGCTTCATTGGATTTGTTACTGCGTTTTCAACGTTTGCTTATTAGTAAACTTTATCCAGGAGAAAGTATTGGTCAGACCTCAGATATTTCTAGTAAGTTGCTTAAAATGTGAAAGTGTCTTGTATGTGATCGGGGCTCGTTACTTTAGGCTTTTCGACGTGTCCATCCTATATGCCCAGATGTGTAGTTGTTATACTACTAAATGCACCAATTTTGGGGCTTCATTTTGCATCCACTTTTTTGAGTTGGACCTTTCTATAATAGCCTCGTTAATATTTTTAATTTTGTTGCCTTAATATTTAAATTCTTTAGACATCAGTAATAGCATCCTGTATGTTCAGTTTAGTCTTACAGAAGATTTATCAGATTTGTTCCATGTGCTATGGAATGCTGGAGACTGGCATGATGTAGGAAGTAAACAGTGACAGCCTATTCATATGTCACATGGGGGAGCCAGCTGGGTGGAATGGGAAGAACTGTTGGAGAAAGCCTGGGTTTCAGTTACAGCTCGGCTTAATAGTTTAGACATTAGACCAAGTCTAATGGGGCCAAAGACTTCTCACCTGCAGACTTGGGATAATCCCTGAGGCAGCCTGTGAGAATCAGAACAGAATGGTGTGTAAGTGCTCAGTGCTGTGCACTGTTGAGGGAATGGTTCCCCTTCTTCAGCATCCAGGGCAGCGGCTGGCCCTCCATCATGAGGCTTTCTCTGTCAAGGATGGAAAGCTCTGCTGCTTCCATTAGTAATTTTGTAGCTGTTTTTTTCCCAAAGTAACTTAATTACTTTCTGAAGAGTTAGGCTCTTGTCAGTAATGGAAACTTTCAGGTTTCAGTAGGTGAGCTGATAGTTTGAAAGAGGTGACCATCTTAAAGACAAAGTCACAAGGACTGAAAAGCTATTAAGAACCATGTAGGAGGCTGGGTGTGGTGGCTCACGCCTGTAATCCCAGCACTTTGGGAGGCCAAGGTGGGCGGATCACAAGGTCAGGAGTTCAAGACCAGCCTGACCAACATAGTGAAACCCCGTCTCTACTAAAAATACAAAAAATTAGCTGGGCATAGTGGCAGGTGCCTGTAATCCCAGCTACTCCGGAGGCTGAGGCAGGAGAATCGCTTGAACCCAGGAGGCGGAGGTTGCAGTGAGCCGAGATCAGACCATTGCATTCCAGCCTGGGCGACAAGAGTGAAACTCGGTCTCAAAAAAAAAAAAAAAAAAAAAAAGAACCATGTAGACAGAAAAACTGAAGATTTTATGGAGCAGAAAAGTGCCTAACTTTGTTTTTTGGGAATAATTTACAAGCTTTTAGGAAACATTTGTGTACTAGATATAAAATTTTAAAAATTTAGAGCTGGGTGTGGTAGTGCATGCCTGTAGATCTAACTACTCAGGAGGCTGAGGCAGGAGGATCACTTGAGCCCAGGGGTTCGAGTCCAATCTGGGCAACATGGTGAGACCCCCGTCTGTTAAAAAAAAAAATCTTTAAATTAAATTATGACTTTAGTGTTCATACACCCAAAATTTCTAGGTACTCTGTAGTGCAGGGTATAAAACTTGACATAAAAACCCTGTCCCTCCAGTCACATGATACAGAAAGAGCGCAAGGACAAGGGTTAACAGGCTTCTGTTTGAGAAAATTATTATGGGTAAAAGATGTGTAGATGAGAATAGCATCATGGAGCAGTTAGTTTGTTTACAAAGAAAAATTTTAGTAGTGAAAATGAAAATTTCTCAATCCTTCTTCAAGGTCCAGAGCTAATGGGTGTTGGTTCCTTGCTGAAGAAGTACACAGCCCTCCTGTGCACGCACATTGGAGATATACTGCCTGTGGCCGCCAGCATTGCTTCTACCAGCTGGCGGCACTTCGCGGAGGTGGCTTACATTGTGGAAGGGGACTTTACTGGTACCTTTTGTTTCCTGCTTGTGTACATGTTTATTTTAGGAGATAGATGAAAGCTAAAGTGTCTTCTTTGCTGATCAGCATGCCTGCATTTACTCTCTAAATTTTCTGGGCCTCCTGCCCTTTCACCTTTGTTTTTTTTTTTTAGTTACTGACAGTTCTGTTGTTAAGCCAGCTGGTATGGGACTCATATCACTTTAAATGTAATTGGTAATTTAGATTTATACTTCCATTATTGACATTTCAATAATGAGGTCAAAGGTAATTGTCTAATTTTATTTTGACAGCATAATAAAAATTAGGTACCTATTTAAGGATCTTAAAAATTCTGATATTACCTGGTATGTTTTAACTTTTTGAGGTTAGAGCATTATTTTTTAGTGTTTTTTCCCTGATGATAAACATATCAATAAACATTTAATTTTCTGAATAGAAGACTCTTAGTTCATAGTTCTGTGATTGAAATACAGTGTTTTGGAAAATATTTTTGTAATTTAAAGGGTTCTGTTTAATAGCTATGCCTGTCTCAATATAAAATATAAGATAATTCTTTAGAAATATGCTAAAGGACAAACATTTCTTATTTTGTGACTTAGCAGAATTTAAACACAGAACAAGTTTACAAATAGCTTTTATAGGATAAATACTTATTTAAATCTTATTATTTCTTAAATGTAGGTGTTCTCCTTCCAGAACTAGTAGTTTCTATAGTGCTTCTGCTCAGTAAAAATGCTGGTCTCATGCAAGAGGCTGGAGCTGTACCTCTGCTGGGTGGCCTGTTGGAACATCTGGATCGGTTCAACCATCTGGCACCAGGAAAGGAACGGGATGATCATGAAGAGTTAGCCTGGCCTGGCATAATGGGTACGGCGTCTTAAAGGAGTTTTACTGAGGAAAGTTTTATTGTCCTTGTCTAACCTATTCTTGCCTTTCAATTTGAAAGAATACTTTACAAAGGAAGATTTGCCATTTCTACTGATGGTAGTATAAGTAAAAAATGGAGATAATCCAAATCAGAAGAAATTTGGGTCATATATGTATATATTAACCAAATATATGTGTGTTTATGTATGTGTGTGTGTGTATATATGAGTGTGTATATATATGTGTGTACATATATGTGTGTGTATATATATATCTGTGTGTGTGTGTGTGTGTGTGTGTATATTTTTTTTTTTTTTTGACACTACATCTTGCTCTGTTGCCCAGGCTGGAGTGCGGTGTCATGATCTCAGCTCACTGCAACCTCTGCCTCCTGGGCTCAAGTGATTCTCTTGCCTCAGCCTCCTGAGTAGCTGGCACCACAGGTGCACACCACCATGCCCAGCTTACTTTTGTATTTTTAGTAGAGATGGGGTTTCACCATGTTGTCCAGGATGGTCTCGAACTCCTGACCTCAAGTGATCCACCCGCCTCTGCCTCCCAAAGCGCTGGGATTACAGGAATGAGCCACTGCGCCCGGCTATATTTCGGTTATATTTAAGGAAGATTTTTCCATTAGTAATCCTTGTTAAGTACTGAAATGAAATTTTACAAAGTCCTGGTGCCTCCAGAAGGTGCAGTTGGGGTGGTTATCTGTGGTCCAGCTCAGGAGGCAGAGATTGATAATGGGAAGACTCTCCAGAGTCCTCTGGTTGTTTGATGTTAGTGAGATGCAGAATTCCTGGAGTCACCTGAGCACTTCTTACAGGCATTGCCTTGTAGTGCATCCCAAATTGGAATGAGACTTATCTTCTCAATGTTTTGAGTTTTGGGTTTTTGAATCTAAGTCACCATGCTTTCTATGGTTCTAGCTTCCTGGACTCAGAATCAATCAAAATCAGGGTTAAACTTTGATTTATATGAAATCTCAAGCTGGATGGGCTTTTTTTCTTCTCGTGTTTTAGACCATCATCCCCCTAACATGGGAGCTTAAAACAAGAGGTAGCAGTTGTCCTGAGGAAAACAGCCCCAGGACATTGAACATGGTTTTTTATTTTTAAAACAGTCAATACTTTGAGCACCATTCTTCCCCTTTTGTTAAGGAGTGAGCTTAGTCCTGTGTTATTTTGTCTCTCTACTATCATACTGTTGAGGGGCATTCATTTGATCAGATCAGCAGCTTACTCACTGTAAAGCCTCTTGAAATTGTGATAAGTAACACATACACAAAAGTACCTAGTAGATACCTGTAATTGATCATAGAGAGAACTGTGTCACAGCCATTCAAACCTTAGCCTGGATGGTGGCAGGACCCTCCCAAACTCGGACTCATTTCTCTGAAAAGTGCCCTTCCCCAGGCTGTGTGGTCATCGCCACCTTACTTCTGATCATCTTATACTAAGTTCTTGTCCCTACCCAACATCATTTTAATTCTGTCTGTTCTCGGACTTCATATAAGTGGAACTAGACGGTACGTACCTTTTGGTTTCTGAGCTTCACCCCGTTATTGAGTTCTTTCATTTTTATTGCCATATGTAGTATACTTTTGTTTGAATATACAACAACCTATTCATTCTACTTGTTGATGGAAATGTAAGTTGTTTCCAGGTTTAGGTTAAAGTAAATATGTTACCTTTTTTTTTGAGGCAAGGGTCTTGCTGTGTCATCCAGGCTGGAATGCAATGGTGCAATCATGGCTCACTGTAGCCTTGACCTCCCCGGCTCAAGCAGATCCTTCCACCTGCGTGGGACTGCAAGCATGCGCCACCATGCCTGGCTAATTTTTAAATTTTTTGTAGAGACACGGTCTCCCTCTGTTGCCCAGGCTGGTCTCAAACTCCTAGGCTCAAGTGATCCTCCCACAGTGCTGACATAAGAGGCATGAGCCAGCGCTCCTGCCAATACGTTAACATTCTTACATCTGTTTCTTTAATCATTCTTTCTGTTTCTTGGTGGGACTCTTGGTTTGTAGAGGATGCCTTTAATACAGAATGCCAGTTTTCCACGGTGATTGTGCTGCTACTCATCTCCACTGCAAAGTGAGAATTCTCAGTGTTCCACTTCCATGCCAAGACCTAGCATTGCTAGCACTCCCTGTTTGACCCATTCTGGTGGGTGTACACTGGTATCTCATTGTGGTTTCAATTAGCATTTTCTAGATTATTAGTGAGGTTTGATACCTTTTCCTGTGTGCATTAATCAGTTGGAAATTCTCTTTTGTGAAGTGCCAATTCAAGTTTTGTGCGCATTTTTCTATCTGGTTGTCTTTTTTTCTTTTTAGTCATTCATGTGAGTGTTACTGTGTATTTGGGATATGAACTTTTGGCTCTATTTCTGATGGAGCTTTTTCTCTCACTCAGGCCTGTGTAGTCACTTAAAAGTGTTTTCTGATGAACAGAAGTAATATTCGTGAAATCCAGTTTGTTTCTGTTTTAATGGTTGTTCATTTTGGGCCTTAAGAAATCTTTTTCTTACCCAGATTTTCTTTTACACCTTAAAAGTTTTATTGCCTTAACTTTCATGTTTAGAGCTATAGTGCACTTGGACTTGATTTTCATGCATGTTATGAGAAAGGGGTCACATGTCACTTTTTTTCCATGGGCATTTTGTCCATAGTGTCTTTGTGCCAGCACCTTTGGGTGAAAAGACTGTCCTTGGTCACTCTTCTGGGATGTCACCTTTGTCTGAACCAAGTGATTGTCTATGCTTGTGTCTGGTCTGATCTTGCAGCTTTTCCCCTAGTGACTTATTGCACTTGCTAGGACCTGTAGTGCATTGTGGAGTAGAAATGGTGACAGTGTACCTCCTTGCCTTTTTCTTAGTAGCAGAGAAAAAGCTTTCCAGATTTCACACACAAAGTATGATGTTTGTTTTAGGAGTCTCTTTGTAAGTACTTTTGAATCTTAAGGATGTTTTCTTCTGTTGCTGCTTTGTGATGCAGTTTTAACTATGATTGGGTGTTAAGTTTCATCACATGCTTTTCCTGCATTACTTGATCATATAATTTTTATTTTTTTTATTAATGTGTGAATTACTGACTTTTCAAATGTTGACTCAACCTTCCGTTTCTGGAATAAAACTACTTTGCTCATGATATTGGTCATATGGATAGATATTTCTGGTCTTGGTTTGCTATTTTTTAAAGACAATTTTGCATCTGTAGTTGTAATTTTTCTAGATTTTGCATCTCATTTTCCTTGTAATTTTTTCAGTGACCTGTAATTTTATTTTCTTGTAATGCCCTGCAACTTATTGTTATTGATAACCACCACCCCTTTACTAATAAAGAAGCTATAATTCAGGAAGAAGATAGGTCCCATGCAACCCGTTAGTTTCCATCTATCCACCAGAGAACGTTAGTTTGTCGAGGGAAACACTGGCTGATGGATCCAGTAGTAGGAAAACATAATAGACATTCAGGTTTTGGTAACCAAAGTTGTGCTAATCTTGTAGAGTGAGTAGGAGAATGTTCCTGCCTATTCTTTTCTTGGAAGGGTGTGTATAAGATTGGTAAAATTTGCCATTTAAGTGTACCATTTAGTGGCATTAATACATTCACATTGTTTAATAGCCATCACCGCCACTCATCTCTAGAGCTTTTCATTTTTCTCAACTGAAACTATGCATCTATTAAACACCAATTTTCCCTAGCACCTGGCAACTACCATTCTACTTTCTGTGTCTGAATTTGACTACTCCAGGTACTTCATATACATGGAACCATACAGTATTTATCCTTTTGGGATTGGCTTATTTCACTTAGCATGTCTTCAAGGTTCATCCATGTTGTGCAAAGTGTCTGAATGTCCTTACATTTTAAGGTGAAATCATATTCTGTTATATGAGTATATCACATTTTGCTGTCCATCCATCAGTTGATGACACTTGGGTTGTTTCCATCTTTTGGCTATTGTGAATAATGCTGCTATGAATGTGGGTGTGTATATCCATTTGCGTCCCTTCTTTTTTTTATTTGTTTATTTTTTTTGAGACAGAGTCTTGCTCTGTCGCCCAGGTTGGAGTGCAGTGGTGTGATCTCGGCTCACTGCAACCTCTGTCTCCCAGGTTCAAGCAATTCCCCTGCCTCAGCCCCCTGAGTAGCTGGGACTACAGGCGTGCGCCACCATGCCCAGCTAATTTTTTGTATTTTAGTAGAGATGGGGTTTCACCATGTTGGCCAGGATGGTCTTGATCTCCTTACCTTGTGATCTGCCCACCTCGGCCTCCCAAAGTGATGGGATTACGGGAGGGAGCCACTGCGCCCGGCCTGCTTTTACTTCTTTTGGGTATATAGCCAGAGGTAGAATTGGTAGATTATATGGTAATTTTATATTTAATTTTTTTGAGGGGTTGCCATAGTGTTTTTCGGAGTGGCTGCACCATTTTATGTTCCTGTCAGTAGTGTGCAGGAGTTCCAGTTTCTCCACATCCTCACCAACACTTTTTTTTTTTGATAGTAGCCATCAATGGGTGTGAAGTGGTATCTCATTGTGGTTTTGATTTGTGTGTCCCTAATGATTAGTGATGTCAAGCATCTTTTCATGTGCTTATTGACCATTTGCATACCTTTTTTGGAGAAATGCATATTCAAGTCTTTTGCCCGTGTTTTAATTGGGTTTTTTGTCTTGTTGGGTTTTAGGAGTTAATTATATATTCTGCATAGATATTATTTGCAATCTGTTTTGCATTCTTTCGGTTGCTGTTTCACTCTTGATAGCCTCCTTTGATGCACAGAAGTATTCGATTTTGATCAAGTCCAACTTACCTATTTTTTTCCTTTTGTTGCCTGCACTGCTTTTGGTGTCCTATTCAAGACACGTCACCAAATTCAGTGTCATGAAGATTTTCCACAGTGTTTTCTTCTAAGAATTTTATAGTTTTAGCACTTATTTTTAGGTCTTTTATCCATTTTGAGTTAGTTTTTGTGTGTGGCGTAAGGTAAGGGTCTACCTCCGTTCTTTACATGTGCATGTCTGGATTTCCCAGTACCATGCATTGAAAAGGCTCTTCTTTCCCCATTGAGTGGTCTTGGCTCCCATGTCAAAAATCGTATGACCAAATACGTGATGGATTGTTTTTGGGGTCTCCATTCTATTCCATTTTTCTGTATGTTTGTCTGTCCAGTGCCATACTCTTTATTATTGCCTTCTTCTTTCTTAGGGTTTAATCTGCTATTTTTCTTGCTTTTTGAGAAATGAATACTTATTAGCACTGTGATGTTTTTGTAATCTGTTTATTATGAAAATTTTCTAACATAGATAAAAGTAGAAAAATAGTAAAATGAATCTAGTTTTAACAGGTGAGTATGTTCCCCTCTCATACTTCTCTGTATTTTTGATTGATTGGATTATTTTTATTTTATTTTATTTTATTTTTTTAATTTTTGTTTTTAGACGGAGTCTCGCTCTTTCGCCCAGGCGGGAGTGTAGTGACGTGATCTCAGCTCACTGCAAGCTCTGTCTCCCAGGTTCATGCCATTCTCCTGCCTCAGCCTCCCGAGTAGCTGGGACTACAGGCGCCTGCCACCACGCCCGGCTAATTTTTTGTATTTTTAGTAGAGATGGGGTTTCACCGTGTTAGCCAGGATGGTCTCCATCTCCTGACCTTGTGATCTGCCCACCTTGGCCTCCCAAAGTGCTGGGATTACAGGCGTGAGCCACTGCGCCCTCTGATTGGATTATTTTAAAGCATAATTCTGTCTTTAAAACATTTTAAGGCATTTTACCTCTTAATGATAAGGATTTAAAAAAAAACCCTACAATATCATTATCTTGTCTATAAGATTAACAGTGATTCCTTAATCTAACATGCAATCCATGTTACATTTTCCTGGACTATCTCAAAAATGCCTTTTTTAGGTGGTAATTTTGAATTAGGACCTGAGCATGTTCTCTGTGTTGACATTGCTTGACATGTGCTTTCAGTCTTTCTCCCAACAACATGGCTCCAGGCCCTCCTCTCCCTGTGATCATACCGTTTTCTTTTTCAAAGAAGCAGGTTGGTTATTTTGGAGAACTTCACATTTTCTGAACTTGGTTGATTGCATTCTCTTATTCTAGACCAACATGTTCTTCTGTTAGTTACATTAATCTGCTGGTTAGATCTAGAGGTTTGGTTGGATTTGAATTCAGTCTCGTTGGGGCGGTGTTATGTCTGGGGTCATGCTGCATGCTTTCTGTTGGCTCAGGAGGCCTGTAATGCTCGGTGGCTCCCCGCTTTAGTTCTGTGAAGCTAGACCAGGGAATTCATGTGTTGCGTATCCTCTATAAAATCCCCTACCAACCTTGCCCTCTGCTGTCTGGTTAGCAGGAGGTACAATTTGTACAGGAAGGACATAATCTAAGCTTGACTTCTTGAACTGCCACCTCCCTTTAACTATTTTTCATAATATTGAGTTGGTATCCTAGCACTTGCATAGGTGACCACCACTCAGGTTTTCTTTTTTTGAGTATTTTTATGAACTAATAGACTTTTATTGATTTGGTGTTTTTCTTTTTTAGCTTTTTCCCTCTAATATACACATTTAAAGGCATAAATGCCCTCAAGCATGCATTTAGTTGTATGTCACCAATTTCGATCTGCAGTATTTTGATTATTAATTGAACACATTTTCTAATTTTCATAGTCATTTTTTTCTTAGAATTTTGGGTTACTTATAAGTGTATTTTATAATTTTCAAATATGTGGATGAATTTTTTATTTATTTTGAATGAATTTTTGAAAACCTATTTCTAATTTAACTGCATTGTAGTCAGCACACATGCTCTATAAGTTTATTTCTTTGAAATCTGTTGAGATTTGCTCTGTGGCCTGGCATGGCCCAATTTGGTATTCATGCTGCCTAGATTTTTTTTTAAAGCATTCTATATTTAACAGAATTTGTATGTGTGGTATTAGTTTCAGAGCTAGGTATGTATTTCTCCCATTGTGATTGTGGGTTTGTTTATTTCTGCTTGTAGTTCTTTCACACAGTTTGTTCTTTTCATTTTACCTGTTGATTGATCAATGGACTGATTCTGGTTTCTGTATATACAGAGTCATTTTTTACAGGTCAGAACTGTAGAAATAATGAGGAAGTGACACTTATACGCAAAGCTGATTTGGAGAACCATAATAAAGATGGAGGCTTCTGGACTGTGATTGACGGGAAGGTGTATGATATAAAGGACTTCCAGACACAGTCGTTAACAGGAAATAGTATTCTTGGTAAGATTACACTTGTTATTTCCTGGTTAAAAGTTACAACCTATATCATTTTAAGCAGAGTATTTGGCTTATAAATGATTTCTTTAGTTTTGTGCCAGCCCCCACATATTTTAATGTATCTGTGGCTTCGATGTCTGTCTTATCAACAAATTCAGCACATTTGAAGAATTTCCTTTGATTATGCATTTTTTGTTTTAATACTTGGAACTCATTTCAAGTTCTGAGTTGGCCCAGGCAACCCTGGGAGACAGTAGAAGGTCATTATACTCTGGTAACCCTCACTTTTGAGTTAAGCGCCTAACTTATTTCCTATTCACTGTTTCTCCTATATCTCTTCAGGCAAGCTGAATTGAACTCATGTTGCTTTTTCCCTTTTTGTTTCAGCTCAGTTTGCAGGGGAAGACCCAGTGGTAGCTTTGGAAGCTGCTTTGCAGTTTGAAGACACCCGGGAATCCATGCACGCGTTTTGTGTTGGCCAGTATTTGGAGGTGAGGCTGTATGCCTTGAGTGATGCAGAGGATGGCAGGGGATACCCTCTGTGTGTTTGTGATAGGAATATTTGGATCTAGAAGTACTGATATCTGGGTCTTTTGTGGGGCATTAGGGATAAATATAAAGATCCTTTAGAAGTTTTGTCATAAATGAATTTACATTTATTCATGTTAAGATCTGTGATGTACTGGTCTTGAAAAATTGTTTTTTAAATGATCAATTTGTGAGAAATATAGACAGTGTTCCACAAGAAAAGAGGTTAAACTTTGGTCTTATGTAGAAATTTGGAATGGCTTATAATCTTGAGGTAGTATTTTTTGGGAAGAACTATGTAGAAGTGTAATTCTTTACAGTAGAAATATGTCCTTCCTATGTATTCACGAACACATAGAATTTATATATTGGGATTAGCTTTCCAGGTATCGACAAGTAATAAGATGTATTAAATGCCATTAGGGCAGGGCTTAAAACAGTTTATGAAGGGGAGAATTAACTTTGCTGTAAATATCTTCTGTGACTGGAAAAGATGAACTCTTACTTTTTTCAGAGTTTGATTTTTGTTAGAATAAATTTCATTTCCTCTACATGTGTGGTCACAGTCCACTAATACTTGTCATCGAATACTTGTCATAGTTTTGTTGCCCAGTGGGTTCTTTATGCATGTAACAATTCATTATACTTTCTGAAGCATGGTGTACAGTCACTTTGGAAACTGATTCCTAAGGAATATTCTAGCCAAATCATGTATCTGTGGTTTAGTTTTTCTACAGTAGGGCTGTGCAGTTGCTGCCTGCTTTACTGGGCATGTGGGTTTATGTGGTATCTGCTGTTACTTGGGCACAGCAGCATCAACTCATTACAGGATGGAGGGGCAGAATGCCCAGAGCACCCCTGGGCTCACGTGCGGTTACAGCTGCAGGAGAGAGCTGTCCTTTTGGTTTTATGTTTTTAATTAATTCTGTTTCCTCAGATTGATGATGAAATTTATTTTTCCAGCCTGACCAAGAAATCGTCACCATACCAGATCTGGGGAGTCTCTCTTCACCTCTGATAGACACAGAGAGGAATCTGGGCCTGCTTCTCGGATTACACGCTTCGTATTTGGCAATGAGCACACCGCTGTCTCCTGTCGAGATTGAATGTGCCAGTAAGAAAATCTTTGCTTTTTGCTGATCAGCAGATTATTTTTTTTGAACTGTAAGTGCCATTAAGAGTGGGAGAGGGCCAGGCACAGTGGTTCATGCCTGTAATCCCAGCAGTTTGGGAGGTTGTGGCACGTGGATTGCTTGAGGTCAAGAGTTTGAGACCAGCCTGGGCAACATGGCAAAACCCCATCTCTACAAAAAACACAAAAATTAGCCAGGCATGTTGGCACGTATTTGTAGTCCCAGATACTCAGGAGGCTGAGGTAGGAGGATCGCTTGAGCCTGGGAGGTTGAGGCTGCAGTGAGTCATGATCATACCACTGCACTCCAGCCTGGGTGACAGAGCAAGACTCTCTCTTTAAAAAAAGTAGGAGATAGCCAGGCAGTGGCTCATGCCTGTAATCCCAGCACTTTGGGAGGCTGAGGCGGGTGGATCACCTGAGGTCAGGAGTTCAAGACCAGCCTGGCCAATGTGGTGAAACCCCATGTCTACTAAAAATGCAAAAATTAGCTGGGCGTGGTGACGGGTGCCTGTAATCCCAGTTACTCGGGAGGCTGAGGTAGGAGAATTGCTTGAACCCAGGAGACGGAGGTTGCAGTGAGCCGAGATCGCGCCACTGCACTCCAGCCTTGGTGACAAGAGCGAGACTCCGTCTCAAAAGGAGAGGCGGATTCAACACAGCTGATGATGATAAAAATAATAATAATAAGGATAGTGAGACTCAATCAGGTAGAAACAGCTGTGAGTGGTTGTCATTTGCCCTCATGGTCTGTTGCTGCAGAGGAAGCTAAAAAGTGTGCAGGAATCTCTACCCGTCTACCCTGTGGTGGTCTCACGTATTGCAGCCTCTGCCTGATGGGCCCAGCATGGCTTTTGTCTCCCTGCATGCCCAGAAATTGCACAGAATGTGGATCAGCTGTCCTCTCAGGGAACAGCATTCTACTTGAGGACTGTGTTTTTACCAGACCAGGCTCAAGTCAGTTATATTTCAGGATGGCAGCCTTTGTAACCACCTAAAATAATAAGTTTCTTCCTGTCTCCTAAGATGGGTTTACATTTTCTTTCATATAGTTGTGCATTTCCCATCTGTCTGTCTGTCCATCCGTGTGAGCAGCTTCTGTTGAACAGTTGCCTGGTGCAGTTACCATGCGAGGTGTTCAGGATGCAGTGATGGGTAGGACACGCCTCTGCTTTCAGCTGCTTCTTGTTGATGAGCCAGCATTCTAAGCAGGTCATGTTACAAGGTGGTGAATGGTGAAATGGAGACGTTCATACGTGGTTTTGGGAGAAGAAAGGCTTCACACTGGCAGCAGTCCTGAAATTGCATGAGGGAGCATTCGGGGCAGAAAACACAGGAGTGTCAAGGGCAATGCTGAGAGGAGCAGGGCTCTCCTGCTGCTTTCGAGAGTGGGTGTCGCAGAAGGCTTGCGGGGAAGGAGGATCTTGGTGTCCATACAGCCCCCCGTTGGGTGGACCTTTGTGCAGTGCTGGGTGCTGGGCTGCCTGTGGTGCCCTCTGAGGTATCTGCTTCCTTCCCTCCTCCTCAAGGCTCATTGCTTGCCAGAAGATGGGCTTTGTTTAAATTGGCAAGGAGGGCAGGGCTGGCGAGTTCCAGGGCAGAGGGTGCCATGGGCCCTGGCAGGTGGGTCCAATCCACAGGAGGATCAGAGGCTTATCTTGGAGCAGTAAGGAGGGGCTGTCCTGTGCTTAAAGAGAGGGGGCCAGAGAGAGTCGGCATTGGATTAGTGTTTCAGAAGAACGAATGTGGTGGGTTGTGGAATGCTCCTGAGTGCTCTAAAATCTAAATGTCCAGTAAAAGAACACTAAGTGCATCCCGCTTTGATTGCTTGGATTTGGAGCAGTATTTGATAACACAGATCGTTAATAGAGATCTGTAGTGGTGCACTCCCTCAAGTTGCCATAAGCAGTTGTAATTAACGTTCGCACTGGTTGATCCCATGCCTTGCACCACGCACAGGTCTCCTTTCCAGTCCATCGGCCCTCCCATCTCCAAGGATCTATCCTTCATTACAGATTGTGTGTTTCTTAAATATTTTCTCCTTTTCATTCCTTTATAAGTGCTCTAGGAATACATAGCCTACCCTGAGGATGTAATTCTTTGTAGAAACCCTTCAGATGTGCTGTTCCCTGCCTGGATACTCAGCGTCTGGGTCTTATTCCTCATCTTAGCTCAGTTGTTGCTTCCACAAGTCCCTCACTGACCCTCAGAATAGCGGTGGTCTGTCTTCCAGTCTCCCTGGTACCCCCATAGTCATCTGTTGCACAGTTTCGGACTTGAAATCCTGTGATTAATTGTGTCAGCGGTGCCCTTTGCTGCCTTCCCTGTTAGAATGTGCACCTCAGTCTTCACACGGTACCTGTGGAACCAGGCAGCTGCAGGCAGAGCACAGGTATCCAGAGAATGTTGGACTGGAACTACGATCCTGAGTTCTGATGCCATGCCTGAGGCGTGTGGAATCACCAGAAAGTGTGTTCACGTAGATAGAGGAATTATAAGTCAACCTGTGTAAACATGTTAGGTGGAGCTCTTTCATATGAATGATGCTGAATTTCACCTTCTAAATTGAGTGTTCAGTTGAGCATCTTTTTTTTTTTTTAGTATTTATTTTGAGTTGTGCACTTGAGTTTCTCTTTCATGTTTGCGTGTGCATTTTCCAGAATGGCTTCAGTCATCCATCTTCTCTGGAGGCCTGCAGACCAGCCAGATCCACTACAGCTACAACGAGGAGAAAGACGAGGACCACTGCAGCTCCCCAGGGGGCACACCTGCCAGCAAATCTCGACTCTGCTCCCACAGACGGGCCCTGGGGGACCATTCCCAGGCATTTCTGCAAGCCATTGCAGACAACAACATTCAGGATCACAACGTGAAGGTGAGCTAGGCCTGCCCCCACTGCCACCTCAGTGCTCTGTTTATCTGAGGACTTTGACATAGGAATACTTATGTGCTCTTTGGTTAACACAGCACAGACTTTGTTTCATGTATTATTTGGAGGGTTTTGAGGTGAGAACCTGATTGTGTTAACATGCTAGCGAGGCTTCAGAAGCATTAGTGATTGCAAGTGCGTCAGAAGCTGTGGCATGTTTAAGATTTGTGAAGACTCACTGGGTGGCTCTGAAGTTACTTCCAGCTGTTTCTGTTGCAGGACTTTTTGTGTCAAATAGAAAGGTACTGTAGGCAGTGCCATTTGACCACACCGATCATGTTTCCCCCCGAGCATCCCGTGGAAGAGGTCGGTCGCTTGTTGTTATGTTGCCTCTTAAAACATGAAGATTTAGGTAAGGAGCTCGATATCTGTGTACTTTAGGTACACTGCAGATTCCTCGACTAACCTGAGGTACATATTCATCCCTGCCCTTCTTTTAAATGTCTTTTTACAGGTCATGTGGCATTATCTTTAGTTCATGCAGGTGCACTTGGTATTGAGCAAGTAAAGCACAGAACGTTGCCTAAGTCAGTGGTGGATGTTTGTAGAGTTGTCTACCAAGCAAAATGTTCGCTCATTAAGGTGATAGATTTTAATTCTTTTTATTCTGTGCTTTGCAGACAGTTGCTGAAATATTTGTTGTTAAAGTTGTCTTTTCCTGGTTAACTTTGCAGACTCATCAAGAACAGGGCCGTTCTTACAAGGAGGTCTGCGCTCCTGTCATCGAACGTTTGAGATTCCTCTTTAATGAATTGAGACCTGCTGTTTGTAATGACCTCTCTATAATGTCTAAGTTTAAATTGTTAAGTTCTTTGCCCCGTTGGAGGAGGATAGCTCAAAAGATAATTCGAGAACGAAGGAAAAAGAGAGGTAAGAATGTAAAAGGACAGAAGATACTATTAAAGCTTGTGCTTCACCCTGCCACATTGGATCTGTGATTTCAGAGTGAAGTTTCTCTACTGTTGATTCCATGTGACATTTCTACCTGCTGCCATCATTTTTATTACAGTTACGATTAAATACAGAAATCTCGCTTGTTTTTCCAAGTAATCAGACAATGAGACAGTTTAGGAATTGAGTGTGGTATGATTTGATTACTAGTAAATTGATGTTGAAAACATAAATAATCTTTACTAAATTGATGGGAACAAGGAAGTATTTTTATTTTATTAGTTATCCTGGTAATGAGATATAATGGGAACATTTAAACTTATTGCCATTCTTCTAAAGAAATGTTTTTTGTTTGGAAATATTGAGTATTCTGATACATGGAGAATTATAAAGGCAAGCTAAAAGAGTTACATTTTCCTGGAAGTAGCTGTGTAAAGGTACAGAAAAGTCTTTTTGCATTAAATCCAAATTTGAATAAAAATGCTTAGAAATTATAAAATAGTTTAGAATTTAGTCACTTGTGATTATAAATAAACTACAGAAATTTCTGATTATATTCTTTTTTTTTTTTTTCTTTGAGATGGAATCTTGCTTTGTCGCCAGGCTGGAGTGCAGTGGTGCGATCTCAGCTCACTGCAACCTCCGCCTCCCAGGTTCAAACGATTCCCCTGCCTCAGCCTTCCAAGTAGCTGGGATTATAGGCACTACAGGCACCCGCCACCACTCCTGGCTAATTTTTGTATTTTAGTAGAGACGGAGTTTCACCATGTTGGCCAAGATGGTCTTGATCTCCTGACCTCGTGATCTGCCTGCCTCGGCCTCCCAAAGTGCTGGGATTACAGGCGTGAGCCACCGCGCCTGGCCTCTGATCATATTCTTATGACTTATACTGATTTACTCACAAACCTGCTTATTGACCAGTATTGATTACTGAGTTTCCGATGGGCATTTTGAACAATAAGCTTATGAAAGACTAAAGTGTGTTAGAAGCCATCCTAATTTGATTGTTCCTGAACAAACCCTACACCATAACAGCCTGTCTGAATGCGAGGGGTGCTCTGGATCCGGAAGTCACAGCAGTCACACTGCTGCGATTCCTTTAACCCAGGCATGCAGGAACTCAGCCTGGGCCCAGGAGACAGGCTGCCTCGGCATGAGGGAGAGAGACTCCACATTTGCCATCTCATATCCGTGGGTTCTGAGCCCACACTGTCACTTTTAGAGTTTCCTGTGGGTTTATAGATTTATTGTGTGTTGTTTCAAGCTGGTTTTCTTTTTTTTTTTTTGGAAATTAAGTAACTTGAAAAGATTAAGTGATTAATATTCCTGTTGCTGTGTCAGGGATCCCCGAGCCTTCTCTCAGGCTTGATGATTCACTAAAAGGACTCAGAAGAGCTGTTATAGTCACAGCTGTGTTTTTTTACTGCAAAAAGGATACAGATTAAAATTAGCAGAGGGAAGGGTGCATGGAGGGAAGTCCAGAGGAAACTAGGCACACGCTTTGGTGTCTCTCCCCAGTGGCGTCACGTGGATGTGCTTAGCTCTCCCAGCAACAGTGTCATATCATGTGTGAAGAATTGTTAACCAGGCCAGCGCACCTGAGCGAGTCTAGAGATTTTGTTGGGGGCCAGTCACATACGCAGGCAGTGCCCATGTGACTGACCTCACTCAGACTCCAGTGCCCCAATGCAAAAACAAGTGGTCCCTCGCAAGTCCCATCATTAGCATAAACTACCTGGCCAGACCACTGCCACAAGGTCCTGGGTGTCAGGTATACCAAAAAACTTCTCAGGCAGGATGTTCCAAGGGCTCAGAGCTCAGCTCCTAGAAGAAGGACCAATCCTGAAGGGACAGACCTTCCTTGGGAATTTGCAGGGTTTGAGCAACCCCGGCCTGCTATGTTAGCTCTTTACTGCCCAGGTGTATTATCATGTTGCTTATTTTTTATATTATATGCTGAGGAGATTTAGACCAAAAATTTTAAAAGAGATAAAGTATAGGGAGGAAATTCCACATATCGCAGTGAATTCAGTTGATTCAGTTACACAGTAACAGAACCACTGAACTGGACCAGGGTGGACAAGCCAGGAACTATGGGCCAAATTCTACCTCTTGCTTGCTTTGTGTTGCCCATGGACTAAGACCTTTTTTTTTTTCAGTTTGAAATTGTTTTTTAAAAATTAAAAGAAGTATATTATTTTGGCACATGAAAATTACATGAAGCTAAAATTGTAGCACCATAAATAAAGTTTTACAGGAGCACAGCCACACCTGTTGCTTTATCTGTGGTTACTTTTTGTGCTACAGCAGCAGAGTTGAGTATTTGCGACAGACTGCATGGCCTGAAAGACTCAAATGTTCACTCTCTGGCACTTGAGGAAGAGCTTGCTGGCTGCCGGGCTTCCCGTGCTTCGGGGCTTCTCCCCTCGTCGCACTCTCACTTTGTCTTTTTGTTCTGCCAGGGTGATCATTTCACTCTTGTTGTTGAGCATTGCAATTTATAATGTTGTTCAGATGTTTATTTGAATGAGATATTTGTCCTTCATGTAAATCTAAGTATTTCTTAATTTAAAATTAATATTTAAGTGTATGATTTTTATAGTGAATGATGTTTTAAAACACAGTTCCTAAGAAGCCAGAATCTACGGATGATGAAGAAAAAATTGGAAACGAAGAGAGTGATTTAGAAGAAGCTTGCATTTTGCCTCATAGTCCAATAAATGTGGACAAGAGACCCATTGCAATTAAATCACCCAAGGTGCAGTATTTTCTGTGATTCTGAGGTTGGCTGAATAGAATCATAGCATGTAGCACAGGAATCCACAGTCTTGTCCTGAGCATCTGGAGGGAGGGACGGGCGGTTGTTAGAAACATGGCCCCAGTGATGCTTCATGAACTTGGCTTATGATGTCCTGGTCAGAGCTGTAGCTGGAGAAGGGTTTCCTTTTATTTTTGGTATTAGATTGTATCATTAATTATTCACCATTCATTCCTTAAATATATTCTTTGTTCCAGAAACAGTGCTGGGCCCTGTGGCTATTAATATGAACCATAACTTAGCTTTGTATGCCAAGCTAGCCTGTTCCAACATATATTAGTATAGAGATTATAAAATCACTTATAAGTATATTTATAGCATAGTTTTAAAACCATGTATTACTAAATTTAACCAATTTAAACCTATGAGCATTATTTATATTTTACTTGAATAACTTTTAGAGCACAGTTTATTATTAAATAGGGTAGACTAATGATGAAAATTGTTTTCCTTTGTTAGGACAAATGGCAGCCGCTGTTGAGTACTGTTACAGGTGTTCACAAATACAAGTGGTTGAAGCAGAATGTGCAGGGTCTTTATCCGCAGTCTCCACTCCTCAGTACAATTGCTGAATTTGCCCTTAAAGAAGAGCCAGTGGATGTGGAAAAAATGAGAAAGTGCCTACTAAAACAGGTAACATTTGATGAGAAATGCTTCTCTGCATTGGGTAATATACATAACACTTAACTGTATGCATTGATATTTTGCAGTTGGAGAGAGCAGAGGTTCGCCTGGAAGGGATAGATACAATTTTAAAACTGGCGAGCAAGAATTTCTTACTTCCATCTGTGCAGTATGCGATGTTTTGTGGATGGCAAAGACTTATTCCTGAGGGAATCGATATAGGGTAAAACGTTAGCATATTTTTTTCTTAATTAAGGTAGCTATGGCAACAAAATGTTGTTCTGTAACAGAAGTCTGGCAGTGTCCCAAGTCAAATTCTTTATCTTTATTTGAAAGGGAACCTCTTACTGATTGTTTAAAGGATGTTGATTTGATCCCGCCTTTTAATCGGATGCTGCTGGAAGTCACCTTTGGCAAGCTGTACGCTTGGGCTGTACAGAACATTCGAAATGTTTTGATGGATGCCAGTGCCAAATTTAAAGAGCTTGGTGAGTCAATAATTGTATCAATGTTATTTTATAGTTTGCCTTTAATTATATGTTGTGGAAACTTGCAAATGCCAATTTTTGCTTTTGAGAAGATTTTAATTAAAGTTTGTACTTTGTACTTGTATAATCTATGCTGCTGTCAGCTTTCTCAGATTTTAAACAAAACTTCAAAATTTAGCAGGAGACACAATGTTGAAGTACTCTAGTATAACATTTTTACATTTTGATGTGTATCACCACATATCCTAAAGTGTCTGTGTCCTATATTAATATTTATTTCCTGGATAGTTTGAGCATCTACAGAGAGTTGATTGGATTGGTTTTGTGGAGGAAAAGTGAGACATAACTTTTATATTCGAAATGGAAGGAATGGAATAGGGCACCAGAGTATTCAGAGAGCAACATGCTAAGTCCTGTAGACAGATGGAACAACCTGTGCATAGAATGCAGGGGGTAGGCCCATCGTGCAGCATGACAGAGCTGCCCACTCTGTGGAAACCCCTGGAAAATAGTTAGATGTTTAAAGTAATTGCCCGTGCTTTCTGCATTACGTTTATTCTTGTATCCATGCACAAGAAATGTAGGTGGGTGTCAATGTTTATTAGTCAGATGTTTAGAGTAATCGCCCGTGCTTTCTGCGTTACGTTTATTCTTGCATCCATGCAGAAGAAATGTCAGTGGGTTTCAAAATAGTCAGATGTTTAGAGTAATCGCCCGTGCTTTCTGCGTTACGTTTATTCTTGTATCCATCACAAGAAATGTCAGTAGGTGCCAATGCTCATTAGGTATCCAGCCGGTTCCCCTGCAAACCATCACCAATGAGAACCCGTCAGGACCGAGCCTGGGGACCATCCCGCAAGCCCGCTTCCTCCTGGTGATGCTCAGCATGCTCACCCTGCAGCACGGCGCAAACAACCTCGACCTTCTGCTCAATTCCGGCATGCTGGCCCTCACGCAGACGGCACTGCGCCTGATTGGTAGGTCTGCACCCGCTTGAGCGCCTTTGGGAAAATGTCAAGATTTTGCTTTGATTTCTTTTCTTTTCTTTTCTTTTTTTTTTTTTTTAAAGCTTTTTGTAAATTATGGTAAGACACAAATAGGAAGTGTACCATTTTAACGTCACAATTCAGCGGTATCAAATACATTTACGATTTTCTAGAGTCATCACCACTGTCTAGTTGTAGAACTTTTTCATCACTATAAATGCACACCATTTAGCCATCAGTCCTCACTCCTCTGCCCTCCAGCCCCTGGTAGTCACAAATCTGCTTTCCCTGTCTATGGATTTGCATATCCTGGATATTTCATATAAATGGAATCATACCATTTGTGGCCTTTGTGTCTGGGTTATTTCATTTGGTATATATCAGTACTTTATTTTTATGGCTGAAAAAGATTTCATTGTATGAATATATAACATTTTGTTCATTTATCTGTTGATGGACATTTGGGTTGGTTTTGCCTTTTGACTTTTGTGAATAGTGCTGCTAGGAACATTTATATACAAATACTTGTTTGAATGCTTGTTTCTAGTTCTTTTGATTATACACCTAGGACTGGAATTACAGGGTCATATGGTACAACTATGTGTAACTTACTGAGAAACTACCAAAGTTTTCCACAGTGCCATATCATTTTTACATTCCCACCACCAGTGGGCAGGATTCCAGGGTTCCAGTTTCTCTGCTTCCCTGCCAACACTATTTTTTGTGTTTTTTTTTTTTTTCTTTTTTTTTTTGGATGAAGGCCATCGTAGTGGGTGTGAAGTGGTGTCTCATTGTGATTTTGATTTGCATTTCACTAATGATGAATGACATTGAGCTTCTTTACATGTTTGTGCTTGTTGGCCATTTGTGTATCTTCTTTGGAGAAGTGTCTATTCAAGTCCCTTTCTCTTTATTGTTTATTTTACTTTTTTTTGAGACGGAGTCTCACTCCGTCGCCTAGGCTGGAGCACAGTGGCACGATCTCAGCTCACTGCAACCTCCGCCTCCCGGGTTCAAGCGCTTCTCATGCCTCAGCCTCCCGAGTAGCTGGGATTACAGTCACACACCACCACACCTGGCTAATTTTTATATTTTTAGTAGAGATGGGGTTTAGCCATGTTGGCCAGGCTGGTCTGGAACTCCTGACCTCAGGTGATCTGCCTGCCTTGGCCTCCCAAAGTACTGGGATAACAGGCGTGAGCCACTGCGCCCAGCCCGTTTCTCCTTTTTAAATAGGGTTGTCATCACCTTGTTGTTGTACCAATAAATGCACTATATAAGTGTACCAAACCTTTAAAGAAGAATTAACACCAGTCCTCAGACTCTTTAAAAATTTCGTGTATACTAGACCTTCACAGATCTGTAGACCTTTATCAGGTATATCATTTGAGGGTATTTTCTCCTGTTCTCTGGATTGTATTTCCTTTGATAGAGAAGTTTTTTATTTTGATGAAGTTCAATTTATCTGTTTCTCTTTTGTCGTCTATGCTTTTGATATCGTATCCAAAAAGCCATTTCCAAATACAAGGTTGATGAAGATTATCCTCATGTTTTCTTCTGTAAGTTTTATAGTTTCAGCTCTTGTATTTAGATCTTTGGTCCATTTTTAGGTAATTTCTTTTACACAGTGTGAGGTAAGAGTCCAACCTGTTTTTTTTGATGATCTGATTGTTTCAATACCACTTGTTGAGGACTGTTCTTTCCCTGAAGTTCTGGGTACCCTTGGCAAAAATCAGTTGGCTGTGGATATTTAGGTTTATTTCTGGACTCTCAATTACATTATCACATTCTATATGTTGATAATTGTGCAGGTACCCCCTGTTTTGAACATTGTAGTTTTGTACTGTTTTAAAATTGAGAAGTGTGTTTTCTTTCTCAAGATGATTTTGGCTACTTTGGGTCCCTTGCATTTTCACATGAACTTCAAGGCTGGCTTTTCCATATCTGCAAAAAAGACCATTGGGATTTTTGCTAGGGATTGAATCTGTAGATTGTTTTGGGGAATAGTGCCATCTTAACAATGTTAACATCCATTCTCTGAATGTGGAATGTCTTTCCATTTATTTCTGTCCTCTTTAATTTCTTTCAGCAGTATTTTATTGTTTTACAGTTATCAGGGTAATAATGGCCTCATAGAATGAACTGGGTAGTGTTCCCATATATTCTGTTTTTAGAAGAGTTTGAGGATTGGTGTCAATTCTGCTTTAAATCTTTGGTAGAGTTGACCAGCTAAGCTTTTCTTTGTTGAAAGATTTTTAATTACTGATTCAATCTCTTTACTTGTTACGGGTCTATTCAGATTTTCTATTTCTTCTTGAGTCAGTTCGGGTAATTTATGTTTTTAGGAATGTGTCCATTTTATCTAGGCTATTTTATTTGTTGGCATACAGTAGTTCACAGTGTTCTTTTATAATCTTTTTTATTTTAAGTTGGTAGTACTGTCTCCACTTACATTTCTGATGTTAGTTATTTGCATCTTCTTTTTTTTCTTTCTTTTTTTTTTTTTTTTTTTGAGACGGAGTCTTGCTCTCTTGCCAGGCCAGAGTGCAGTGGCACAGTCTCGGCTCACTGTAACCTCTGCCTCCCGGGTTCAAGTGATTCTCCTGCCTCAGCCTCCCGAGTAGCTGGGACTACAGGCACGCGCCACCACGCCCAGCTAATTTTTTTGTATTTTTAGTGGAGACGGGGTTTCACCGTGTTGACCAGGATGGTCTCGATCTCTTGACCTCGCGATCCGCCCACCTCAGCTCCCCAAAGTGCTGGGATTACAGGCGTGAGCCACCTTGACTGGCCTCTTTTTTTCTTAATTTACCAAAAATTTGTCAGATTTTTTGTTCTTGTCAGAAACCAAACTTTTGGTTTTGTTATTTTTCTATTCTCTATTTAATTTATGGCTGCTCTAATCTCTATC